>NC_000003.12:108251028-108554058 GCF_000001405.40 Homo sapiens | reverse complement strand
CTGGGTGTTGTGGCGGGTGCCTGTAATCTCCGCTACCCAGAAGGCTGAGGCAGGAGAATCACTTGAGCCCGGGAGGCAGAGGTTGCAGTGAGCACAAGATCATGCCACTGCACTCCAGCCTGGGTGACAGAACGAGACCTTTTTTTTTTTTTTTTTTTTTTTATATTTTTAGTAGAGACGGGGTTTCACCATGTTAGCCAGGATGGTCTCGATCTCCTGACCTTGTGATCTGCCCGCCTTGGCCTCCCAAAGTGCTTGGTAGGGAGAAAAAGTTACAAATGGTATATGGTTCATTAATGTTTTCTTCTATTTTTTTTAATAACTTCAGAAGTATTGCCCAATTAATAGAGAAAGAAGAACAGAGAAAAGAAGTACAGAATCAGCTAGTAGACAGAGAACATAAGCTAGCAAGTAAGTGGCTTCTTATTTAATACATTTTCTATTTTTAATGTATTTATTTTGGAAGCATGAGTGGTTTTGTTTGCTTTTTTATTTTCTACTTATTGTTTTAAACTTTAAATCATATTTGGAATGGCTTCCCTTTTCTTGACATAATGTTTCACAAAAGCAGTTCGGTTTAATCAAGTTGAAAAAGTGGTACGTTTTTTAAATTTAGGAGCTATAAGAAATTGGCCAGGCACAGTGGCTCACTCCTGTAATCCCAGCACTTTGGGAGTTGGAGATGGGTAGATTGCTTGAGCTCAGGAGTTTGAGACCAGCCTGAGCAACATGGTGAAACCCCATCTCTACAAAAAATACAAAAATTTAGCCAGGTGTGTTAGTGTGCACCTGTAGTTCCAGCTACTCAGGAAGCTACAGTGGGAGAATCTCTTGAACCTGGATGTCAAGGCTGCAGTGAGCTATGTTCACGCCACTGCACTCCAACCTGGGTGACAAAGCAAGACTGTCTCAAAAAAAAAAAAAAAAAAAAAAAAAACAAAAGGAAAGAGATGATTGACCATTTAATTTAATTTAATTTTTTTATTATTTCAACTTTTAGAATCAGGGGGCATGTGTGCAGGTCTGTTACACTGGGTATATTGCATGACACGGATGTTTGGGGTATGGATCTCATCACCCAGGTAGTAAGCATAGTACCAAATAGGTAGCAATAGGTAATTTTCAACCTCCTGCCAACTCTAGTCTGCAGTGTCTATTGGTTCCATCTTTAAGTCTGTGTGTACTCAATGTTTAGTTCCCACTTAGAAGTGAAAACTTGGAGTATTTGGTTTTCTGTTCCTTCGTTAAATCACATAGGATTATGGATTGCCCTTTTCAAAATAAAAAAATGTTGAAGGAACGTAACAGCAGGTGGCAGTATTAGGTAACTTTTAGTTACTAGCTTCTTAATGGTATATTTGAAATGATCCTGAAAAACATTTTTGTTCTCACTTGCCTTAGAGCGCAGGCACCTACCTATATAATTTTTCATAGTTGTAGCTCTCCCTTTTCTAACCCTTACACTTTTGAGAATTGTCCTTTACCTATATAGCATATTATATTTAGAACAGAGGATGGAAGAAAGACATGGAGATTTGGTATTTTCTATAGAATACTGTCATAAGAGAAGTTTCTCTTCCTTGTTCTAGTTATTTCTCTTTTGCTCTTACAGTAGCTACTAGACCATTTCAGAGTAGTCAGTGTAAGACCTCTGAGTATAATACTTGACTTTTTTTTCTTTTAAGATTTGCATCAAAAAACAAAAGTACAAGAAGAAAAGATTAAAACCTTACAAAAGGAAAGGGAAGATAAGGAAGAAACCATTGATATCCTTAGAAAAGAATTAAGCAGAACAGAACAGATAAGAAAAGAGTTGAGCATTAAGGTAAGAATCTGTTCCATTTCTCATTTGCAGTAAAATAAAAAAGTCTGTTGTGAAAAGGGTGAATATGGATAAAGGAATGTACTGTTTCTTCAGCAAATTTTTTAGAAGATATTAGGATCTCAAAGCAGCTTGAGTATCATTTGTTATGAGGTTTTCATAATGTATTTTCTAAAATAGTTAAGCAGTTATTAAACAGATACTTTGTGTCAGCACCTGGTATTTTCAAGTGTGCAAAGAATACAGAAAGGGGTTACCAGTACTTGATGTCATATATAGGTAGCTGTATAATTTTCACTTTAACAAATATTATATAATGTGTTAATAAATATTTTCAACTTACAACTGAAGAAACTGAGTCTGAGGTTACTTACTAAAGTCACACAGCTAATAAGTGAATCAATAGGTATATATTCTGAATCTGAGTCCGGGGTTCTTTCTATATTACCATGGTTGCATAGCTTGAGTGGTAGCTATGAATTGTACTTTCTGGCCCGTTTACTACCAGGAAGATGAGAACAGACTAGGATTAAAGACTGATCTACTACTACTACTGAGTAACAGAAGAGGCATAAAATTTAGTACCACATTTACAGTTTTTCTGGTTCTGCTTTAATGTGATTATCTTATTAGTAATTTTAATATGTAGTGTGTAGTATTTTCTGCAAAATTTCAGCTGCTGGCATTAACTTAAGACAAGTTGAAAGTGTATTCTCAATTTGTATTATATTGTTTAATGATTATTCATTTTAAACTTACCATGTAATTGAATTAACTGAAGTATAATATTTATAGTATGTCTTGAAATGGTTGTTGTACAATAAAAAATAAAAGCATCTTAAAATATATGTATAGAGAAAACATTAAAGTTATTTTTCTTCTCAATTCTTCCTCCTCCCCCAACCCCAATTCCTTAGGCTTCCTCCCTAGAGGTTCAAAAGGCACAATTAGAAGGTCGTTTGGAAGAGAAAGAGTCCTTGGTGAAACTTCAGCAAGAGGAATTGAACAAACACTCCCACATGATAGCAATGATCCACAGTTTAAGTGGTGGAAAAATAAATCCAGAAACTGTGAATCTCAGTATATAGACATTATGGCATTTTGGAATTTGTAATCTCATGATATTTTTGATGTATTTATCTATTGGAGGGGGGGTGGGTAGGGGAGTTAATTTGTGACTTCGTAACAATAAGAAGTTATTATCTAATTTAGTAAAGACCCTGATCTGTTGCATGTTTTTTATTTGATAGTTTGAATAGAAATTTAATTTTCTAAGTTTTACTTTTTGTTTCTGGCTTTTATGGCTTAAGGTTTTCTTTGGTTCTTACATTAGAAAATCATTTTTAACCTCCATTATCATTTTTCTAAGGTTCTTTCCTTTTTCTTAGTTGCTTTCTATTCTGTTTTGCCTGTCTTATTTATTCTCATTTGTGATTATTTAGATCTTAAGACCAAACTTTCTTGGTATAACAGTCCTAAAGATTACAAAATAAAAATATAGAGAGAGTAAAAGTAAAAAGTAAAGTAAAAAGAGAGAAGGTATGATTTTACTGCTAGAGAAGTTTGTCTCTGAAGAAGCACAAAAGAAAATATTAGTGAATTTAAAATAATTTTTATACTGCTGTAGCATAATTTCTAAATTTGAAAAAAATGCAATGGTAATAAAATGTATAAAAATTAGAAAACTGTCATTGTGTTAAACTATTACATTTAAATGATTACATTTAACACAATAGCTGTCTCATAAAAAATCTAAGAACTTGTAGAATTATTTGTAAGGTATATTTAGTGTTTTTTTCTCTTTTTTCAAATGTTGCATAGTGGTCCAGATCATCTATAATTAATTATAAGTTTCTTATGATTTACATAAGGATAATTTGGATTCTACTCTTGCTGCATATTCAGAAAAATATTATTTACTGTTAATTCTGATATGAATTGTATTTAATTTGTTGTCCTAATAGTTTTTAATTGGTTCATTTAATTTTAAAGCATAGGTTAAATATCTTTATTTTTTTTAAAATACAAGGGTCCTTCTGTACTTTTCATTTGAATCATATCCTCTAACTACTCTGTAAGAAACGTTTTTACATCAATATTTTGATTGATTTTATTGCTATACCAATACAGTCATTAATTTTACTTGGTGTTTTCTTCACCATATGTCTGTTTGATTTAAGTGAATTTAGATTTGTACAGTTCTGGAAATTTTTTAAAAAATATTATGCAGAGTAAAACATTTTAAATTACTATTTGTTCTATAGAGGAGATACATTCTGTTTCTCTTTTGAAATTGCATGCATTTTCAACCAAATATGAAAAAGTTTAAGTGGATAGATAAGACTGAAGAATAAAAGGGTCTATAAAATAAAAGAGACAAAACGTTAAAGAAAGAAATGAATGAATGAACCAAAAATTCTAGGGAAAATCAATTTATCTTTCCAATTTAGACATCTTGAGACAGCCTAGCCTAGTGCTACCCTATACAATTTTCTGTGATAATGACAGTGTTCTATGATGTCCAGTCCCATAGCCAGTGGCTAAAAGTGGCCATTGAGCACTTGAAATTTGGCCTTTGCAACTGAAAAAACTAAATTTTTGATTTTATTAAATTTAATTTTGATAACCATCCTGTTAGATAATGCAGATCTGTCCCATTCTCACAAGTATGTGTTTAAAGAACTCAATTTGCCTTTTCTTAAAGATCTATATAAATAATTACCCCATTATATATATGTAGTAGCCCTTTCTTAATGTAATTTTAACCTGTTTATTTCTAATCTTCTCTCCCTAAAGAAGAAAGTCCGTACTGCAGCTTTGAAGAAGGTGAGTACTAATCATCATCCTTCATCTCTTTCTGTCTCTTGTAACACCTTTCATATTGTTTCTGTTGTTTTTCTGAGTGCCTTTACTATATCAGTTACTTTTTTTTTCTTGTTGGACTGTGTACCTCATATTAAAAAAGCAAAAGTGTGTGTAAATATTTTTTTTCTAAAAAAAAAAATTTAATCAAATTTGAACCACCACCATAGTCAGGGTTTTGTATGTGTGTATGCATGTCCATTTCCTAATGGAAAAAACAAAACTTAGGAAGTGCATCATTATATTAGGATTACTCGCATCCTCTTAAAATTTTGCTGGGGAGAGTTTGTCTCCAAAGTATACATTAACACAGTTCCGTTACTATTTACACTTGCCACTTGAACAAATAGACACATCTCATAAAATTTGGTTGGTTAAAGTTTATATTAAATTGTTCATTAATTTAATGTCAGGAAAAAAAGAATGAAACTGTATGCTGTGTCTTAGGAAATTATCAGGTCAGTGTCCATTTGGGTCTATTTACTTATATATTATAAGGACTAGTTACTTAAGAATAAAAAGAGATTCTGTCATGAGTTAGCACTGTCAGTTAAATGAAAATATGTTTGAATTTCTACTTCTACCTTTGGTCATTCATTCATATGTTACAGGTACTTATCAAGTTATATTTCCTAAAACTCAAAGTCTTACTGTAATTTGATTCTTTTCCTGCCTTCAAATAGTTATGAACTATATTTACAACTTTGCTTTTGGCATATATACCATCGTACCAGCCATGTGTCCTGTTTGTGACTTAATCCTTTGCAAGATTTAGCAAACATTTTCTGTAAAGGGGCAGATAGTAAATATTTTAGGCTTTCTGGAACATAGTTTCTGTCACAACAACTCAACCCTGCTATTGCAGCACAGAAGCAGCCATAGACAATACATAAATGATTAGTCATGGCTGTGTTCCATTCAAACTTTAGTAACAAAACTAGTCAAAACTTTGCTATTAGATGTTACATTTACTTATTAAGAAATGTCTTTTTATGTTTGGTAATCTTTATCTTGAGGTCTATTTTATTTGATAATAACATAGCCACTTAGTCCTTATTATGTTTTCTGTTGGCCTGATATATCTTTTTCTATCAGTTTACTTTTAACCTGTTATGTTTATATGTAAAATTCATGACTTGTAAACAAATAGAATTGGGTCTTGCTTTTTTATCAATTTTGACAAAATAAGTCCTTTAACAATCCACTTAGAGTTAATATTGTACCACTTAACTTAAAATGTAGAAACCTTGCAACTATATAGGTCCATCTGTCCTCTTCTCATCCTTCATGCTATAGTTGACATGTGCATTACCTCTGCTTATGTAGCTAACCTTCAAAACCATGTGATAATTTTTGCTTTAAGCAATTACATGGAAAGACTCTGGCTGTCAACATCAGTATGTTCACCTCTTTGCATGCACCAATACAAAGTAGTTTCTTCAGTGTAACACTCCTGTTTTTCCTTTTGGAAATAATAAGTAATTTGTGGGCAGATACTGCATATAGGCTGTTTCTCTTCCAACTTGCATCTGCTACTTTTAGTATTGTTGATAATTCTTACTTGAATCAGTTATTAATTTGATGGTTGGTTGCCAAGTGGATATTTTCCTACTTTTTAAAGGTAGAAAATTGAACATTTTGGTAATTTTATAATGTACTGAAAATAGCAGTCTATATGACATCACCCATATCATTCACGAAATTAAAATATAGTACTTAGAGTTTTTCAGTTAATACAGCATTTACTTTTTTTGCATATTCTTACAAGCAAAGCATGTGAGATTTGCTTTCTGTAGTTTAAGAAAATAAATAGGCATGTTAAGCATATTGATTTTTTTTTAACTACAAGAACTTTTTGATATTATTTTTCTACCCAAACCCCCTAATTTGAGAATTGCCTATTTAAATCATGACATTCAATTCATTTGGATCATCACTTTACCTTGGCTCTCAGTGATTACCAATAAATATTAAATGAGTATTACCCATAATAAAGTATTTTGGATTAAGAAAATAATTGTACATTTCCAGCCTTCACTAAGTTTACATTCTAGATAATTAACTTTTAAAAATTAAAACTTGGTCACTGCTCATGCCTGTAGTCCCATAATTTTGGAAGCCTAGGCAGGCAGATCATTTGAGGCAGGGGTTCCAGACCAGCCTGGGCAACAAAGTGACACACGTCTCCACAAAAAATAAAAAAAAATTAGTTAGGTGTGGTGACATGTCCCTCGGGCTGCAGTGTAGTGAGCTGTGATTGCACCGCTACACCTCAGACATATATATATATATATGGCCTATTTTTTTAAAGGCAGATGTTTCATTGATTTTTTATGTTGTGAATAATGAGCATGATAAGTCCTTGAAATTATATACCTCTGTACTCCATAAATTGAGAGGGAACATTGTGAACTCAAAAAATCATGGTTTATTTTCAACATGCAAATCACTTTGAAACCTTACACAGTCTCACTGAGTTAAGCATTTTGCAGCGAACTGACTTTCTTCCTGTCATCGAAGACCTCTGTGAGTCCCGTTTGGTTTATACTTGTGTTCATTTAAATATTTCAAAACTACCCCAGAAAAAACTTTATTATCACATAACCATGAATAAGAGGTATAACTCTTAAAACTCACCTTTTTTTGCACATTGAGCTACAAGTATCCCTTCATAAATGCAAGAAGGAGTAAGCTTCTTTCCTTCCAACTAAATATAACATTTTAGTTGTCTATTTCCTAAGGACCCAGTATCTATATTCTCTCGATATCTCAAAATATGATGGATAATCCCAGGATACATAGCAAAGGACTTTTTACATTCTGTCCACTACTACATTAGAGAGTGACATTTTCAAAGTCAACAGAGTGGATTGGCTTTCACTTTCATTATGTTATTAAAAACTAATTTTCCAGTAAGTAGCTGAGCATTTGGCAGGGATTTAGTAATGAACATGATTTTGCCTCTCCATTACATTATCTTCACTGTTATTCTAAGTATCATATTTCATCTCACTTATCTCAAAGAGCCAAAAGATATAATGTATTAGAGTAGTGTTATGCTTTTCTCAAACTTCAAATAAAAAGGCTTATGATTAGCCCTAGCAAAAGACAGCACTGTTCATCTTCAATTAGGCAGGGTTTTCATTTTAACTGAAAGTAAAGGCTACTATCAACTACTCCATACTAATTTGTGTAATACCCACAGTTAATCAGCATTTTAGAGCTGAGAGAATTCTGAAAGAACAGTGATCCCAACCCCTTTGTGTGTAAAAACGATGTGAAAAAAGATGCATTCTCAGAAAAGAAGTCCCATGATTCAAACACAAACTGATATGACTTTTAAATTAGTATGTGTTGTTATGGAACACACAGAAGCTTCACTTCTAGCAATTTATCTGAAAGAAATAAGGTTGTGCACTAAGATTTATGTACAGTAATATTATGGCACAAAATTGGAAACAATTTATACAGTAATAGGAGATTGGTTAATCAGTATAAGGTACAGTCATGGAGTAAAATATCATGCATCCTTTTTGAAAAGTTACTGAAATATATAATAGGTATTGGGAAGAGATTTTTGGTGTGTTAAGTGAAAAAAAGTAAACCAAACTATTTGTAAACAATGATTCAGATACCTGAATATCTTTAAGATTTGTTTGTGTGTGTGTGTGTGTGTGTGTATGTGTATATTAGAAACAGTGAACAGTGGTAACCTCTGCATAATGAAATTATAATTGACTTTTTTGGTTTCTAGAAGTACAATGTTACTTTAACTTTTTAAAACCATGTTTTAAAACATTGGTTTGGTAACCGCATCTAGATTTGAGTTCTGGCTCTACCTAAGGAAAGTTTTTATTTAATGTTTTATTCTTCTGTAAAATGAGAATAACACATACTTGTTAGAAAAAATACAAATAAAGCTCATGGCTTTTAGTAGATTTTCAATAATGGTTTATCTCCCTTTTGGAGATGGAACGAAGTAAAAAGTTTTATGTCCTTTGTCCTTGGTTTCCTCTTTCTCTTCATCAAACCTTTGGCCAATTGAGAAAGTAAAATGAACGGTAAAGATTCTCTGTTATTTTCGAGAGTAGTAGAGGATGGAGAGATTAGGGGTTAAATCTTTAAATTATTGTCTACACCCCAAGAGTAACACTTTTATTGACTAGACTAGTCTGGGTTGCTCAGACTAACTTATTTATATTAGATATCAATTATAAGCAGTGGTAAATTAACATCTCTTTTTGAAAGAAGCATTTTTCATACTTCAGATTAGCCTTAGGTATCATAGTAGTTTCTAATTAATGACTGTACCTACAAAATTCATTGTGAGGTTGTACATTGTTACTTCTTTAATTTCCTGGAGGAGATTATGAGGAAAAGATGTAGTTAAGAAAAGTTTGCCAAATTTTAGTGGTAAAACAATATGTCTAGGACTTGGATCCCATTATGTTCCCAGCTCTTTTGACAGATTTAAAAGTTTTCCTAATCTATGTTAGTATTTCTATTTAGAAATACCATTTTTGTAGTAGGCTCTTTTTTAAAAGTCCAAAGACATTTAGTGTTATCTACCTTAAAGTAGAGATGTATGTGTTGTGTTTACAGAGATAATGAAAATACAAACCTTTAATTATAATATCAAGGAAGGGTTACAAGAATCTTGGGAATTTGTACAGAATCCAGAGGAGAGAGAACTCAATAATAAATATTTGAAGCTGGCTGTGTAAAAACACTTTGAGAGAACAATAAGCAAGGTCACCCTGAGCCATTTAGTCTGAATGACATTTCATGCAAATACCCTTCAGATTAGACTGACTGAAGCCATGACTTGAATTGCTGCTATCCCTGAGCTACTGAATAAGAGACTTGGATTATTGATGTTGTAGGTCGATCCAAGGAGCATATTTTGTTTGCCATGTTGCCTGGGTGGATATGATCCACCCAACTTATGATCATACTGCTAATATTTTCAGAGGCTATGTTTCTTTGTAAGGTTAGTTCTGTGGTCATTACATACTAATCAAATTTATTTCTTTATGCCTCTTTTAAATCTTTCCCATTCTACAAACGATAGTATCACCTTAATTTTACCAACTGTAAGTGTGATTCTCTATTTAGGAAAGTGGGGGGCCAGAGGAGAGTAAGAGATAGAATATGAGCACGTGGTACAAAATTCAAAAATTAAAAGATACATGCACTTTCTGTTTTAACATGCAAAGAACTTGTCTCTCACTCTCTCAAGAAAAAAAGCTGAACAAACTGAAAAATCAGTGGCTTCTTTTAGATCCACCAGAGAATTGAGGTCACAGGACAAATCATCATTCTGAAAACTGTAGAGAATACAGTTGAAGTATGGATCAACTTATCTGAAGCTCTGGTAGGAACACTTAAATTGTAATTTTGTCGAATTACTAGATGACATGTGAACTAGCTTGGGAATTTAAAACTGTTGAGAGCCTTTCCAGCCAACCGTTCTCCTTCGGAGGAGAACCATATGCAGCTATGGCACCCTGCCAGAATGGCATGATCCTGATGCCTCACTTCCACAAGAAGTGGCAGTAGCAGTTTGGTTCAGCCAGCTGACCCAAAAGATCCACAGATGCAAGACCCAGCAAGCAAAAGCACACCACCATTGCCTATCATCCTGCATCTGGACCCATCTAGCCCATAGTAGGATGTCCCACAGGGAGATATCACACCAAAGTATAAGCTAGCAGAAGCTTCAGCTTAGAAGAGTTAAGGTGGCCAGCATCCACACGGTGACCCGGACCTTTGGTATCTGTGGATCCAAGGAGACATTAGAACAAGTCGGGTGAGTCCTGAAATGCCAGCAACTCCAGTTGAAGGAGTACTGCTACAAGCTCATCCGCTTCCCCAGGAAGCCCTTGGACCCCACGAAGGAAGACAGCTCTGCTGAACTCAAATTGGCAACCCAGCTGACAGGACCAGTAATGTGCATATCAGTGTCTTCAAGGAGAAAGCCAGAGTCATCACCAAGGAGAAGTTCTTTAGTATATACCAAAGGAATATAAATCATTCTGTTATAAAAAATACATGCACATGTATGTTCATTGCAGCACTATTCACAGTAGCAAAGACATGGAATCAACTCAAATGCTCATCAATAATAGACTGGATAAACAAAATGTGGTACATATACACCATGGAATACTATTCAGCCATAAAAAGGAATGAGATTGACCTGGTGCGGTGGCTCACGCCTGTAACCCCAGCACTTTGGGAGGCCAAGGCGGGCGGATCACAAGGTCAGGAGATCGAGACCATCCTGGACAACATGGTGAAACCTCATCTCTACTAAAAATACAAAAATTAGCCGGACATGATGGTGTTTGCCTGTAGTCCCAGCTACTCAGGAGGCTGAGGCAGGAGAATCACTTGAGCCCGTGAGGCAGAGGTTACAGTGAGCTGAGATCGTGCCACTGCACTCCAGCCTGGGCAACAGAGCAAGACTCCATCTCAAAAAAAAAAAAAAAAAGGAACGAGATCATGTCATTTGCAGGGACATGGATAGAGTTGGAAGCCATTATTCTCAGCAAGCTAACGGGAATAGAAAACCAAACGCTGCATGTTCTCAGTTATAAGTGGGAGCTGAATTATAACACATGGACACGTGGGGAACAACACACACTGGAGCCTGTTGTGGGGAGGAGTGGGGGGCAAGAGAGCATCAGGAAGAATAGCTAATAGGTGCTGGGCCTAATACCAATGTGATGGGTTGATCTGTGCAGCACACCATGTGACATGCTTACCTTTGTAAGAAACCTGCACATGTATCCGGAACTTTAGGAGTAAAGAATATTCAATGCTAAAAATAAATGAGCTATGAAGACATGGAGGAAATTTAAATGCATATTGCTAAATGAAAAGCCAGTCTGAAAAGGCTGCACACATTATTACAACTATATGACATTCTGGAAAAGTCAAAACTATAGAACACTTGAAAGAATGAAAGAGCGGAGCAAAAAATAAATGGAGCATTTTAGGGCAGTGAAACTATTCTGTATAATACTATAATGGTGGGTACATGACATTCATTTTGTCAAAATTCATATAGAACTGTGTAATACAAAATGAACTTTACACTGTAGACTATGGTTAATGTATTAATACTGGTTCGTTAATTATAATAAATGTGTCAGTAATCCAAGATGTAAATAATAGGGGTGCCAGGGGACTCAATGGACACACGGAACTATCTTCCGTGTGAAGATAGTGTGAGAACTATCTTCTCAAAATCTAAAACTTTACTAAAATTTGTAAGTCTTAATTTTTAATACAGAAAAAGGATGATACATGACAGTTATTTCCCTTTCATCCCTCTCTCAGCAATCTAGTTACCCTCCACAGAATCACTAATTTTTTTGACCAGATTTCTTATGTATTCTTAAAGAGATAATGCAATACATAAATGTGTATACCTATATTTATATATTGGTGGGCTACAGAAATGCAAGTATTTTATACATATTGTTTTGTACCTTTTTCACTATGTGATATTTAGGAAATCATTTCATGATATCAATACGTATAGGGCTTCTTGATCATTTTTGACAGTTTCATAATATTTCATTGATCAATATAGTTTAAGTCATATTAATGAACACATTGTTTTTTCATCTTTGGCTATAATGAAGACATTGCAGTTATTATACAGATGTCATTCAAAATATTACTTAGTTGAAGTGTATGTACATTTACAAATAACCCACTAGCGATATTTGTTTCCCCACATCCTCATTCCATTGTAATCCAAGTTTTTCAACCATTATGGTGTTAACAAACTTTTTCATGGCTACCATATATGTAAAAACTATTTGTTTCCTTTTCTGTAAAGTGTTTAATCCCTTTCCAATTTCTCCTGTGGGTTATTCATCTTTTTTTTATTCATCTTTTTTTTTTAACTGGGTTCCTGATGATCTTTAGTAAGTACATTTTTCACTTGTCCTTGATAAAAATTGCAAATTTTTTTTCAATTAGCTGTCATTTGACTTTGTTTATGGTTTAGCTTTTCTGTGAAGAATTTTTTATTTGTAATTTTTTCATCATTTTTATTATTGTGACTTGATAATGTTTTAGTATTTTATAGGAGCAATCTCTCATATTTATTTGAGAATTTTCCTGTACACTTGCTCATTTATTTTTCTATATTATTTATTTTAGACTCATCTTGTCTAGTTAAAAAATAGTGTTGACACTTGTTTGAATAATGTTAGGTTTATAGGTTTTTAGATTAGGAAGAATTGACATCTCTATGATGTTAAATTATCTTTTCTAAAACATAGTGTATCTTTTCATGTGTTCATGATCTTCAGTAGTACTTTATGACCCTCAATAATGCTTTATTTGAATATAGTTTTTATACCTTGTTAAGTTTTAGCTTTTTGTCATTGTTCATTATATGTTCATTGTATTCATAAAATATATGAATATACATATTTTGTACCCAAACCAATAGTGAATTTACCTGAAGAATCCAAGAGAATCACTAAAACTACTATAAATAATAAACCCGTTCTGTCATCTGTAAAAAAATTTACATTTTCATATCCAAGTTTTAAATAACATTTCTCTTATCCAGATCATTTTTTTAATATGATGAAAAAGGAATTTGCTCTTGGTGTTAATGGAAGCAATTTTAGTGTTTTCCCATTAAGCACAATGCTCACTTTTGGATTAAGATATACGTGTTTTAACTTGTTAAGTATTCATCTATTTCTATTTTACTAAAAATTTTTATTAAGACTGGGAATGATTGTACCAAAATGGAAATGGAATTTTATCAGATCTTTTCGATATCTATAAAGATAATGTGACTTTTTTCTCTTTTTTTTAGTATCATATCAGTCGTTATAGGCTAGTTTGTGCTTCAGTAACTAATAACCTTAAAATCTCAGTAGCTTTAAACAACATGGTTTATTTCTGGCTCATACTCCATGTCAGTGGAATTCCATACTTTCCTTCCTCCCAGAGCCAGGCTCATAGAGCAGCCATCATCTGGCATTTTGAGAGATGCTGTCTGTGGTGGAGAGAAAGGGAACATGGTAGGTCAGCCACTGACTTTTAAACTTTCCACTTGGAAATAATACACATGACTTTAGCTAACATTTTATTCACCAGTGCAAATCACATGGCCACAGAGAACCGAAGAAGAGGTCAAATAATTCTACCATGTAACCTGGAAAAGAAGTGGAAGTGTTTGGTCAATATATAACTAAATATATTAATACATTTCTTGATTTGAATGAATCTTAAATTTCTGAAATGAATGTATCATGGATTTTTTTTAGTGTGCTTTTAGGTTCTGTTTGGCAATATTTAGGAATTTCACATGGATATAAGTGAGATACATTTTATTTTGTGTGTGCTCATGTGGGCAGTCTTTGTCAGGGCTTGGTATTATTCTAGCTTTAAAAAGAAGAGTATTTAACTTACTTTTTATGCTCCTGTATAAAATGTAAGCAGAGTTGGAGGCTTATGTTCTTTAAAGACTTAGTAGAACTGACCTGTGAAACAATCTAGGAATGGGCTTTCTGGGGGTAGAAAAGGGTACAGCCAGGAAACTGTCTATATTTCTTCTGTGCTAATTGGTTTGTTCAGATAATATTATCTCTACTCTAAATTGTGTTCATTTATATTTTTAGAATTTTATTTAATTCCAGGTATTTGTTTTGCATATATTTGAACAAATAAGTATACTGATAAGCTTTTACTGTCCTTGGTTCTTTAGTTACCCGTAAATTATATTTTCCTATTTTATGTAATTGACTTTTTCACTTTTTATTCTGCTTTAAATCAGCCAGAAGTTTATCTATTTATTTATTTTAAATAACCAGGTATTAGATCTATTACTTTATCATTTTTCTATCTGCTAATACATAGTTGCTTGCTTTATTTATTTAAAATATTGTGAAGAATATACACATGTAGAAAAGTGCACAACACATGTTTTCCCATATATATAACATTGAACAGCTACCCAAGTCAAAAGTCCACCTCATGTCCCTGCTAAACCTCTATCATTCCCTCCTCCTCAAACTTAAGTACGGTAGTGTTAACACGGCGGTATTGTTTCACCTGCTTTTGAGCTTTATATATATGGACTCATTAGTATGTATTTGTGTCTTTCACTCAATAATATGAGAGCTGTTTTAAATTTTTATTTTCTAAATTTATTAAATTGAAACACAGTTGACTTTTGTATATTAACTTTGTGTTATGGTTTGAATGTTTCCCCAAAGTTCATGTGTAGGAAACTTACTACACAATGCAACAGTGTTGGGAGGTGGGGCCTAATAAAAAGTAACTAGGACATAAGGGCTCTGCCTTCATGAATGGATTAGTGTTACCAAGAAAGTGGGCTTGCAAGTATTGCAAGAGTGGGCTTGTTAACAAAAGTGAGAACAGTTCCCTCTTGCCTTCTTTCTCTCACCTTCCATTGCCCTTCCACTCTCTGCCATGGGGTGATGTGCAGCAAGAAGACCCTCACGGGATGTGGTTTCCTTGACCTTGGATTTCCTAGTCTCTAGAACTGTAAGAAATGTCTTTTCTTTATAAATTACCCAGTCCCTGGTATTCTGTTATAGCAACACAAAACAGACTAAGACACCTCAACCAGCCAACTTGATAAACTCAATCTCATAAATTATGAAATTAAAGGGAACTTTTATATACACATCTCATTGTCCACAAAACAGTGATAGTTTTATTTCTTTATTTCAAATTTCTATGACTTTCATTTCTCTCTGTCACTTCATTACAGCAGCTAGGACCTGCAATAAAATTTTGCTTTGAATAGACATTTTTTATCTTCTTCCCAATCTTGAAGTGTATGCTGTTAACATTTCACAATTAAGTATAATTGATGCAAGTTTTTCCTAGAAATGCCTTATGAAATTAAAGAGGTTTACTTCTTAGTTTGAAAGAATTTAAAATATTTATCAAATGCTTTATCTGCAAGGAGGATGAGCTCCTCTAGTCTCATTGATCAGGCAGGATTTCAGCTTCCTGTTCTTGACGTTAGGTTCTGCTGGATTAGAGTTTCCGGTTACCCAAGTAGGAAATTCTTTTGCCAAGAGATACAATAAAGATTTCCTTAAACTGGAAGCTCAGTCTGGCATCTAACAACTTGGAGCTTCTGATATTAAGCCATCAGGAAAGGAGGAGTTTGTCAACTAGCTAGGATGAATGATCCCACACAATACACAACGGAAGCAGTAAGAAGAATGCCCGAAACACAGGAGAACATCTGGAGCACCTCTTAGTATTCCTAGATCTGGGATAAAAATCAGTGGAAAACCACATTAACTGCTAATGGACCCAGGCCTTTCAGAAATGACAGTTTGGATCATCCCACAAGGAACAAACTGACCAACTGAAGTGTTTGCCAAGGGGAAAGGGACAGAATGAATAGTGCAAGGAGACAGAAATATCAGCGATGATCACATGCCCACTTTGAGAAACAAGACTGTAGTAATTATGCATATTTTATCCCAACCTTGAAGTGGGCTATGTATTATTTTCTTCCCATTTTAATTATTTTTCTTTGTTTTTCCCCGTCTCCCATTTATCTGCTGTCTAAGGTAAGCTATATTAATAGTGGTTAACTTTGTAGCCCAGTATTTAGGTTACAGAATATCTTAGTCCACGTGTGCTACTACAGCAAAACAGACGAGGTAATTTGTAAACTATGTTCTGGAATCTGGGAAGTCCATGATCAAAGTGCCAACAGGTTCAGTGTCTGATGAGGGCTGCTCTCTTCTAAGATGCTGCCTTGTTGCTGTGTCCTCACGTGGCAGAAAGTGGAAGGGCAAAAGATCTAGCTAGTTCCCTCTAGCCTCTTTTATATGGGTAAAATATTTCATGTATCCCATTTGTGAGGACTTTGCTCTCATGTCTTAATCATCACCCTGAAGGCCCTCCCTCTTAATACTATTATTAATACATTGGCAATTAAATTTCAGCATATGAATTTTTGGGGACATATTTAGACCATAACACAAGATTTCTGAGGGGTAGAATGATTGAGCCTAAAGAGGAATAGACATCACCCATGAATGAGGTGATATATGGGACTGTGTGTCCTCTCAGGAGAGTGTGTGGCTGTTTTGGTTGTACAGGCCTCCCTATGACTTTACTCTTTCTTTGTTAGAGATTTAGAGGAATGATCATACCTGCTCCCATCTCTGTAAGTTATAATCAATTAAAAACAAAAGTAGTCAAAATATAGATTTAGCTTTATAATAGAAAGGGTGGATTTCTCAAATTGGCAAGCCTGCCTCTCTCCTGACTCAATTTGAATTTCCCCATCCAATTGCAGGGAGAGAGCACTAAATACATTCCTACTCTGAAGAGAACTATCCAGTGTATTTGCCACGTGGGAGAAGTAGCTGAGGAAGGAGAATATGTTTCACTTAGAAATAGCTTCAAAAGAGAGATCTGCACTATCTGTTTTCAAACAGTAACCTTGTCACCAGGATGCTGTGTTCTTTGATAGGAGAGTCTCCCAAGTTTTGCCAGGCCAATAAGTTATTACTTCCAGGAGGGGCAAGTGATAAATGCTGAGGTATCCCGTAAGTGTACATTCTAATATAGTTCTTTGAAGGTGTATGGGAAGGCCCCTTATTGGAAACTTGGGGGCTTAGATTCTATTTGACATACCCCACTTACTCTTTTGTCACTGAAGCTCAAAGATGCTGCTTGTATACTTACTTTCATTATGGCCACCTGGGCCATTCCCCCTTGGTAGAACCCTGAGTGGCATCCCCTATTTGTAATTCTATAGATTGACCCATTATCAATGTTAGCACCTTTCTCCCCTCCTTACCTGTATGAGTTCTTTCTTAAAGAACTATAAACTTTACAGTGTGAGAAATAAGATTCTGCATTTGCTTTTCCAACATCCCTTGATGCTAGGCATTGTCCCAAGACATGGTTTTGGCCAATGAGCTGTAGAAATCTGCTGAGTGGAGTGATGTTCTTGAACAACTGTTTTTCTAATAAAAGAAAATAGATACAAATGTCATCAACCCCCTTTTCCTCCTCCTTTCTGTCTTAAACATGCAATTGTTTTGTTTTGTTTTGTTTTGTTTTTTTGAGGTAAAGTCTCACTCTGTCACCTAGGATGGAGTTCAGTAGCACAATCTTGGCTGGCTGCAACCTCCGCCTCCCAGGTTCAAGTGATTCTTCTGCCTCAGCCTCACAAATAGCTGGGATGACAGGCATGTGCCACCACCCCCGGCTAGTTTTTGCATTTTTAGAAATGGGGTTTTTCCATGTTGGCCAGGTTGGTCTCGAACTTCTGACCTCAGAAGATCCGCCCACCTCGGCCTCCCAAAGTGCTGGGATTACAGACATGAGCCACCTCGCCCTGCCTAAACATGCAACTGTTTTTCTAATGCAATTTGTTCAGCAACAAAAACAACAAAGAGAATGTCAATATGCATATAAATAACCCTTACCAACTATTCTGAGTTGCAAGTTAGGGGACATCTTGTTTAGCGAATACTCATGCCAGAGTTGGATGTGTGTGTGGTTTTTGTTTGTTTTGTCTTTTGGGGGGTGGCCTGTTTTATTAACTATAAGAAGATCAAATAATAAGTCGAAACAGTTAATATTATTTCTTAATACACTTACCTTAGTGTACAAAACCCCCCAAAAAACACTCTATAGCTTTTACTAGGCTCTCACATTGTTAGAATCTCCTTAGTGGTTCTCAAATTTGGGTGTATATTAAAATCTTGGAGGTCTTGTTAAACTACAGATTACTGGGACCCACCAGACACACTGCTATAGACTGAATGTTTGCATTCCCATAAGATTCATATGTTGAATCCTAACTCCCAATATGATGATATTTGGATGTGGGGCCTTTGGGAGGTAACTAGGTCATGAGAGTGGAGCCCTCATAAATGGGATTAGTGCCCTTACAAAAGAGGCTCAAGAGAGACCTATGCCCCCCCACCACATGAGGACACAGTGAGAAAATGCCATCTATGCAGCAGAAAGAAAGCCCTCATCAGACACCAAATCTGCTGATGCCTTGATCTTTGACTTCTCAGCATCCAAAGCTGTGAGAAATAAATTTCTGCTGTTTGTGAGCCACCCAGTTCATGGTATTTTACTATAGCAGCCCAGATGGAACTAAGACACCCATACTCAGAGTTTCTAATTTAGTAGGTCTGGGACAGCTCAAGAATTTGCATTTCTAACAAGTTCCCAGGCAATGTTAATGGCACTGATCTGGGAACCATGTTTTGAAATTTGCTGTCCTACAATACCAATGCTGCATTGTCTTCCACACCTATTTTGAGATAATAGACCCCAGTTGGTGTTGGATGTTGTGAGGAGCTGTGTGTTATGTTAAATTTCCACCAGGTGGGAATACAGAAGAACTGAAATACCAAGCACATCATCAAAAGTTACCTTCTCAGAAAGAAACAGTGAAGTTTTATTTTCATCTTGGTTTAATGATTTTTTTAAGAGACAATGTTTCACTCTCACCCTGGCTAGAGTGCAATGGTTTGATCATGGCTCACTGCAGCCTCAACCTCCTGGGCTCAAGTGATCCTCCTGCCTCAGCCTTGCAAGTAGCTGGGACTACAGGTGCATCCCACCACGCCCAGCTAATCTAAAAAAAAAAAATTTTTTTTTTTTTTTTAGAGATGTGATCCCACTATGTTACCCAGACTGGTCTTGAACTCCTGGCCTCAAGTGCTCCTCCTGCCTTGATCTCCGAAAGTGCTGAGATTACAGGCATAAACCACTGAATCTGACCTAATGATTTCTTGTATCATTTTTCTTAAGCTTCAGAAACAACTTGTAAAGAAGACAATTATGAGACTATTTTTACCATATTACTTTATGATAAAAAGTTGAGACAAAATTAAACCAGTTTCTGGCTGAATGATAATTGAATACTTCACTTTTTCGACTTATGAAAGACCAAATAGTTTTAATTTAGCTTTAAATGTCATTGGTTTGATAGAGCATTCGTGAGACATCCTTCTAGGGATAAAAATATTAGAAGAAAATATACTATCAAATAGGCTGGTCTAATTTTCTATTTTCAAGATAAATAATATGGCTGACATTGGGTTTTATTATAATATGCAATTGGAGTTTTCTGATGTGAGCCTTAGTGATTACTATCATTCAGCTTTCTATAAAACCTAGGCATCTCATTAGAATTCTGTTTCTGAGCAGTGCAATCATTTGTGCAGCAGCTGGAGAAGGCTCATGTATTTCACAGGACTCCTTAGATTAATGACAAGAAATGCCTGGTAGTGACCCATGAATGGAAAGCAGGAATCTTTCAAAAAAGCTCTTCAAATGTATAAGTCAATCGTTTTAAGAGTATTTTTTAAAAAATGCTTATGGTAAAGATCTACTTGGTTATACATTGTTTCCCTTCATCTATAGATTCAGCCTCACTCAATATTCTCAGGTCAGTCCTAGCTTTTATCTGGAGGTATTTAAACCCCCTGCAGGGGAAGGCAGGGTAGCAGTTTCACCTTGTTGAACTTGCTGACTAGCCAGTTGTAGTTGTATGTCCAGATTCCATTACCTAGGCTTTCGTCTTTTAATCAAATCCTAAATTAAAACCAAGTCCTAATAAATGGATTCCTGACCTATGACATGTATTCTGGTTTCCTTTACAGAACCCCAATTCCTCCATGATTAAGGTCTTATGCAGTCCCCAAGTCTTTCACGAAATATAGTCCCAACTCCCTCCTCACAGTCTGGCACCTTACCCTATACTTTGAAACCTTTTGCTTGCCCATTGGAGATTCCAGTGTATCTCTCCCTGGTTGATCATCATAACCAATATTTGTATAGGACTTTACCTTTAACAAACCACCTTAATCTTTTTATACATTCTCTTATTTGATCATCAAAAATTATCAGGTGAGCATGGTGGTCACATTTTAATTTAATTCAATAATTTAATTACAGAAAATCTAAGACTCAGAAGGATTAAGTAAACTGCCCAGGATCCTAGAGCTAGTAAATAATTGATAATTAGGGGAGATCAGGTCTTCTGGGCATTAATTTAGTGTTTTTATTGCCCCGCCTTTGTGCCAGACCTCCCTGAAATTCTGGCATGCACTTCTGCCTGAACTTCTTTCTACTGCATTCTGTTGGGACCTTCTCAAGGACAGGTTGCTCTTCAGAGCAAACTTGGTCTCGCCCATTTTGCCTAACCTCCTGCTCAATACTCATGAAAAAAAAAAAAAAAAAAAGCTTTTATTGTTTTTAAAAATATATCTGAATCAAATGAAAGTACAGTCACAAAAGACGTAATTTGAGACTAGGAACAACAAATTTATCTCATAAATAAGGACCCTGGCCCATAGAAAACCTTATTTAATTCTATCATCATAATCACTGTCATCATGTTTCAACCCTGAATACATTAGTTACCAGTTGTTGAAACATTGGTAAAGTGGAACTACACGCTCAGTAGCCAATACATTGGTTTGGCAGTATACTTATTCTTGATGAGTTCATCATCCAGATAGGCATGGCCTTGATGTTATTCCCTGGTACACCTCTGACCTTTAATTTTACTGCCTTCTCTTAAACAACAAGGGTTCCATACCCTTGATCGTATCTTAAAGAACTACAGTACTTCCTAAATCAATAGTAGGAAAGTCCTTCTAAGATGACATATTAGTCAAGGTTCTGCAGAGAAACAGAACCAATAGGGTGTGTTGTATGTGTGTACAGAGAGAGCAAGAGTGAGAGATTTCTCATAAGAAATTGGCTTACATGATTATGAAGGCTGAGAAGTCCCAATATCTTCAGTCAGCAAGATGGAAATACAAGAGAGCCAATGTGTAGTTTCAGTGTGAGAACCAGTAGATCTGACAGTGTAAGTTCCAGTTTGAAAGCTGGAAGAATAGAGACTCAAGAAGAGACAATGTTTTAGTCAGAGTCCAAAGACCAGAAAAGACTGATGTCCCAGCTCTAAGGAGTCAAACAGGAGGAGTTCCTTCTTATTCTCAGGAGGTCAGCCTTTTTGTCCTATTCAGATTTTTTGATTGGATAAGGTCTACCCATATTAGTGAGACCAATCTGCTTTGCTCAGTTTACCAATTTGAATGTTAATCTCGTCCAGAAACACCCTCACAGACACACCGAGAATAATGTTTGACCAAATATTTGAGCATCCTGTGGCCCACTCAAGTCAAGACAAAAATTTAACTGTCACAGATGACAACATTTAGGATCTTTATATAGGGAAAATGTTCTATTTTAATTTTGATCTCTCTTTTTTCTCTTTCTTGAGAAAAGCTCAACTACTTTCTCCCCATGCTTCCCTCCCTTCCAGTGCTTCCCTAAAAATTACTTATTCTAAGATGAGAGTGGACCTCTCCTACAAATCTGACAGTTGTTTTTCAGTTTTTACCTCTTTCAGTTTCTACTGTAATATTGTGCCCTTGGGATAATTACGTAACCTCTCTAAGTGTCAAGTTTTAATTTTTCAAATGGCAAGACCTGTTGCTAATAGGTGTTCTTAGTAATAAAGTATTTATTTTTATTTTATTTATGTATTTATTTATTTATTTATTTATTTATTTAGAGATGGGGTCTCGCTCTGTCGCCCAGGCTGGAGTGCAGTGGTGCGATCTCGTCTCACTGCAAGCTCTGCCTCCCGGGTTCACACCATTCTTCTGCCTCAGCCTCCCAAGTAGCTGGGACTATGGGTGCCCACCAGGCCTGGCTAATTTTTTTGTATTTTTTAGTAGAGACAGGGTTTCACCATGTTAGCTAGGATGGTCTGTATCTCCTGACCTCGTGATCTGCCTTTACTTTTATAATATTTTAGAAATATTCTCTCTTACCTATGTTATTCCAGCATATCAGAGGCCATTGACCTTGGAGACCTGCTGCAAATATGGGTATGGCCCAGCAGGCGATTTACACCCTCTCCCCCAGAGTTTCAAGTGCCCGTGAGAACTCACCAGATGCTGCAGGAACCATGACACTTTACAACGCACAGGCCACTCTCTTGGAATGAAGCCATTCAAGCACACCCTGCCCTTCTCAAAGGAAAGAGAACTCTCCCTGGGGTCCCACCGGCTTCTCTGGGATCTGTCATGTTATCATACACATTAATTTTAAAAATAATAATATCTTTCTTTGTATTCCCACTGGTTTTAGGTTTCTCATTTCTCTGTTGTATTATGGTTACCACCTGCCTGAAATCTTTGGTCTCATTCTCCCTCATTCATGAGTTCTGTCCTGCATCCTGCTACCCATTCAGTCTTTGTAAAATACCACTAGTTTTAAGCCAAATTTTGCTGAAAAGCCTTCAATAGTTTCCAATAACTTACAGCAATAATTCTCAAATTGTGCTTCACTGAACCCCATGATAGCGCTCATCTTGAAGTCAACACTTCTTGAACCAGAACAGCTATTCCATGCTCTACTTATTGTATTCAATATTTCCTATGGTTTCTTGAATATATTAAATACAGTTATAATAACTATTGTAATGTTTTTATCTACTCATTCCATCATCTATATCATTTCTAGGTCCATTTTGATTGGACTTTTCTTCTCATTTAAGCTGTATTTTTCTGCTTCTTTGAATGTGTGGTAATTTTTAAGTATTTTTAGAGCAGTTTTAGGTTCACAGCAAAATTGAGAGGAAAATACAGAGATTTTCCATATATCCCCTGTCCCTACACATGCATAGCCTCACCCATTATCAACATCCCCACCAGAGTACACATCTTATAATTGATGAACCTACGTTGACACATTATTATTACTCAAAGTCCATAATTCACATTAGGGTTCACTCTTGGTATTGTACATCCTATGGGTCTGGACAAATATATTCACCACTATAGTGTCACTCAGAAAAGTTTCACTGCCCTAAAAAATCCCCTATGCTCCACCTATTTATCTCTCCCTCTTCACAACTCCCTGGAAATCACTGATATTTTCACTGTCTCCATGTTTTGCCTTTTCAAGAATGTCATACAATTGTCAAACAGTGTATAGCCTTTTCTGCCTGGTAATTTTTAATTAGATGCCAGACATTGTGAATTCTAGCTTGTTAGGTGGTAGATATATTTGTATTCCTATAGATATCTTTGAGCTTTGTTTTGAGTTGCAGTTAAGTTACTTAGAAACTGATTCTTTCCATTTGGATTTTTAAGTTTTGCTAGAAAGGACAAGAGCAGTGTTTAGTTTACGGCTAATCTCCACTATTGACATGAAACCCTTGTGAATACACTTCCTGATTCCCCATGAAGTATGAAGTTTTCCACTCTGGCTTGCAGGAACAAAAACTATTTCTAAAGGGCTCCAAGGACTTTTCTTCTAATTTATTTGGGTGGTCCTTTCCTCATACACATGCACAGATCACTACACTACTGATGACTTGATAAGGATCCTCTGCAGTTCCCCAGAGCTCTCTCTGAGCAGCTCTCTCCTATCCAGTACTCTGCTCTATAAACTCTAGCCATCTCAGCCACTACAGACTGCTAGCTTCATCTCCTTAACTCAAAGAGGTTGCTGGTCATGGTCTGAAAACTCCCTGTGTTATGTCTTGGAAACTCTTCAAGCTGAGGCAGTCATGGAGCTCACCTTGTTTGCTCCCCTCTTTCAGGGATCAGTGTCCTTTGTGTTTATTAATCAATTATTTAAACCCATTGTATCATATGTTCTGTGCTTTTTTCTTAAGTTGTTTTAGGTAGGGGGCTAAATCTTTTCCCTGTTTCCCCACCTTGTTGGAAGAAAATGTCTCAGTCAAGAGACCTATGTTGGAGATTGTTTGAAAAAATGTGTTTTGCCTTAAAAGAATGTTTTGAAATATAGAATAAAATCTAAACTCCTTAGCGAGATAGCCAAAGCCTTCCACAATGTGCTCTCAGTCTGAATTTTGAAATTATTTCCCTGTCCCAAGCACAATGACTAAATATATCTTGTATGTTTCCACCTCTTTATTCACAGATTTCCCATGCTGTCAACATAATGTTGCCTTCCTGGCTATCATTCTCTCATCGGATCCTCAATTTAGGTCATTTCTACTTCATATGATCATTTTAATTGTATTTACCTCATCTTACCAAAAAGATCATGGTGAGTGGACTCCCAACATATGTTTTAATTTGTCTAACAGAATGCTGAATAGCCTGACAGTAGCAGCCTAGAATTTTATTCTTGATGGTCTTAATCAGCAGCACACCAATTACTACATGATAGTATAAAAATAGGCTATGATGTAATTTCTGAGTGATCATTATATGACATAAATGTAGCCGGTCTGCTTTTTAAAAATCCAGATGGTAAAACACTTCATGTGATTTCATTCTGTGTGCTCTTGTGTCCAGTCCCCAACACACAACTTCTCACTTCCCTTTTCTCAGACACCAAGGGTCATGGTGCTGAAATTTTCCACTGAATTTCCTCTCTGTACTTAGTGGGATGGAGTATGACGTGTCACCTTCTCTATTTTTGCTGATACCAGAGTTGCCTGAATTCTAATTATTTACTGAGAGTAGTTTTCTCTGGGACCAACCCCAAGGCAAAAAGTCAGAATAGTTAAGAGCATGGTCTATAGTGTCAGACTGTATGAGTTGGAGTACTGGTTCTGCTGAGTATTAATTAGCACTGTGACCTTGTGTAGTCGTCTCTCTTTTCCAAGCCTCAATTCCTTATCTACAAATAGAAGACAATAATAGTACCCAGCACATAGAGTTCTGTGTAAACACAAGAACTTAGATCATCTTTCTGCACACTCAGTGGGAGTTTACTGCTTTTGGATTGAATTGAGATACATGTTCATACACCTAAATTAGGTCATGGCTTTTAAAGACAAAATTCCTTATCAAACTATTTAAAACCCATGGCAGAGTGCAGAAAAACCCAACCATCATCCAGATTTTAGTGTGTCTGTAATCTCAACTGTTTTACCAAGAAGACTATTGCAAGAAGTTTAAGATTCAAAGAAATCCATCATACCTTATGCTGCCTATTAGTCTTCCAATGATATGGCCATTCTTTATTATTAAGAAACTGAATCAAATTCTACTTATATATGCCCCCAATATAATCACAGTAATTTTGCAATAATTATTTTTTTCTATTTATTAAATAACCTGTTCTGGGTGCTTTTTTGAATATTTTACAGATATTATTGTATTTAAAATGAAAACCTTATGAGGTAGACTGGTATGGTTTGAATATGCATCCCCTTCAAAACTCATGTTGAAATTTAATTGCCATTGTTACAGTATTAAGAGGCGATTAGGTCATGAGGGCTTCACCCTCATTAACGGATTAATACTGTTATAAGGAAGTGGGTTCTTACAAAAAGTTGAGTTCCCCATCCACCTTTTTCTCAGTCCCCTACCAAGGGATAATTATGCAAGAAGTCCCTCACCAGATACAGACTCCTCAACCTTGAACTTCCCAGTTTCCAAAACTGTAAGAAATAAATTTCTGTTTTTATAAATTATTCAGTCTGGGGTTTTGCTATAGCAGCACAAAACAGATTAAGATGAAGGCATATTATAGATGAGAAAACTATAGCCCAGAGAGAATAAAGAATTGCTCAGCATCACCTAGTTAGACAAGAACAGAGTTATGATTCACACTCAGGCAGCCTGACTTCAGAGCCCACTCTTAACCTCTAAGCTCCTTGATAAGCCATAAGATTTTTTCTATGGTGACATATTTTTCAAACCTAAAATTGATCTGACTAGTGTAGATACTGAGAAATTCAGAGACATGGTCAACACAAAATAGGAGTTATGGAAATGCATTGCAAATAACTTCTTAGGGGTAAGATAGGAGATGATTTTTTTAAAAAAATAATTAAACTCTATTAGAATAACATAAATTGTCTCATAAAACATGTAACTGTCTATAGCTGAGAGTCCTTTACAATGAGAGGTGGTGAAGGATGTTTTTAGGCAGACCTGAAAAGTGCATGGGAGGAGCAAGATTTGCCTCTCCTGGACTATGGAGAAGGGCTGTGGAATGCCAGTGTCTGTCTGGGTCACCAGAGAAAGGTTAATTGAGGCTGTTTTGTAGGGCTGGCTGGGTAGGCAGATCTGATGAGAATTCACTAATCCCTGGTGGCTAAACAGAATCCTCCTGCTTGCTTACTGTGGTGGAAAATTCCTCTAGTCTAGCACAGTAGTTCTCAAAGTGAGATCCCCCAGACAAGTAGCATCAACAGGGAGCTTGTTCAAATGCAACTTCTCAGGCCCCATCCAAGATCTACTGAATCAGAAACTCTGGGAGTGACACATGGCAATCTGCGTTTTAACAAACCCTCTAAATAATTCTGATGCACACTAAATTTTAAGAACAACTGAAAGCAGAAAACTTTTTGAGCTCTACAACTAGAAGTAAGAATATTGAAATGTAAGAACATAGGTGAGAGCTCTTCAAAGTGGATTAGCTACAGATAAATGTAAATAAATTTTAACTCACTGCGTTTGATCTGTTTTTCAATTCTTTTTGATGGAAATAAGTCAACCAAAACACCAGTCCTCACCCTTTTCCTCAGCCACATGCAAGACTCATGTTCATTAAAGTCAAGGCTTAATAAGGCTTGCAACATCGATCAGATGGGCTGCAGTTTATGAGAAAGTGTCAGCCAGACCCTTCCACTGGAGAAAACATGTGAGTGATGGCAAGTAGTAAGTGTTAATGGATGGATATTTTAAAATCTATTCTAATTTATACTTTTTAAAATGAAAATCCCTGGAAAACATCTGAATGCAATTATTATTGGCTTGTTTCAAGTAACTATCAGGGGTCTTAACACAGGTCTGACTTCTGCTCTAGAGCACAAGCTCCCTGAGGGCAGGTACCTTCCTTATTCACCAGTGCTCATTCTGTGTCAGGCTCAATAAACAGATCATGAGCTGAACTGACTGGAAACCTGTGAATAGATCAGAGAGCATTATCCTCACAAGTGAGAGAACAGAAATAGAAAAAGGAAGCGAACAGGGAAACTGGGAACAGGGAAAATAAATTTCAGAGTTGACAACTTTATCTTCTTCAGTTTAGTGAAGACTAATAGAAGCTCTATGTGCAAATATATGCCTCACAGCTGGAAAATTAGGTAGCTCTAATTTGCATAAGTTGTCATTTTAATGTACTTGTTGGTGGCATGAATTGATTAATAAAGTGCTGCATGGTGAGTTTGTTTATCGAAGCATCACTGTATAAGAGTCTAGCTTTATTGGCCCATTTGGCACATTTGAGTTCAGTTTCAATCATGAGGGAAGAAGTCGTCCTTCTGAATGACAGACCTGGGAGTTTTCACAGATATTGGAATTATAGATGAGCAGCTCAGAACAGGATATTTCTTCCCTTTTCTTTTTTTTCCATATCACTACTAGACATGATCAAAGAATAAAATCAAAGATGTTTGTTTGCCTACTATATGCCCTTAATTCTAATTCCAGACCATTTGTTTAATAATACAGATGATTTATTTCAAAATTAGAGATCTGATTTGCTCAAATAGTCTGCATTATTTTTAATATATAGCAGACATCAGTGAAATATATTTTGAAATTTATTGCTCGGGTCCAAACAGCAGATAGATAACAACCCACATTATAAGTCATGGCATCTGCTTTGCCGCCATCATTATCTGTTAAAATGTATTACATTTTTTTCAATGTGTAATCTTATTAAAAATAGGGTAGACATGAGAGTATCTAAACAGAAGTTACTCATTTGAATACAGCCACTCGTTAAAAAACACCCAGTAGCATTAATCCTTCTAGCTGGAAAGTGTTTTTGGCCCAATTGATTCTTTCATTTATCATTTTACCAGGTTCACGAGGGAAGTTTCTAGATTGCTAAAAGCATCAGATGTGTGAGATAAACAATTAATGAAACTGAGCAATGCAATGTGCTGGGTCATTCTGGCTGACAGAAAATTTCCAAATAAGTAGGCATTATCTGCTAAAACATCTGTACCCATGTAGCTACAGAAGATTATTACTGGAGAGTGATTGTGTTGGAAAAGAGAGGTTAAAATAAATAAAGGAGCTCTAGAAAAATATTAAAAGTGAGTTCATTCATTTATTCATCATTATTTATCTATCTGTTTTATTTAGAGTAGTATAACATCTTCACAAAATCATTTTACCCCAAATCGTTAGTTTTAAAATATGTCAGCTAATTACTATTTTGAAGTAATTGCAGTGACCAATATCCATTTTCCCCATCTTCTAAAGATTGGAACCCCCAATCTTTAGCTGAAATTAGGACAATGTAATAGACTTTCTATAGTAGTGGCCAGGAAAACATAAGCATCCTTTGCAACTAGGTGTAACTATGTAATTAAGTTCTTGATAATGTGATGTGAATGGAAAAGGGCAGACAATTTCTGGGAAGAATCTTTAAAGGACATGGCTCTTCTTTTCTTCTTCTTGTTTCTTCCCAAGTGTAAATGAACAAAATGGCTGGGTCTCTAGCAGAATATTGAATCATGCCTTGACCTGGGGAATGAAAGCCATGAACAGTAGATCAAGACAGAAGAAACCTGATCCCTCACACTGGGGTATACATAGGAGCCCTGGATTAACTCCTTCCAGACTTCATGAGAGAAATAAACTTCTGCCGTATTTAAGTCATTGTTATTTTGAGGTTTTTCTGTTTCTAACTACGCTACTTGCAAAGGGCAATTTTGTTATTGTTTTTGTTACCCTTGGCAACTAATACCAGGACTACCAAGAAATACTGACTAAATATAACTGTTTATAATCCTCCAAAGCTGGACCAAAAAAAATGTTAAGTTATAAAAAGAAAAGATAGGCATATTTAACTGTAAAAAATATGACAAAAGTTACCATAAGTGAATTCAAAAGAAAAATAATAGATTTGGTAAATTAAATTAATAATAAAAGACATAGGATTAGCACACAAAATGTACAAAGAACAATTGCAAATTGAAAAGAACAAGTAAATACCCCCATAGAAAAGTAGACAAGATAAACGAAATAAAAAGTAGACAGAACAAACAATTCAGACAAGAACTAATCCAAATGAGTATTCGAAAAGATGTTCAAATTCTTTAACAGAGAAATGAAATTAAACTAACAATGAAATATTACATTATACCTATTGGATTGTCAAAAAGTTATAAAGAATGAAAAGGCCTATTACTGTCAGTAATGCAGGAAAAAGTACTTTCATATATGACTGGTGAAATTGTTAATTGTTACTGCCTTTTTGGAAAACAATCTGGCAATATCTATTAGAATTTTAAATGTGTATTTTCTTTGACTTAACATTCCCACTCCTAGGACACTTTCTCAAATAAATAAAATCATGAGTAATGACACACGTACAAGGATGCTGATTACATTTTTTTATAACGGCAAAAAACCTCTGGAAATGTCAATAGGGGAATTGTTGAATAAATTATGATACATATGGTATGATGTGAAATATCATAGAATCATTAAAATAATGCATTTGAGTTGTAGCAGTTGATTTGGCAGATTTTCAATGAGGTATTATTGAGTGAGAAGAATTAGGACATAGAGGCCTGTATATAATTGATCTTATTTTGTTAAATGACCTACAACAATATGTGATATGTCTGTATATTTGTTTACCTGAACACATAAGCACGGAGAAAAATATTGAAGAATACATCCTAAATTGTTAATCTGGATTATGTGTGGGGTGAATAAAAGCAAGAAGGATAATGTGAGTAGAAGGGTAAGAGAATCCAAGATCTAATATGGGCTGTAGCAAGAGGACAAAGGCAAGCAAAAAAACCCCAAGCTTTATCACATGTTTAACTTCTTGATATGTAAAATTAATTATATGTTATTTATATATGTACAGGAGTGTATTATATATGTATGTATACAAAAACATTTACATAATTCTTTAATGTTTTTGGAAGTTCAATTTTATTTTTATTCGACAAATAATAATTGCATATATTTACAGGGTATACTGTAATGTTTCAGTATGATATATATCTAATTCTGACCCTAATTTATACCCAGAAATACTGACCATCACCTTATTTTATTTTAAGATAATCTTTATTGCACAAAATGATATTTTCATTATAGAAAGAGAAGAGTAGAAAATTTAGAGTTGCAAAATAATTTTTAAAAGAATCCATAATCCCACCATCCAGAGATAGCCAATTTGGAACTTTTATTATGCATATAATCTTAAATATACTGTAAATACTGTTTTATAATTCATTCTTATTTAAATATCACAAACATCTTTAATAATGAATTCTCCTTCTCAGAAGCATATGATCTTACATTGTAACAAGTATGAAACTATCACTTTATATCCACACATCAAGTCCTTTCGCAAATGTTCTTGTTCTCAAATCACACCAACAAAATTGGTAAAGGAAGAAGATGGGGGCCTTGGAAGTGAGAGGATTTTTTCTTTCCTTTGTAAATCTGTAGCAAATCTGCGTGGAAGATGCCCTCTTTTCCTCCCTGTATCACCTAATACATTCTAACATCTTTTATGATATCAACCCTTCTATTGAGATTAGGAACAGGAAGGAATAACGGATGTTTTAAATTGTGTCTCAAAACACCATCGTATGAATTATTTCGCCCTCAAATAGTTCTGTAGCATCTGTATAGTAAACGCTATAAAACATTTCCTCTTTAGCAATTATTAATCAATTAGTAAGATTTCAGGTTTGAATTTTGGTTCTGTGAATTACACTACTAGATCAACTACATGTGAAGCAGAACAACTTGTGGTTGTCAACATGCAAGAAATCTTCAAAGGGGCTTCTATGGTGGGCATAGTTACTTTAATTTTGTCGTCAAGTCAATTATCCATAGATTCTATGGAATTCAATCATTTGAATACAGCAACTATTGACAGAGCTTATTCTCACTTGATTGTTTTAAAATACACCACTTACTTTACATTAAGACCCTTGTTTTGATCCTTATTCTCTGTTCAACCCAGAGAAGAAGTAACACTGCCTCACATTTCTGGGGTTATAATAATGCCCTAGGAAAAATTTGAATCTCCAGGGTCACCACACCTATCTACCCTTTAGATTTGTCAACTACCAAATACCCACTAAGCCACATCAGAATCTCCCTGATCATGCCTCATGCCCTTTCTTGGGATTTTTTTGTTGTTGTTGATAGAACCACAGTCCCCCTCTGTCTTTCCACCATCTTCACCACATACATCTCCTATTGCTCCCCACCACCTGCCCTCCGAGTCTATTGGTGCATGTCCCTCCCAACCTTTCAAAAATGGAAACAGGCTTATTACTATTAACAGCTGTCTCTCATTTATTTCAAACTAAACCCCTCTTAAAACCGGTCTTGTTAGTTTCTTCCACAACTGAACATCTTGAATCCTCAGAGCTCCTTGAAATGCAAGTTAAACTGTTTTGTCTGCTTTATCTGAACTGAATCTTTTACAAATGTCTGGACACAATACCACACCCTTTTACTCAGGCCCCAAGCACACCTGAAAATGGTTTGCAGTCTCCCAAAGGCCAAGTAGGGCACTTTAATGTCCATTTCCTGTGAACAAAAAGCCAGCCAGGGCGCTGTATCTATTGCTTCATCTCATATTGCCTGGGATTTCTGTGAGGTTACTGGTGACTTCAGTTTACCCATTTACAATCACTGGAGATTCTAATTAAATCTCATTCCTGTATGAAGCAACAAAGATCATCTCAATTAGACTGCCATATTGATTCATTTTGGTAAAAATTGATTGGGTATAATTATACAGTACTTGCTTCAGCATTTCTTATTAGTTTACTTCTGCCCTCAATGCTGTTGTAATAGGCTTCAGGAGAGGTGTCTCTCTATTCTTTTATTGCTCAGTGGGAAATGGTTAATAAATTGGTCTGGGAAATAGTTATGCAGAACTGACCCATGAGTAGTGAGAACTGATCGCATGAACTATTTCCTATAACTCAAAGAGTTTCCTTTTTTTTTTTTAACATCATTTCCCAAAAGTCATTTTAAAAAAGTTCAGAAAGTCCTTTGCTCCAGAAAGACATTTTCAGGTTTTGTAAAAAGCTTATAAGTCCTAAGAAAGTAATTCAAAGTCAAGGGTCGACTGGCTAATCTCCCCTTTTGTAGCAATCAATTAGCTGTTTGCTTCACCTAGACACTCAGTAAAAGAAAATTTTCTCAATGTTGAAAGAGGCAAATAGAAATACATTTCCTTGGATAGACAAGACACTTTTAAAAATTACACTTTTGGGAGGGGGGAAGAAATTAAAGAACCAAATGAGATGTATGAGATAAAAATTATATATTATAATTATTACAAGAATATATTTTGAAGCTCAACATCTAGGCTCAAATCTTTTCTCCCAAAATGACTAGCTTATCACCTCTGCCTTTGTTTCCACATCTGTAAAATGGGAATAATAAACCCTATCTTACAAGGTTGTTATGAGGATTATATTAACTCACATATGCAAATTGATTGGAACAATCACTTGGAATATAATCCACCCTTAATAAATATTCTTTCTTAGTATTCTCAGAATAGCCTAAATAAATAGTAGATATCTATGATTAACTATTTTCTTGGAGATATGGAAAATGTTGAGACCCTTAACTTAATTGCTCCAAATCACTGGAGAGATAGCACTAGAGCCCAAGACTCCAAAATTGATGCCACCAGAGACGGTGTTGCTGCTTCTCTTTTAATATTGTCTAATCCTATTATGTAGCAAGCATTTGAGGAATGAGTTAAATTAGTCTGCGGATTTTGGTTATAGAAATGGGATCGTTTTCTGACATCTCATACCCTTGCCTCAGAGACATTTGGGGTGCCAAATCCAGATCCAAGGGTTCAACTTCTTAAAAACCAGTAGACAAATTTAGAAACAATGGCAAAGTTGACTGAAGCTGTCATCCTTGACCTTGACAAGAGTGTATAAAGTCTTGACTCAGCACTGGTCTGCCCATTTCTTTTGATCTTTCCAAGGTAGGTTTCTATCTCTCCCTTTTCCACCAATACATTGAATAGTGGGTATTAAAAACAATTTGCTATTTTTACTGATAGTTTTCGCATGGGGGTTGTTATACGAAACAAAATATTTTAAGAAAAAGATGGTGTATTCATAGAATAGAATAGTTGCTCTGAGGTGAGAATTTTAACAGCAATTTGTTTTACTTTCGGTATAATCTTTTGGAGAATGTATGTCTTTTACTTATCATACTGAAAACTATATTGACAAGTCTTGGTCCCTGCTAGACTTAAATCTTGAAACAGAAGCCACATCTTAATTATTCTAGTATCCCAAGCATTTTGACAATTCTTGGCACTTATTGAATGTTCAAAAAATTGTTATATTTAATTGAACTGGAATACATAATATTCTAGTTTTATTTTAGATAAGTGTATCTGAATATCTATTATGCAAAGATGTTGACTACAATTGTACTTAGTTAAAACTCATAATTATCCTGAGTTAAGAACATTCAGAAAATATGAAACCAATAAATCGATGAAAATAATGCTATTAATACCTTGAATTTATATATCATCTTTTAGAATCACTAAATATATTTAATGCATGTCTTTTGTGCTGAATAACAGCACCTGCAATTCTAAAGTAAGTGTTACTCTATTATGCAGATCGTGGGTCACTGACCCTAAGGAATATTATCATGACAATGTTCCATTTCAGCTAATCTTTATTCCGTTGACTGTGGTATTACCTAGTATTTTATAGGAGGGTATATTTGCCTTGAATTCTGAAGCACAAAAGTATAGCCCTCGATCTTAGTTTCCTTCAGTTTCTCTTCATAGAGCTATCATCAGTATTTTTCTCTCAACTCTGCTCAAAACTATCCATACTTTCAGCCTGCTCCATTGTTATTGGTTGGTGAATGTGAGCCAATCATGTATTTTGCTGGTCCCTGCATACTCACCTGTAAAATATGGAGCAATGAGCCAGCTGTTATTAAAGAACTTTTAGTTCTAAGACTCCATGGATTCAAAAATCTTGGAGCAATACAATTCAGATGTATTGACTTAAATACCTTTATTTTAAAAATAAACTACTTATTTAAATCTTTCCTTACCAGTCTGGTTTTCTTGATATGGTATACCAGTTGATTTTTATCCTTAGCATACTTCTTTTGAACCACAAATCTAAATTTTTCTCATCCAACTTAAAAATGAAGTGGTGATGCTTTTTAAACCAAGGACATGTTGCCTGTATGGACATGTTGCATCTTGGTTAGATGCTTTTCTAACCAAGAACATCAGCCTCCTTGCTGGCTGGAGCTCAGCCAAGGAGGAAGTATAGCATCATGCTTAAGAGCAAGGACTCAGGAGTCAGACTGATGGGTCTGCTCTATTTGTTGGTTCATTCCCTACGTGTTTATTAATGCTCTACCCAAAGAACTAGAGTCTTCTCTGAGTGCTGCAGACCTAGTCCTGCCCTCAGATTACTTATGTTTCATTAGGAAGATGGGCAATTAAACAAATAATAATAAAATAGGATGAAAATTATCATGATGCAAGTAGCAAAGAAATCTAAGAACACATCTAGCTGACAGAACGAACCTAGAGAATACCTTCTTGTAGAAATGTTGCTTACTGAAGACCCAAAGGATGATTAAGAATTAGCCAGATGAGGGACAGGGCTGAATGTTCCCGGCAGGGGTCACATGACGTGTGAACACCCAGAGGTCAGAGAGTGCTGTTGGCATCTACTAGTAGTGCCCCAGCCAGGTCAGGCCTGGGGATGAGACAGCAAGAGAGATGAGGTGTGGGTGTCAGTCAAGCAAGAGGATGGAGAGCTCTATAGGCTCTGTTAACATGTTGGGCTTTTATCATAGGATGCGGAATGATTTTAAATAAGATAGTACAGTAACTGTGTTTCTCTACTTGGGGGCCTCATTCTGGATTGGCTGCTGTCGGGAGACTGAGAGAATACAGCAATACGCCCCCAGAAAAATGATGATGGCCTTGATCCAGATGTTGGCAGGGGTGATGGAAAGATGGAGATGGTTTTGAGTGATATTTAGAAAGAGTCAGCAGAGCTTGGCAATTGATTGGATGTAAAGGTGAACAAAGTAGGAAACAAGAATGACTTTAATGTATCTGGATTTAAAACTAGAGATAACACTTGCTAGTTCTCTGAGACTCAGTGTTTTCATATAATAAAGGTTATTACATATATCCTTCATAGAGCTACTGTAAAGTTAAAAGAGTTATTATGTATAAAACACTTAACCTAGTTCCTGGTGTGTGATACACACTCAGAACTCAGATTTGCTTTTATTAAATAGTATATTGGCACTGTTTCCAAAGGTATCATTTCAGGGATGTTTGAGATTCCTTCCTTTAAGTTGTAAACTGTTATTCTTAAAAATACAAATGTAGATGAGAGCGTTATGCCTCCTTGACCTGTATGGCCCTGTACATTGCTCTATCCTAGCACCTAGCATTTATCATACTGAATTATAGTCACTGATTATATCTCTGTTGTCCATGTCCATTAGAGTGGAAACTTCTTGAGGTCTTATTACTCTTTTAATCCACAGATCCTAAGAGGACATACTTTAAAATGAATGCATGACAGAATTTAATCAGAAGGTGGCCGGGTGCGGTGGCTCACACCTGTAATCCCAGCACTTTGGGAAGTCGAGGTGGGTGGATCACTTGAGGTCAGGAGTTCAAGACCAGCCTGGCCAACATGGTGAAACCCCATTCCTACTAAAAATACAAAAATTAGCCATGCATGGTGGTGGGTACCTGTAATCCCAGCACTTTGGGAAGTCGAGGTGGGTGGATCACTTGAAGTCAGGAGTTCAAGACCAGCCTGGCCAACATGGTGAAACCCCATTCCTACTAAAAATACAAAAATTAGCCATTCATGGTGTTGGGCACCTGTAATCCCAGGTACTTGGGAGGCTGAGGCAGGAGAATCACTTGAACCCGGGAGTCAGAGGTTGCGGTGAGCCGAGATTGCACCATTGCACTCCAGCCTGGGCAACAAGAGCAAAATTCCGTCTCAAAAAAAAAATTAATCAGAAGTTCTTCTCTGGATCAATAGCGAATAGCTCAGTGCAGAGATCCAGCATTTTGATCAGAGATTGGGAGGTAGTAAAGTGTAGGAGAAGGTAGTTCTGAAAGGATTAAAGAGCCAGCAAACGCTGGGAGATAGAAACTAGTGAAAAGAGGGAGCAAAAGAGAAATGTCAATGATACTCACAATTTGTATTGTGGATGGACCTTTGATTAGTAAATGAACAACTGGGAAAGAGAAGAAAAGGAAGAAGGGACCCCAGCAACCAGGGAGTGTCAAATGCTGCAGAGAGGTTGAGTAGGATTAGAGACTGAAAAGCACACAATTAGGATTTCTCTTCAGGAGATCATTAGAAAGAACAGTTTCTGTGGAGGGATGGGAGGAAAAGCCACATCCCAGTGGGAGGGGAGCGGGGAGCAGAATCTAGGAGTGTAAACTCCATTGCCTGGAGACCTATAGCTGTAATAATAATCACCCTTTGAAGTAAATGCTTTAAATAATCAATAATTTGTGCAATACTCTTGATTTGTAATTCAACCGTTTAACATTCCTCTTTGAAGAAGATAAACCTGCCTAAACCCCTGCTTTTGTAGAGAAATAAGCTGCGTATAAATAAATAAATTGCAGGTAGCGTAGCTGGTTAAGGGGTGGTAGATGTGTGCCTAAAGACTAACCACTTAAGATTTTCTATGGAGGAAACCTTGCTCAGTTAAGGCACATAACATGATTATCCCAGCAGCATGAATACTAGGAAGCAGCAGCATCATTTGTCTACCTAGTAGTGTCCCTAATTAGGAGCATCTTGCAGCATTTCCCCAGATTTGTGGCATTCACTGGGCCTTGTAACTCAAATGTGTTTCATTTACTGCCTTAAGACATATGTTTCAGCTTGTTTGGGATCATTTAAGTGCTTGATAATTCTTCCCTTCAGCTGTTGACATCTAGATAAATCCATTCTCATTTTCAGGCATTGTCTCCAATTTTAATAATGGAAGAGGCTATGTCAAAAGATGCTTAGTGTTTGTTTACTCAAAGGAATATTAATATTTGTTCTTATTACTTGCATCATGGCTTCCCAGCAGTAGAAGGCTTTGAAAGTAAACATGCATAATAACGTACCTTGATGAAGAACTCAAGCGAATCTAATCAATTATGATGAAACCGACTTAAAAATGTGTCAGGACTGCTAACATGAAAAGAGTTTAACTCTTTTAACAATTTACTTCATAGGCATCATTTGAGTTTCTGCTTATAGTTAAGGCACTGAAATGCCAAGGTGAAATGAATTTCTGCACCCCCTCATCCCCATATTTATTGTCTAGCTCTGATTGAAAGAGATGAGTGCTGAGTGATAGATTTACTGTGGTCAGCAGTAAGAAGACTAGAAAGTGTGACCTTTCAGGAGCGATCACCATCTAAATAGACAATTCCCTTGTCTCACCTCCATCTACTCAGCTAGTAGCTGCCACTATGTGAATTTCCCTCTTTACTTCCCCATGGTACCATCCTCCATTATGATTTTGCACATCTCAGATTCAATAAGCAATTTGGAAAGCAAAGCTACTGTCTTACATATTTAGCACAGTGTGCAAAGACTGCATAAATGCTTGTTGAATAGTAAAAAGAACAGTTAACAGTGATTGAGGTTTTACTATGCACCAGACAATGTGCTGAGTTTTATACACAATCTTCACATCATCTTAGGAGAGAAACTAAGAAACTTTGTTGGGACAGAGACTGAGACATAATGCGTTAGTTAAGGATATTTTGATGGCAAATAACAAAAACTCACTTCAGATTATTTAAAGTTGGGAAAGAAATTAGAATGTACTGGAAGGTCATTGAGAGCGCTTATGGAAATCAAAGGCAGAAATTAAATATAGGTCTCAGGAGGTACTGTTACCAGGAAGGGTCTTTGAGATATAAGAAAGTGATCTCTCTCTTCCTTTGGTCCCTTATTGCTGCTTCTCCTCATCCCTGTGACTCCCTCTCTATGGATGCTTTTGCTGATTAGCGTGCATGTGGCACCATGTGACCACACCACAATGCCAACCTCAACCCTCAAGTTTGCATCACTCCATTCAAGCAAAGAGCCCAGATGGAGAGTGGCATCTAAATCCCAAATCTGTATTCCAGGGGGATACCCTGATTGTCTCTGATTGTCCCAGATCAGATACTGAAGCCTGGTTTATAAGTTGGGCCAGGACACCAGTGTCACCTTACAGACATGGCTACTTGCGGCTCATTCCTGTGGATGAGAGCAGGCACTTCTAATAGGAGTGTGGGCTCAACAGGCACTCCAAACTGTGTCGTCTAAAAGTGGATAAGAACTGGTAATTATACAATTAATTATCAATAAAATTAATTATCAATAAAAGTTGACGATGAATTGAATGTGGCATGAGATAGAAGGAAAATTAGAGATGCCTCCAAGGGTTCTATCCTAGGGGATTAGGAGGCTCCAGGATGAGACCCTTCCATTGGAATGGTGGGCAGAGAATGAGACAGTGAAAGAGCCTGTGAAACAATAATGTGAGGAACGTGTTTTCTCATCTTAAGAAAACATAACTCTGCCTACAGTTTCCATTCAGACTAGTGAGTTAGGAGTCGTGGCTGTATAAGCTTACCTCTTCCCTTCACTGCTACAGTCCCCCTCTGGGCTTCTTTTCTGAACTTTGCCATATGACCAGCTCCACCCCCCCACCCCAAAGTGTGAAAATTTCTCTCTACAGATTTGTCTAATGCATAATAATTCAAGACAGAAGAAACTTCTATCCCTATTCAAATCTATTACTCCAAGAGGGCACAGTATTTATTCTGCCCATTATTGTACCCCTGGGCCTAACATGGGCAATTACAGATGGGCAATACATATATATTGCATGAATATATTCAAACGTATATTTGAAAAGGACGTTTTCAAAAAAGGTGTTTGCAAAATACCTGAGGAGGGAGAGGGGGATAGCTGCAGAAATACAACCAGTATAAAAATAGCTAATTTCCAAAATTGTGACTGAATTTCTAAAAGAACTACAGGCACTACACTTAAAAGTAGGTTGACCAACTTGTTCTAGTTTTCCTGGGACTTTTCTGGTTTTCACACTGAAAATCTCAAGCCCTGGGAAATACCTCAGTTCCGGGAAGACAGGGATGGTTGGTCATCTGGGCTCGTGACTTGTCTCAGCTGGCAGCTGTTCAAACATATTTTTTATGAAAGGCAGCTAGGTCAGACCAACATGATTCTTTCTTGGCTAAGAGGAAAAGCTTACATCTCAGCTCTCCCTTCCCAGTAAGGGCTTCCCATTCTTTGTCTTTACTTTATCAACTGGTAACTAAGATACACCTGGAAATTGTGCCGTATCAATATAAACAGGATACGGATGGCTTATATGGTGCTCAGTCCCTGTAAAGGTGAACTCTAGAACAGAACAGGATGCATTATTTTGCTGTGTTACAAACTGAATTATGTCATGTACATGATGATCTAATGTCTTTCTCCGAATCCAACCTTCTGATAGTGATGACGTTGTCTATGTGCCCTGTGGATCATGCAGACAAGTAACCTGGACTTTGCAGTTATGGAAAATGTGTACATTCATTGTCAGTTTAGAAATTGCCATCTCAAGTCCTCAATTCTCTTATTAGTGGAGTGTCCATATGTCCCTATTCACTTGGGTCAGTCTTAGATTAAGTTTGTTGTCCTGATTTAAATATTAATGGCATCCCCTCTTAAAAATCCCAGTAAGAAAAAATAGGTCCAGGTTTGGGTGATGAATTGTATGCACACTTCTGAGCATAGTTATGTGATTCCCAGAACCTAATCAGTATGTATTGATAAATCAAGCTCCTGAATGTTCAAAGGCAGAGCTAGGTCCTAGAAGTGAGGTACTCCCAGCATTGTGCATGCAGCCCGTCTGCCCTATCCTTTCCTATTCTCCTTCCAGGATTCCAGTGCTGCCCCCTGCTCTCTTCTGTCTTGTAAATATATGCAGTATCAGATACAAGTTTGTTTATCATGGTGTCAGAATTCTCCGATAAACATGTGTGAGTATACCAGTCTCAAATATAATTTCCTTTCAACATGTAGATGAACTTTTCCTCTAAGAGAATTACCTTCAGTTCTATACTCATCTGTGTTTCTCTGTCATTCACAAAATATAGCTTCCTGATTCTTTTGCTGGCAAGGTTAATTTGTTTACTTCTTTTGGGCATTCGGGCTCTTTCATTTTCTATTTTAAGATGTTGCTAGGACTGGGCTGTGACAAGTGTGTTATTCTATAAAATTGTAAAGCCATATGTGCAACTGGAACCTAAAGGGACCCAGAGGTCAGTAGGACATTAGGGGGTTAATGGAAGCTGGATGGGGCCAAGGAGATAGAAGGATTTCGATCCTTTTTTTGCTCAGGTGAATCATTCTCTTGGCTTCAGTTACCTATCTCCAAATGGTTGCCAGGCCCGCCCCACTCCTGGCACCTAATGTTTCCTACTTTCCAGTGCCTGCTCCTACACATTCTGTTCTTTGTACACCTTTAAATATGTTAAATGCTCCAGACTTGGAAGGAGAGTTACACAGCTGTGTGCTCTGTTTTGCTGTGATCTTTTCATCTCTGATGTTATAATAAGAACTACTTGTAAAAAATCTGTTAATTATGAAATATAAGCACATGGCACACATTGACAGACTAGAATGGAATGAAATGAAAGGTAGTTCTCTCCTTCTCCCACCCATCTCCTTCTCTCACTACTCAGACAGACATCCATTTCTTAGGTATGTTTCAGGAAGTTTGTACACACATGTATTAATGGATATCTTTTATATTCCAAATATACTTCCCAAGCTCTACTGTCTACTGAGTGCAAGCCACTAGGAAGTCACACATACAGAGAGGAGGAGGACCCAGACAAATCCAGACTCACAACTTGTCTCCCTGACTACAGCTTTTCCTCATCCTCATCTACCCAGAATATGCCACCAGAGCCATTTTCCCAAAATACTGCTTTCCTCATGTTCCTGCCCACAGAGTTGATGATGTTTCCTACCATCTATTTCTAAATTTCTCTGCCTTATTTTCAGAGCTTTCCTTTACCTTGAGTTCTTCTATATTCAGATGTCTAACAATGTTATTGCTGTTATAATGATTACAAAACCTGAATCTGAATGCTCACCCGCAGAAAAATCAGTTTTGTCTTTTTCCCTGAGAAATGCTGCCTTCAGTCGCATCTCTGGAGGGCCATCATTTATGTTGTTTCTCTTGAGCATCTTTTCTTCTCTCCACTTTAGGAAATGTTCCTATACATTAAGACTAGTCCTTGCATTACATAGGTGAGGAAAATGCATCTACAGGGACTAAGTGATTTCCCACAAGTCACATGCCTATTTGCTGGCAGAAATAAAACTAACTCTTAGCCTGAACCAGTAGGCTTTGCTTTAAATCATACTCCTTTAAACTAGATCCTACAAGTGGTATCACTATACCTATCCAAGCCACCACAAAGAAGAGAGCAGATTAAGTGCAGTAAAATACATTAGTTTATTGGATTTGTTCATTGCAAGATAGTAAGTGATTACAGTTCATTCTGAAGTGGGTGCTGATCTGTCCTCAAAGACAGCACCTGAGCTAAGCAAACTTGGCAAGTCCTTCTCTACCTTCTTACCTATAAATGTGATGAGTAACACTTGCCTTGCATGCTTGAGTGAAGAGGAAGACTTTTTTTGTCCAAATAGAGAGAATAGCTTCTCATTTAAGATCATGAAGGCCCAGTTTCCATTTCTTCTTCTCCCTGTTATCAAATGTAAAGTGTGAAAATTAAAGATAAACTATGTCCAGTGTTTGGTATACAGTGGGTGCTCAGTGACTTCAGCCTTGGTAATTTGTCCAGCAACTTAGTCCCTCTAAGACTGATACTTGCCTTGCTTGAGCCAATGAACTTCTTTATTTATTCCAGCTTCACTCACATCACCATGTAACCTGCTTGCCACCTTCAGCCTGGGCTTCTTCATTACTGCTCTTGGCCAGGCCTCCCAAATGCCCAGCTGTGCCTGTATTTTTGTAAATCATTTGCTCCCAGACACTTATCTCTGCCAAGATACTTATCTTTTTATCCCTTTACTGTCTATTACTGAACATTTATCTGAATCACTTCTCTTTGTAACCATACTCTGTCTATAACGGTCTGTCTGCTTGGGGGTAATTAGATACCTCGAAACCCCCCTCCACGCCTATCAAAGGCCTAGTGTCCGCAACTTGATGTTTCTCCATCTGGAATATCCTACCACCTGTCAGAACTCCATGGCGCAGGGTGGCATTATGACTTTCACTGACTACAGGCACTTCTGTCTTTTAAGGACCATTTCTCCACAAAAAAATATTAAAAATCAGATTTCATAACTGTGTTGGCCTAAAGATGAATATAATCCAGGCTCTGTTCATTAATATGTATCATTCATATTACTTTTATATTTTTCTTCTGATTTAAAAATAAATTAAACATTTTCATGGGCCCCTAAAAGCATTGTGGGCCTCAGGCACTGTGCCTTCTATGTCTAGTGGGTAAGTCAGCCCTGCTAGAGTCAGATATTCTTGAGTCCAATTTTGTATAAATTTGAGACATAGCGAAGAGAAAGAAGGGGCACAGGTAGTTACAGGAAAACTTAACACTCTTTAGTCTATCTATGTGAATGGTTGCTCATTTAGAGCTTGATGCCTTATTTCCACTTTTTTCTTCTCTGTATCAATTTTTTTTTTTCAGGTTGAATCTTGCCTACTCACGTTTAGGGCCTTTTTTTGGTGGATTGCTTTAATAAAGATGGATCTGTCAGACCTTGGAGAAGCCGCAGCCTTCCTCAGAAGAAGTGAAGCTGAGCTGCTTCTACTACAGGCCACAGCCTTGGATGGTGAGACATGTGGTGGTTGCTGGCTTCACTTTATTTTGCTCCTTCAAGATGGTGACTAAGATATTTGATTGACAGAGAAGAGCCATCAGTTCTAGAGCCTAACTTATTTGCTTAGGGTATGATCAGCCTCTAGGAAACTGAGCAATTGAGGGCCTCTGAGTATCCAGGGTAGGAATGGAAGTACCCACAGAAGAGGAGGGTGGCTGGGAGGCAGTCTAGGCCCGGGCCCTACACACTTGATCCTAAGACAGATTTTCTCTTCAAGGAGCCCCTGTTGTAACACAGACACCTGCAGGAATGGCCAGACAAAGCCTTTCCTAGAAACCTCTTAGTTATCAGTGAATGCCACAGTAGAGAGAGGGGCCTGTGACTTAGACTGGTGGGTGGGGTTTGTACATTGTGGGGAAGAAGAAAGGGAAAGACTCTGGTAAGGCTGCAGACTTTGAAGTTGTCTCTGGCTCTCCAGAATTTTTTGATGTTGGAGCCTTGCCTCTAGCGGTCTTCTAGGTCAGCAGGGTCACTCAGCCAACACTAAGCAAAAGGTAATTAGGAGACTTGCTCACCCTGATTCATAATTCCTTGGTAGTTACAGGCAAGGACAAAGGTTAATGAGGATTTAGCCTTAAAAAAAAAAGGCTAAGTTCTACATTGAAATCTCTAAATAAATGTTATTCTTTTTCCTGCTACCTTTACATGTCTGTGTTGAATTTCAGCTAATTGGAGATTTAGAAATCAGATTCACAGTATGATATAACATGAAGCTACCTACATGTCTTAATCCAAAATTATTCAGCAGTGCAACATAAGGACTGGCTGAATGTCGTTCTAGTATTCAGAATTAGTCAACATTAGACTTTAATATGACCAATTATAATTCAAGCCAGTTATGGAGGATATTATATTTCCATCACAGACCAGTCCTGGATCAGTTCCCAGTTTCCAGTCATTGGATTCATGACTGTGATTGGATTTTAGGCTAATTATAATCCATCAAATCAAATACGATAACAGAACTATCCCTGAGGTCAGAACTGGTCATGCAGAGGCTTATCGCAGGTAGTTAGATAATGGAGGACAAGATAATAGTGATGCCAGGAAGAAAAAAAAATTGAGCCTAAGCATTAGAGATAATTGGATGATGCATTTATTAAAATCAGCACCATAAATAATTACTTAAAACATAGCAATCTACATAATTTCCTGTTAATTTTTTGGACCAAACAATCCTTCCTCATAGAAATGCACTGGCAGCAGAGACAAGTGTTAGCAAAAGTTGTTCATCTTCCCAGGCTGGTAGACAATGGAGTTTGCTTTTTTGAACTCGGGTCAAATGGAAGTAGTGTGATGACGAGTATTTAGCAGGTAGTCTTGGGATCAAATTCCCTGTCCTTGACCATCTCTGGCTGGGTAATTAGAGCAAATCACTTCACTTTATTGAGCCCTGGTTTCCTCATGTATCAAAGGAGATAATAATACTTGTCCGGTCTGCCTTCCTCCATTGCTGTGGGGACCAAATGAGACTATAAATGTGAAAAATAAATATAATGCATTATTATGATACCCGAGAAGGAAAACTAGAATTCCTGGGTGACAGTGAAGAAGCCCAGGTGGTTGTAGAGCTAGGACAAAACACCATTCGAAAGCCAAATGTAAATAATTCTTATATTAGAACATGTAAGCGATCTATTTAAAATAACTATAAGACTGAATATAGTATTACCCCTGTTTTAATCAATATCCTAGAAAAAAGATTCAAAAGAAATGCTTCAATACATAACAGTGGTTATCTCTGAGTTGTTTGATTATGGGTGATTAAAAACATTCTTTTCTTCATACATTATTCTTCAAGTTTTCTTCAATAAGCACATATTAGCTTTATATTGGAAAAGATATTTAATTGTCTAAAAAATGGAATCATATAGAAAAAGGCCTACTTTACAGATGAGAATACGAAGGCCAAAAGAGATGAAGTCATGTGGCTTTATATCTTTTTACCAGCAAAGCCAGTGTTAAAATCCTGGCTGCCTCCCTCAAATCCATTGCTATCTACATTTCCAGCTCTGCATTATTCATGAACACCAGGAATTAAAATTGACAGAGTTCATTTACTTCATTTTTTAAAATGTCCCTGTCAGGGTTTGGGTCTCCTATGAGAAAGGATTTCTGATAATTTTTATTCCCCACTAAGTGTTTCCAGGGGTGGTAAGAGAGAGACTTCATCATGAGGCAGGTGGTGAGCCTACTCCTGGAGAGAAGAATTGGAGGAGAAAAAGCTAAGAATGTGTTAGAGGAGGCAGGCTGTAATGCAGGAGCACTGATTCAGGAGGTGGATGATCTCATTTCTAGAGTCATTATTGTAGTGACTGCCACTAATTAGCTATGTGACTATGGGCAACTCTCTTCATCTCTCTCCCAAGGTTCTTTTTCTAAAAAGAAAGAGAAAGAGAGACAGAGGGAGAGAGACTGTGCCAGGTGACCTTCAAGTTTCTTTCAAGTGATAACATTTGGTTTAAAATGCAGAGCATTTTACCTTAAACACACACACAAAATGTATGCTAACTGGGTGCTTTTCAAAAACAAGCATATTTTCATAGACATAACACAAAGCAAAATCAGTTTTTGCAAAAAGGGACCAAAATAATGAATACAATGCAAAGCCAGTATTTAAAACACAAATGATAAGTAGAAAGCAAATGCACAATCAGCTAGATGGGAACATAAACTCCTCTTGCCAAGCAGTTTTAGTGGTGAATTGTTTGTAATCAGGGAAACGAAGAAGGCAGCACTGATAGCAAGAAAGTCGTGAGCAACCAAATTCTTTGCAGAAACAAGCATGGTGGAAGAAGGGGCAAATGGTGCCCAACTTCAGCTCCTTTGTACACACTCCTTCCCCAGTCTTATTGCCTTCCTCTGGGAAATAAGGACCACCTGTCCTGCGGCAGTGAGCCCTCTCTAGCTTTTGTGACTCATATATTGGAGGTGATGGTTGGTGACTGAGTTCGCATTACCTGTTAGTGCTGTGGTTATAGTGGGGTTTTCACCTGTGTCTTCCCTAGCCATTGGCTAACATTTTCCCTCCTTCAGCCAAAGGCTTTCCCCATGTACCTGAGTAGCTGTGACCTGGGGACTTCTGTGAGCTTCTACTAAGGCTCATTTTCATATGTGTATATATATATATATATATATATATATATATATATATATATATATATATATTCATTTTCCTTTAAAAGGAAAGTATGATATATTGCATATACATACATAGACACACATATATATAATATGCTTTTAAAAGAAAATGAGCCAACTCCTGGGTTCAAGTGATCTTCCCCATTCAGCCTCCTGAATAGCTAAGATTACAGTCATGCACCATCACACCTGGTTAATTTTTATTTCTTTATTTTTTATTTTTGAGATAGAGTATCACTCTGTCACCCAGGCTGGAGTGCAATGGCACGATCTCGGCTCACTGCAACCTCCGACTCTCTGGTTCAAGTGATTCTCCTGCCTCAGCCTCCTGAGTAGCTGGGATTACAGGCACACGCCACCATGCCCAGCTAATTTTTGTATTTTTAGTAGAAATGGGGTTTCACCATGTTGGCCAGGCTGGTCTCGAACTCCTGACCTCGTGATCTGCCCGCCTCAGCCTCCCAAAGTGTTGGGATTACAGGCGTGAGCCACTGTGCCCTGCCTTATTTGTTTTTTGTAGAGACAGGACTGGGGGAGTAAAGGGTCTTGCTATGTTGCCCAGGCTAGTCTTGAACTCCTGGGGTCAAGAGATCCTCTCACCTTGGCCTCCCAAAGTTCTGGAATTATGAACATGAGCCACTGCACCCAGGCCCTTAAAATCATATTTTTTATTCATCATCACTGTCTATCTGCTTCAACTGGGAGAGAAAGAGAAGCTGCCTCAGGTGTTCATAAGAGTTCTGGCTCATTTCACCCCAGACCTCTTGTTGGTTAATCAGTTTATGGAGGGCTACTTTGCTTAGGGATGGGGTATAGGAACTGAGGACGCTGAAGAGAGAAAAATAACATATTGGGGGAAATAATATGAGCCGGTTATGTTGTTTAACAAAAACAACCCATATTCTCTCTCCTCAACCTGCCCCCCTGCCAATTCCACCATGTAATTCACTTAGCTGATTTCCATTCCAAGATTAGAAATAAGGTCTAAAGAAACCCTGAAGAACATAACCATTAATCTAAATTTTCACTTAGTTGTTCCCAGACTTTTTCTGAATGAGTTTTCTCGGGGGAGGGAATCTGGAAGGGGTGCAAGCACCAGGGCAACCACCAAAGTCCTGGGGTGTGAGTGGAGGAAAGTGTTGGGGTTGGGAGGGGTGTTGGGAGGTAACTTTCTTGTAGCAAAATGGTCTATGGTGCCCCCAAGCTGCTGCTTGCTGAGATGTTTCTTGTTCCTGTAGTGCCATTATGTGAGTGAGTGTATCTTCAGAATGAGCTTTCATGATTTTATCTGACTTTGCAAGTTCCTGTAGTCAACAAGCTGATTTAGCAGAAATGAGATTAGATCTATCAGTATGAAAGTGTCCAGTATGTATTTCTGTAAGTACTATAGCTATAATCCATTTTTTTTTTTTTTTGCTCTACAGGGAAGAAGAAATGCTGGATTCCTGATGGTGAGAATGCTTATATCGAGGCTGAGGTAAAAGGGAGTGAAGATGATGGAACAGTAATTGTTGAGACAGCAGATGGAGAGGTAAAGAAATTTTTATTTCATTGCAGTGATGACTATGTTCTCTATCAAATAACTAAATATATTATTTCTATAATATTTTAATTAAAGATCTGGGGTAGGAGATGCCACTGACTCACTTCGGAGTCATTCATTTTAAGAAGCTCCTCCTTAAGTCAGTGGGCACAATGGCTCATGCCTGTAATCTCAGCATTTTGGGAGGCCGAGGCAGGCAGATTGCTTGAGCCCAGGAGTTTGAGAGCAGCCTGGGCAACATGGCAAAATCCTGTATCTACAAAAAATACAAAAATAAACCAGTCGTGGTGGTACATGCTTGTAGTCCCAGCTACTTGGAAGGCTGAGGTGGGAGGATCACCTGAGTCTGGGGAGGTCGAGGTTGCAGTGAGCAGAGATCACATCACTGCACTCCTGGGCAACCAGAGTGAGATCCTGTCACCAAAAACAAACAAACAAACAAAAAAACTCCACTTACCATCAAAGATTTAATGAAGAACAGTGAATAAATCAGAGTAAAACAATTGCCAGTGGCAAGGATTATTGACTAGAACTCACAGCCATTTCTACTTTTTCATCAATGTTTCAAGTCAGTATTTTTAAAAAAAGGTATCCTGTGGGGTGAATAATGACTTAAGGAACCACGAAGCAAGCTGTGTTTGTAGGATCAAGAATGAGATGTATAATTTGAGTAAAAATGGCATAGTGTCACAGAAGCCAAGAGATGGGGGAATGGCCAGTAATGACAAATGCCACAGAAGAAGATTAAGAGTTGGAGAAAGTCTTGGATTTCAGAATTAGGAGGTCATCTATGACCTTTGTAAGAAAAGGTTATATCAAGTGTTGGGGTACAAGCTAGACTGTAAGGTTCACAGAAGAAATGTGTAGTGAAGCCATAATACCCGCCAGCCCCTTCTCCCTGCCACCAAGGCATTCAGAGCAGCAGGGTAACATTGAGAAGACAGCTCACTCTCAGAACCTTTGCCTACATTGCTGACTTCACATTACCTGCCACCCCGTGGTGTAAGCCGGGCCCCATTTCTGTCCTACTTAAATGAACTCTTCCTTATAGATTTTACAGATGATTCCCTGCCAATATTCACTTCTCTAAACTCCTTTAAATTCTTCCTTTTCCCAAATCCATAACAAGCCACATCCTGTAACAAACAGATATTATTGATATCGAGAAAGTTTGTCTTTTTAATGCTATCTTTGTTTTTAGGCAATTTACGATCTAACATGTTGCCATCTGATTTTTAAAATTCTGGAAGCCACTCATAAACTACCACATAGAATGCTTTCATATGTCTTCCTGACAGTCAATATCTGTTACGTAAAAAAATCTCAAATTAGGTAGATGTTATTTAACTCTTCAGGAAATTAAGAAAAGAACTTGGTGCTTTTTAACTGGAACATAAATAGGTGGACAAGGGAAAATTCAGCAAGAAATTTTCCTTAGTCCTAAATCAGTAAACTAAGAAATAGACTCAATCAGGGTCACTTAGCCTTGGGACAATATTTTATTAGAAAAGATCCCCCAAAGAAATCTTGTGCCCATTAGCAGTCACTCCCCCTTCTTTCCTCCTGCACTAGCCCCAGGCAATCACTGATCTACTTTCTAACTCTATAGATTTGCCTATTCTAGCAATTTCAGATAAATAGGAGCATATAATTGGTGGCCTTTTGTTTCTGGCTTCTTTCACTAAGCATAATGTTTTTGAGGTTCACTCACATTGTCACATGAATAAATATTTCATTCCTTTTTATGGATAAATAGTATTCCATTATATGGATATACCATGTTGTTCATCCATTCATCAGTTGATTGTCACTGGGTTGTTTGTATGCTCTGTCTATTATGAATAATGTTTCTATGAACATGCATGTGCAAGTTTTTGTGGGGACACATGTTTTCATTTCTCTTGGGTGTATAGCTAGGAGTGTATTGCTGGATCATATAGTAACTCTATACTAAGCATTTTGAGAAATTTCCATACTGCTTTCCAAAGTGGCTACCATTTTACGTTTCCACCAGCAACATATAAGAATTAAACTCTCTCCACATCCTTACTAACACATTTTATTTTCTTTTTGATTACAGCCATTCTATTGGGCATGAAGTGGTATTTTAATGTGATTTTTATTTGCATTTCCCCAGTGACTAATGATGTTGAGCATCTTTTCATGTACATATTGGCCATTTGTTTATCTCCTTCAGAGAAATGTCTATTCAAGCTCTTTGCCCATTTTTTTAAATTGGGCTATTGCCTCTTCATTATTCAGTTGTAAGAGTTCTTTTTACTTTCTGGTTGCAAATCCCTTACCACATGTATTATTTGTACATATTTTCTCTCAGTCTATGTATTTTTTCATTTTCTTAATGATGACCAACTAAATTTTATTAGGCCTCCAGATGTGAGGCTTGCTCTTCTGAGCACATTCTCCAAAACAAACTACTGTCCCTTCAACAGCACTTAAGGTGATTTGTGACTATAATGTGGTTACAACCATAGGAAGAAAAGGCCATTAATGCAGGTAGAAAGAAGAGTCTGAAGGTGGTTTATTTTGTCCTGCTTGTCCTTCTTTGATGTAATGAAGGTCCCATTCCCCCAGCTTCACTATCTCCCTGGCTCCAGGATTCCTCTTCCTCATGTTAGAAGTGACTACACTTCCAATCACAATGTTACAATGGTCTTTGTAACATTAGCAAAGGCAATAAATCTAGTGGGTGTAAAGTACTACTTATTGATGAAAGTTGGAAATGAAAAAAATAGAAAAATAGAATTAGGGAAAAGGGGAGGTTTTTGAAGATGTATGAGATATGTTTACGTTCTGCATGGGTTTGAGGGGAGATGAGTCCTTGAAATACAGAAAGTGAAGGGACTCAAAAGAAGAGGGATTACTGTTAGAACAATGTCAAAGAAGACAGATGGATAGAAATTGAATCAAGAATGTAAAGAGTGTGAGAGCCTTGGAAAGAAGCCATCACCAACTGGGATTAAATGGGGCAATCAGTTGACACAAATATGTATTAATCATGGAAAAGGGCTATAGAAAGGGTGTTAGGAAACCTGTGAGAAGAATCCCAAGAAACTTTGATAGTAGAAATGCATCCATATTAATCAATATATTAATATTTATTGATTATTTATTATATCCCAAGCATTGTGATAGGTGCTTTAATAACTATATTTAATAACTATAGTTATTATGACAACAACATCAAAAATGAACATGCATTGCAAGTTTTTGAACTTCATTAAAGAAGACAACATCAAAAATCCTTCTTAAGGTATTTATAATCTAGCCAGAAAATAGTCTAACATAGTCAATTATTAAAATATACAAAAGAGTATTAATGTAAAGATAGTACAAATGGTAAGACTTAACAGAAGAGGACAAACTAATAAGCTGGAGTAGTTGGGAAGGTTTGAGGGAGGAGACAGGTTTTGAACTAGGTCTGGAAGGATAAGGTCTGCCTCCTTAATCCTCCACTCTAAGTTTCTTCTTTTAAATCTCCAAGGTGTGTTGGGACATCAAGGGCTGGGAGTTAGGGGTTAGATTGTACATAATATGATCCATGTACTCTTAGAGGGAATCAGGGCTAGCCAGAAGCCATAAGATTAGGGTACTGCATGATAGAAAATCTTGATATAACAAAAATACTATGTTTACTTCATCTTTAGGGAAGGAGAGGGCTTTTTCAGGGAGAACACCTGTTTTTTTCCATGAAGGCTGGCTTAATTTCTTCTGGCCCCATCCCCTAATGAGGCATCATTTTTTCTTTTTGAGTCTGAATATTCTTTCTAATTCATGGGAAAATGAATACGCATAGGAGACAGGGGAATATATCATATATTTTTCTTCTCTCTGCAGAGTCTGAGCATAAAGGAGGACAAAATCCAGCAGATGAATCCTCCAGAGTTTGAAATGATTGAAGACATGGCAATGCTGACTCACCTCAATGAGGCATCCGTGCTGCATACCCTGAAGCGGCGCTATGGCCAGTGGATGATCTATGTGTGTAATATGCTTTCCTGCTAAACTGTCATGTTGGCAGTCACATTGCATGTCCCAATCTCTCCTGGGTGATCTCTTACATTGAGTTTAAGCATGCTCGCACAGGGATAGTCCTTGAGCAATGTCTACTGGGAAGGGACCTTATCTTAGCATTTCCCCAATTTTATTTTGTCAACATTCATATGCCTTCCCACAGGTCATCCTTAGTTAAAAGCATGAGGCTTAGAGCCTGACAGAGTAGCCACCAGCCCTGTCACTTACTAGTTGTTAAGTTTCCTAACTTCTTGAAGTTGCCTTATCTATAAAGTGGGATAACAATGTCTGCCTTTCCATGGGAGCTTGGGGGATTAAATAAAAGAATGTAGGTAAAGCACGTAGTTCAATGCATGTCACCTAGTTAGTGATTAATGAGTGAGATGATTTCTTCATCATCTTTAAATTGATGATGGTTGGTTGCTCAAGTTCTTTGACTTACTCAAAACCTATGCAGCAGAAACAGTGCTGAGTAGATTAAGCTAAGATGTAGCATCTGGGACCCATGGCCATAGGAGCCATGGCATGCAACCAGCTTGCTCCTCAGCTTTCTGATTTACCATGTAACTGTATTAGTTTCCCTGGGATGCTGTAACAAAACTACCACAAGCTGGGTGGCTTAAAACAACAGAAATTATTCTCTTACAATGCTGGAGGCCAGAAGTCCAAAATCAAATCCAATCAGCAGGGCTGCACTCCCTCTGGAGGCTCTTGGGGAGAATCCTTCCTTGTCTCTTCCAGCTTCTAGCGGCTCTAGCATTCCTTTTGGTTGTATCACTCCAGTCTCTGCCTGCATTGTCACATCACCTTCTCCTCTGTGTGTCTCTTATAAGAACACAAGTTATTGGATTCAAGACCCACCTGGATGTCATCATCTTGAGACCCTTAACCTGTAATTACATTTGTAAAGACTATTTTTTCCAAATAAGATCACATTCACAGGCTCTGGAGAATAGGACATAAATATATCTATTTGGGGGCGACAATTCAACCCCTTCAGTGACTGAGTGACCCACATGAGCTAGTCCTTCTCAGTGCCCTAAAAATCAAACCCCTAATCTTGCTGAGGCAGAGTCCCCGCTGGCCTCAAATGCCTGATGGCTGGTTACTGAAATCTCTGCAGTCCTGCCATCAGGGTCCTCTCTGTCTTCAGAAGCTTCATGTGTCAGACTTGTTAGTAATTAGCAGGTCTCCCAGGAGAAAGGTAATCCCAGGTCCTGATGTTACTCTAACCTGGTTCTGTCTCTTCTTGTTAGAAGTCCCTTCTCTACATGATTCCAAAAGCTCCCCTCTGAGTTCCTTTATAAGTAATATTTGAGCAAATATTACTTGACACTGGAAGAGCTGACAAACCTGGAAGTATTTCTAATCTAGTTTCTGAAATCTTTTCTGATTTTCCCTCAGACATATTCAGGTCTCTTCTGTGTGACCATAAACCCTTACAAATGGCTTCCCGTGTATCAGAAAGAAGTCATGGCCGCCTACAAAGGGAAGAGGCGATCAGAGGCTCCCCCTCACATCTTTGCTGTTGCCAATAACGCCTTTCAGGACATGCTTCACAGTGAGTAGCTGCCCTACAAAATGAAAAGTAAAAATATCTGATCTACTTTTTCTCTATGTCCCTAAGAGGCACTTAGGCATTGTGAGCAGAGCATGGCCTTTACAGTTAGCTAATCACTTGAAGCCTCTGTTTCCTTCTGGATAAAATGTGGGTGAAATAGTACCTACCTCCTAGGGTTATTGGGCCGATTAGTTTGTACATCAAAGTGAGATAATGCATTTAAAGTGCTCGGCCCAGTGGCTGGCCCAGAGTAAGCCCCCTGCAGATGTTAGCCTTTATTATATACAGCATCTTCTATATTGTCTGGCACAAAGAAGTTATTCTATAGATATTATTACACAACGATTCTTAAAAGGCTTAAAATGGCAAGAATCTCAATCATTAGTTGGTTACCATTTATATGTAGCGCAAAGAAGTAGGCCTTTATATGTTCTTATGATTGGCATACATAGGGGCAAGAGAAAATCGATTTTACCCTGTACCATTTGAGGGGTATGTTTTTCTAACTATAAATGATGCTAATCCTTTCCCTTGTGTCTGATTTCAAATTGTAGCTAGGGAAATTTTGAGTAAGTTCATACTAATACATAAATATCGAATATAAGAATATTCTGGCATTTTTCTTTCTTTTGTAGATCGAGAAAATCAGTCTATACTCTTCACGTAAGTGTTTGCCTTGTTTTTCTTTTTTGGCCTGAAGTAAGTTTCAGTGAAATAGATACCTCCATTTCACTGGGAATAAAACTTTGATTCGCCATCTTTGAATTAATTGCCCTTTAGATGCAATACATTTGAGGTAAGAAAAAGATACTCAGGAAATTGTCATAGTGCTTTAGTCAGTGATGACTCCAAATATGGGGTCAGCTAGTCTGCCTCCCTCATTTTCAGAGATCCTTTAGAAATAGTGCACAAGCTGGTCTTAATTACCTTCTTGAGGATTAAGAGAGCTACACTGTTCCAAATGGTCATCTTCAAAGGCCTCTGGACTGGCTAAGCAGAGGGGCTGAACGTCCAATAGGTATGCCCATGGAACAGATAACAAGCAGTTGTGGGCAGCCAGATTGGGGCAGGTCAAAGTACATGAAGCAGTGGAAACTAAAAGATGGTGACATTTAGAGAAATAAGAAAGGGCGTAAAAAGGATAGACGGAAGTGTCACAGTGATATCTTATTGTATGTGAATTTTGATGAAAAGAGCCCTGGCTGGCCAGGTAAAGTGTCAGCATGGTGGCTGAGACTCAAGGGGCTGTGAAGTGCTAAAGTCCTTTACCTTCCCATGCAATGATGGTGTTACCACCTTGTACATTGGGCTCTCCATTGGCTTCAGTTATCCCAAGAGGGATCATGAGGTCTCAGAATTTTAGAGCTACATGAACAGTTGGGAGTTCAGCCTTTCACAGACAGGATAAACTATTTTCTGGAGTTTTGTATAGATAAAGGCAGGCAGGCCTTGATTCTATGATGCTTACATTGAGGAGGCTATAAATTTGCCACTGTGCTCTTCCCACATTGCAAAGTTAGCTGGTTGTCAAAGGTAAGGTAAAGCCTAAAGCCCAACTGCCTGGTGAAGTGATTGGTAGCCCTCTTCTGAGAAGAGGGTTGGACTTGGCTGTGTGGTAGCCTTCATACATGAAAATCTCTTGAACAGCTGGTAATGAGGAGACTTGTCTAGTTAGAAGAGGTGCTTTCCTGCTGCTTGTTATTAGGACCACAAGGAACAGGCTTCCTAATATTTACAAAAAGTTGTGATCTTTCTAACTCCAGATTTTTGCTCATGCTGTTTTTCCAGCCTGAAATGTCCTTGCCCTTCTCCCAACCAATTAAATGTCAATATATCCTCAAGTTCCATCTGAAGCTCTACTTTTATGTAAAAGCTTCCCTGCTTGCCATAGCCTATATAATCAAAATTACCTAACTTTCGTTGCATTGATAATCAGAACCAGTTAACTGTATCACTGAATTTCAAATCACAGAGGAGAATCTGGTGCTGGAAAGACTGTGAACAGCAAACATATTATCCAGTATTTTGCCACCATAGCAGCCATGATTGAATCCAGGAAAAAGCAGGTAAGTGTTTATATAGCTTGGTAGAAAAGATGAGGTGGCCCTATCCACTGGATCATGGAGGTTGTGTCCGGACCACTTTTGGGAAGTGAGGCCACAAGCACCACAGGACAATTTGCAAATTATAGAAAAGTATTTTTTTAAATATTTCCTTTGGTCCTTGAGAGGATCATCAAGTGCTCCAAACAATAACATGAAAACATGAATTATGTAATTAATTTCACATCTGCTTAAAGGGGCATTTTCTGGCCTGGTCTTTGTTTATTGGACCTGTAAGTTAAGTCCTCAAGATTCAAACCATCTTACCTAAAGGCTAGGGTCATCAGTGGCTTGGATATTTCTGAATCCCTTTAGCTACTGTGAGATATCAGATTCCCACAAATATGCACCAATAAAATTTTTCTTCATTCATACCTAACTCCTGGATCAAATTCTAAATGCCCAATGAATATACCCCTCAATGTTAATCACATACCACATTCAGAAAAACTTTGCCTTCCCTATTAAAAAAAAAATCCTTGTTCATTTTAGTTTAGCTTACTTTGTTTAGCTCCATTAACATGTTAATGGACATCATAATAACTTGAGGATAACTAAGACCATAAACATTGGTATGCAAAATAAAATCAGGTAATGCTGAATGGAACTCAAAATCAATGAGTTATTGAGCTGTTAGACCTCTCATTTTTCTATGTCTGGAATGATTATTTTGCTTTTTTCAATTCGATACTGGATGTTTGCTGTTTTTGCAAAGTAAGAAATATATTAAAATAGCCATCTGACCTAATTTTTAAACTATAGAAGTTTCTTTTTTTTACCACCACGTTCCTGAATTTGATTATTGATTTCTTTGGGTATCATTGAGCTCTTTTTTTTTTTTTTTTTTTTTTTTTTTTTACGGAGTCTCGCTCTTTCGCCCAGGCCGGACTGCAGTGGTGCTGTCTCGGCTCACTGCAACCTCCGCCTCCTGGGTTCACGCCATTCTCCTGCCTCAGCCTTCTGAGCAGCTGGGACTACAGGTGCCCGCCACCGTGCCCGGCTAATTTTTTGTATTTTTAGTAGAGACGGGGTTTCGCTGTGTTAGCCAGGATGGTCTCGATCTCCTGACCTCGTGATCCTCCCGCGTAGGCCTCCAAAGTGCTGGGATTACAGGCGTGAGCCACCGCCCCTGGCCATCACTGAACTCTTTTATTCACTAGATGTAACTTTGTTTTTACAAGCATTTTAGATGTTTGTGGTTTTTTTTTTTTTTTGGTGCGCATTAAATGGTTTGGTCTAGCCATTGAGTTTTATGATAATATATAATACAATACATAAATATAACACTCCTATGGAAATCCTTGCTCATATATATATAATGTTCTCTAACTTATTTGAAGGACAGTAAACCCATATTACTGAAAAGGGATATAATATTTATAAATCCATAAATTATTGAGTACAGTATACTATATAAGTCCCCCCATAAGATGGGGAATATTATATAGTAGTAGGGATATAAGAAGGGATATAATATTTATAAATCCACAAATTATTAAATACCATATACTACATAATTACCCCCATAAAATTGGTCTTTGAGGCTGACTGGAAAACAACAAAGCCATGTAGATATGGTAGATAGGTAGATGATCTGTTTTTGCCTATCAGCCTGAGCACACGTGATTCAAATTCAAGATCAATACTATTAAAAGTCACTACTCATGTGAACCTCTAGATTACTTAGGAAAAGAAGCAAGCAAAAGTATAGTTTAATAACACCAAGAGTCTGTTGTATTATCCTAGGATAAATTTCCAAGTGCAAAGATCGGATGGGAAGAGAGGAAGATTAATGATGGGGGAAATATATGATATGTTTGTCTGGAAATAAGCTTTGGTATGTTTTTCTTTTTTATTTGGTGACCATTTGCTTTTCCCCCTCAGGCCAATGCCAACCAAAAAAGAAGCATTGCAAATAAACGAGCTCCCACATATTCATAGGGGTATTGTATATTGTTAGCCTCTGTCATCCAACTGTTTTTCTGATTTCTCATTCGAAGATAATATAACCAAATTTGGAAGCAGCTTTTGGCCATTGGTTATCAAAGCAAGAATGGGGTTTGACCTGGAGATGGAGGGCTTGCCGCATTACAGAATTCTACTAATAGTTTCATCAGCTGTACTTCTCTTGCATGTGTCTCAGGGGGCGTTAGAAGATCAAATCATGCAAGCGAATACTATCTTGGAAGCATTTGGAAATGCTAAAACCCTGAGAAATGACAACTCCTCTCGTTTTGTAAGTAACATGATTTAGCATAATATCAAAGTATTTAATTTGTAAGCAATGGTAAAACTTATATGTAAGCACATAGGTATGAAAAAATTATAGAACACCAAAGAAGGTCTTTGATTAAAGTCTGTAATGTTAGATTTCTCAAAAAAAATTACTATCTATATCATTAAGACAATTAAATTTTTATAAATAAATATGCATTTTAGGAGTTTCTATTTGGTCAATTTCAAGAAAAAAGCATTTATCTTAATAGTTTCAAATTCCACTCCCAGTAGAGAAGCTCATCCAAAAAATTATAATAATGTTTTATATTTTATTATGTTTTACATATTTGAATTATTTTCTCATTCATGATTTCCTAAACCCCTTATAACAAGTCAGTTTAGTAGGCACTTCCTAATTCACTTACTACAATTACTGTTTGTACTGTTGCCTGTGGCCTCCTTAACCCCTGCATATTTTTCACTGGAGACATTTTGGCGGGCTGGGGAGAAAGTATTTTTAAGTAGCTTTTGATAACTAGAACTCCCATAAAAGAGGAAGAATTTGGATTTCTAAACCTAGTTTAACAAATCCATATTATGCCAAGAATCAGTGGCAGGGAGCCACTGTATAATTTACAAGAAAATTTGCAGAAGGCTTCCTATTTGAGTCTCCGGGCATAATTAAATAATAACCTCATGCCGATTTGGCTAGTTTCCATCCAAAGCCTTAGAGCTTCTCTGTCCACATTTAGATGAGCTTACAGTGTCTGGCTGGTCATAGCAGGTGCTAATACTGGTTCATAAAACAACTGGTAGATTTGGGATGTTTTAGAATGCTAAAGGACTTTCTGCTGAAATATGAAAGATAGAAAGCTGGGGGAAAAGCAAGGGAGGCAAAGGGGAGCAATAAAGGGACAGAAAAAGAACATTTTAAAAAAGGAAAGAAGAAAGACAAGGAAAAAAATAAAAGGAAGAAAGCGAAGAACATCAGGTAAAAAGAAAGATAGCCAGGTGTGGTGGCTCATGCCTGTAACCCTAGCACTTTGGGAGGCTGAAGTGGGCGGATCACTTGAGCCCAGAAGTTCAAGATCAGCCTGGATAACACAGTGAGACTTTGTTTCTACTAAAAATAAAAATATTAGCCTGGAGTGGTGGTGCGCACCTGTAGTCTCAGTTACTCAAGTGGCTGAGGCTGAAGGATGGCCTGAACCCAGGTGTTTGAGGCTGCAATGAGCTATGATGATACCACTACACTCCTGCTGGGTAACAGAGTAGGAATTTGCCTTAAAGAAAAGAAAGCAATTGAAAGAGAACAGAAAGGAGAGAAAAGTTGGAAAGATAGAAGGAAAGAAGTAGAGGAGAAAAATAAACATGAAGATGGATAAATGGAAGGAAAGAAAGAAGAGAGAAAGAAAAAGGAGTTCAAAAAAATCAAGAAATCTGGGTTAAAATTTTCAATTAATACTAAATAGGTATGTATACATATACTTCTGTATATGTGTATGTGCACACATACATATTTACTTGCATGTTTGTGTGTATGGGTATATATACATGTATGTTTGTGTGTGTGACTCCCACTGTCCTACATATTTTAATGTACTAGTTTGATCCCCCTGTACAGAGCCACTCACGTCTTCTTGCCAGGCTGCTGTCCTGCCCTGATGCCTTCCTGGCATGGGCCAGCCTCCCCCAGGCTGTCTTCCTCCCTGTTCCAGCATCCTGATCCCACAGGCTCTAGCTGCCACCAGATGGTGCCACCTCCTCAGCTGCATCTGGCATTCTGACATGGGCACTGGCACCTCTGGACAGCATTTCTGCCCCTCTAGATCCTGCCTTATGACTTTTCACTGATAAGGAAGAAAGGGTGCCCGTCTATTATTTATGCCAAGGTGTGCTATGAAACATAAATTAGATCACATCACTCCTCTGCTTAAAACCTTACAATGTCTCCCAAGCACACATAAAATAAAACTCTACCCTTTCCCGTGTTCTACATGGCTTAGATGATATGGAGTTTGTCTACCTCTTCGACTCCATTTTATGCCCCCCCTTTCTCTGACTTTCTAAATTCTAAGATATTGGCTTTTCTTGTGATTTTATGTCAGAGCTGTTGCAGTAGCTGCTTATCCAGTAGACTATAAGATTCATGAGGGTAGGGGCCATGTCTATTTTTTTTGTGCGGTATCTCCAGTGCCTAGAAGGTTACCTGGATCTTAGTAGATGCTCAATGAATGTTTGTTGCATGAATAAACAAATATGCTGAGGAAATATTTTTCTCATCTTTAGATAAGAACAGTGAGGCCCAGAGAGATTTCACAATGCCCACAAGAATACACAGGTAGCAATCAGCAGATTTGGGGCTACAAGCCAGAACCACTGCTAGTCCTGACAATCATTCTGGCTTCCTCCAGATATTAGCTGGTGCTGTCTCATCTCAAACCCACATTGCATTTTTCTCTTCTTTTCTTTTCTTTCTTTCTTTTTTTTTTTTGTTTGTTTTTTACTTCTGGGGAAGTAGTCCTTTTGAGAGTTACATATAATGAAGCCATTGCAAGTGCTTGGAAAATGTGAATAGGAAACTGTGTTTTGTGTCTGACTGTGTTCTGTGTCCACACTAGGGCAAATTCATCAGGATGCACTTTGGTGCCAGAGGCATGCTGTCATCTGTGGACATTGATATCTGTAAGTAGTCATTGCACTGTCTGATTACTTTTTTCTTTTCTTCCCTTCCTTCCCTTCCCTTCTCTTTCCTTCCTTCCTTCCTTCCTTCCTTTTCTTCTTTCTTTCTTTCCTTTTCTCTCTCTCTCGTTCTTTTTCTCCCTTCCTTCCTTCTTTTCTTTTCTTTCTTGACAGGGTCTTACTCTGTTGTTCAGGCTGGAGTGCCGTGGCATGATCATGGCTCACTGCAGCCTCGAATTCCTGGGATCAAGCAATCCTCTACCTCAGCCTCTCAAGTAGCTGCAGCTACAGGCATGTGCCACCATGCCCAGCTAATTTTAAAAATTTTTCTTTGTGGAAATGGGGTCTCACTATGTTGCACAGGCTGTTTTCAAACTCCTGGCCTCAAGTGATTCTCCTGCCTTGGCCTCCCAAAATGCTGGGATTACAGTTGTGAGCCACTGCGCTCAGCCTGATTACTTTTCTTCTACATTTTGCAAGAATGCCTAAGTATGAATTTTTATTCATTTCTCATCATCCAGATTTGCTTGAAAAGTCCAGGGTGATTTTCCAGCAGGCTGGAGAGAGGAACTACCACATATTCTATCAAATTCTATCTGGACAAAAAGAGCTTCATGGTAAGTGTAGGATTCTGGAGCTTAGGGTTATTCCAAAACAAGAAAAATAAGTCATATTTGGGGGATGAAAAAGTGTTATTCGGTAAGTTTCTTAGCCTATTTAGACCTCAGTATATTCATCCTTAAAACTTAGGGAATTGAATCAATTATAGAACTAGTGTTGTATAATTTTATATGGACAGACAGTAAATAGCAACACTTCTTTTTCAATTTGGTAGCAAAAAGAAGCAGAGTATTTGGAAATGGGTAGGATGCCCAGCAGAGGTGAGTGAGTGTGTGTGTGTGTGTGTGTGTGTGTATAAAAGCATTAATTTAAGGCCTTAATTAGAGCTACATGGGTGGTATAGATAAGGACCAGGGGAGGGAAATAGCATCATAGTGTGTGGTGGTCAATGGGAGTTTTCTCTCTTTTTTCTTTTTTAATAGAGATGGGGTTTCACCATGTTGGCCAGGCTGGTCTCAAGCTCCTGGCCTCAAGAAATCCTCCCACCTTGGCCTCCCAAAGTGCTGGGATTACAAGTGTGAACCACCGTGTCTGGCTCAGGGAGTTTTATAAAGAAGGGGAATTTAGGTTGGGATATGAAGAATGGGAAGGGGATTCAGTCAGACAAAGTGAAGAGTGGAGGCTACTTCTGGTAGGAGGAAGAGTGTACACAATGTTGGGAAAGGGCAAAGCAGGAGCAGGGAACAGAGAGACCAGGTTGATTAAAGGAAAAGGTTTGCACAGAGGAATAGTGGAGATTTTATTCCGATGGTTTCTGAACTCAGGGAGTTGGCAGAGCAAGTGTGTTGTGGGGGGTGCGGCAATAGGAGGTCATGATTTATTGAAGGCAGTGTTTGGGACGATTAAGCTGGTAATGGGCAGGATGGTGTGGAGGCAGAGACTTGGATGGAAGGGATTGCAAATGTCCCAGTATGAGATGACAAGACAGTGATCTAAGAGAGTGTCTGAGAATGGAAGGGTGGGGGAAAAGGGATAGATGCATGGAAGAATAGACAGGTCTTGGTAGAGACTGAATGTAAGAATGAGGAAGAGTGATGAGTCAGTCAAAAATATCCCCAAGTTTTGTGATTTGATTAGGAGAATGATAGTGCCATAAACATAAAATAAGAAAAAAAATGTGGAATAAGGGAATGAATTTCATGTATTTATTCAACAAATATTTATTATGGAGCTGCTATGTGTACACCAGGCACTGCTTTTTAATCATAGGGGGTACAGTGGTGAACGAGGTAGACAGGCCTCTGCCCATATGAGCTTATAGTCTAGTATGGAAGACAGGCAACAAATGAGTAAAGAATACATGATCTAGGCTGGGCGTGGTGACTCCTACCTGTAATCCCAGCACTTTGGGAGACTGAGGCAGATGGATTGCTTGAGGTCAGGGGTTTGAGACCAGCCTGGCTAACATGGTAAAAACCAGTCTCTACGAAAAATACAAAACTTAGCCAGGCATGGTGGCAGGTGCTCGTAATTCTGGCTACTCAGGAGACTGAGGCAGGAGAATCACTTGAACCCAGGAGGCGGAGGTTGCAGTGAGCTGAGAATGTGCCAGTGCACTTTAGCCTGGGCAACAGAGTGAGACTCTGTCTCAAAAAAGAAAAAAAAAAAACCATGATCTAATTTCTTTGTAGGTTATATGGCAGGTCTATAAAGAACAATAAAGTACAGTGAGGGGACAGAAAGAAATGGGGTTTGGTAGGGTTGTGGATAGTTCTATTTTAGATGAAATTGTCAGGGAATTTCTCTGAAAAGACAACATTCTTTGCAGACACCTCAATGAGTAAGGGAGCAAGTAGGCAAAGATTTCCAGGAATAAAATCCCAGGAGGAGGGAACAGTGAGTACAAAGGTCCTGAGGCAATAATGCATTTGATTTATTCTTGGAATAGCAAAATGGCCACTGTGGGTGGTAGAGTAGAGAGGGTAACGTAGGGTAAAATAGGCAGGGGCCAGACCATGCAGTGCATTGCAGGCCATGGCAGACCATTTAAAGTGGCATAGGAAGTCATTGGAAGGGGAGAACTACACGCTGATTTGATTTCCGAGGTATTGCATTTGAGGTAAGCCTTTGAGGACAACAATGCTCCCACAGAAGTGGACATAGGGTAAGATTACAGATCCAGGCTAGTAAACTGATGGGAACAATTCTCCCAGTCCATTATGCTTAGACTAAGTATGGTATAAATCTAGCAGTGTTTTGACTACTTGGTTTTTAAAGTACCCTTACCAAATGGGGAAAGCTCTGCAAACGAGACAATTATTTTTGCCATAGATGTAATTGGTGTCATGTAAGCAGCACGTATTCTCCTCCCCACCTTCTCTCCACCTCAACCTGGAACAGGATTTTTTTTGATCTTCCATTGATTAGTCCTATCAAATCTAACACTCTTGACATGTGTTTCTGGATGGTATAGAGCAACTGACACGTAAGATCTAATGTGGGTACCAGCAGAGACTGCAAGATTATTTTCAGAGCAACTCTGTTTACTAATAGAAGCATCTGATGCCTTTGGGCTGCTATGGAAAATGCATGCTTATCCTGAGTTCATTTATCTTCTTCGGTCTTTGGGGGTTGCTGAGATTGATTACTGTGCAAAGTCTGACATCTGGTGGTCCAAATTGGGTATTGTCAGTCTACCTGTTTTAGCACCCATTGTCCTTTTGGGGGACATTTTAAAAGATGATCTGGAACTCTTACCATCCATGTTTGCTAAAGAAGAGCTTCAGAGTATCCTGAGGCTTAATACAAGAGGGCATATCTTAACGATATGAGGATGATGTCCACATATCCTGAAATATGAGGATTTGTCCATACTACAAAAGAATTGGGTATGGAAATCACAGCAGAGAGGCTGGTCACCCACTGAAGGAGCGAAGGAAATGAGGTGACATGTTACCTCAGAGCCAGCCCCTATTTGACCTCTACATGGCCATGAGCACCCCTTCACTCCTTTGCTCTCAATTATATCTGACCCTTGTTCCAGGCATAGCTAAGGCTCATTTCTTCAGTTCTTTTGGACAGGGCTCATTCAAAATCCTTAGTTCTTACTGCCGTCTGTATAGCTTGGTCCTACATATATTTTCCCTTTTCTCCTCTTTTTCTTTTGACTTTTTTTCTTTCTATTTATTTATTGTGTCTATTCTTGCTATTCAACTAGTGTATAAATTCCAGGAGTGATGGTAAGTGACCAAGAGGTCCTTCCGTCCTGGAATCCTTGACATTTGGCCTCAACCCTGTGTATTCACTTCATAAAGTATACAACAATTGTGCATCATCAAGAGAGAATCTACTGAATGAACAGGAAAAAATATTTGCAAACTGTACATCTTATAAGGGCTGAATATCTAAAATATATAAAGAACTCAACTCAATAGCAAGAAAACAACTGGATTAAAAAATGGATAAAGGACCTGACAGACATCTCTCCAAAGAAGACATGCAAATGGCCAACAGGTCTATGAGAAAAGCCTCAACATCAATAATCATCAGGGAAATGCAAAGCAAAAACCATAATGAGATATTGTCTTACTATCAGAAGGCAAGAGATAACAAATGTTGGCAAAGATGTGAAGAAAAGGCAACCCTTTTTCACTGTTGAGTCAACTGTAAATTACTACAGTCATTATGAAAAATGGTATGAAAGTCACTCAAAAGATTACAAACAGAACTACCATATGATCCAGTCATCTACTACTGGGAATACATCCAAGGGAAATGAACTCAGTATCCTGAAGAGGTATCTGTACTTCCATGTTCAATGCAGCATTGTTCACAATTGCCGAGATAGAGAAAAAACCTAAGTGTCCATGAAGGATGACTGGATAAAGAAAATGTGGTATATATACACAATAGGATACTATTATGCCTTTAAAAAAAGAAGGAAATCTTGGCTGGGTATGGTAGCTCATGACTGTAATCCCAGCACTTTGGGAGGCCCAGGAGGGAGGATTGCTTGAGCCCAGGAGTTCAAGGTCAGCCTGGGCAACATAGCAAGACCCCGTTTCTACAAAAAATTTAAAAATTAGTTGAGCATGGTGGCATACACCTGTGGTCTCAGCTACTAGGGAGGCTGAGGTGGGAGGATCACTTGAGCCTGGGAGATTGAGGCTTCAGTGAGCTGTGATCATGCCACTGCACCTTAGCTTGGGTGACAGAATGAGACCCTGCCTCAAAAGAAAAGGAAAGAAAATCTTGTTATTTTTGTCAAGTATGGCAACATGAATGAACCTGAAGGACATTATGCTAAATGAAATAAGGCAGGGACAGAAAGACAAATACCACATGATCTCACCCATGTAGAATCTAAAAAAGTTGAATAAGTTCAGAAGATCTATTGTACAACATAGTGATTATAGTTAATAACAATGTATTATATACTTGAAATGGCTAACAGAGTAGATTTTAAATATTCTCACCACAAAAAAAAAAGTATGTGAAATGACAGATACATTACTTAGCTGGAATAAGCCATTCCACAATGTATACATGTATCAAAACATCATGTTGTACACCATAAATATATACAATTTTAAATTGTCAATTTAAAAAATAAAAATCATTTCAAAAACAAGTACTGTAAAAATTTTTACAGGATATTTTTATTAAAATACACATATTCACCTTCTGCTGGATTTAAGCTAGGCCAATTTTATTTTTAAAGTTTTATAAAACAAATTTATTGATGTTCTTTTCACCTAAAGTACACTGCACGTGTTTTAAGTATATAACAGGTAAGTGTTAACATATATATGAGTGTGTATGAAACTGTCACCACAATCAACATAATGCATGTATACTTTCAAAAGTGTCCTTGGATCTTTTATAATACCTCCCTCCTGTCCCTTTTCACTCATTGGAGCCCTCCTTTCCCAGCCCCAGTCCCTAAGTAACCACTAATATGCTTTCTGTCACCACAGATTAGTTTGCATTTTCTAGAATGTTTAAAGACAAAATCATAGAGTGTATATTCTTCTTGTCAGGCTTATTTTACCCAGCATAATTATTTTGAAATTCTTCCATGTTCTAGCACGTATTTATAGCTTATTCCTTTGTTTGCTGAATAATAATCCACTGTATGAATATACAACAGTTTGTTAACCCATTCAACTGCAGATGGTTATTTGACTTGTTTTCTAACAAAACTGCTATGAACATTTATGTAGCCCAATTTCTTTGTTTCTGAGATTTGGAGTTCAAGATAACCGATTTTCACTTTATTGAGCAATAAATAGAAAAATAAGATCAGCTCAAAAAAACTTCACTGGGAGCAAGTGTTGGACAGTGAAAGGTTAATGTGATTCTGCCAAGTCAGCTGATGATGCGCGGCTGACAGCCTGCCTCTGCTTCAGCCTGGATTATGTTTCCTGACTAAGTGAATCATGTCAGGACTCTTAGACATATCAGGGTGCAGCACTGAACACAGCAGCTGATTTATGGATCCCTTGAAAGACAGACTCAGTTCTCTAATAGCGAGGATGTGATGTGACAGGGTTGCCCTGCTAATGTTCCCTGGGCGCTGACCCCAGCTTCTGGCTGCTTCGTAGCTTTTGAAGCTCAGGTCTGTTCTACTTATAATTTTACAAAATACTTTTATCCTCCAGCCCTCAGTCATAAATCTAGGCCAAATTCCTGTTTTCAGAGTTTTGCCAACACACATTACGTGTCTTTTTGTTGTTGTTGTTGTTGTTTGTTTGTTTTTGTTTTTTTTTACACCAATTGAAACTGCTGCAATTGAATCCGCTTTTTGAATTTGCCAGCCTGTCTTCTCTTGGGAGGCATTAACACATGACTGACAAGTTAATAGAGGGCAAACATTGATTGTAGAAGTTTGGGTCTAAAATATGGATTTTATTTTGGCTTGTTTACAAGTATGATATAAACTGTAGACTAAACTGCGAATATTGACCAATTATTTTCTAAGGCCTTGCAGATTTCTTTAAGCTGTTTAACGAATCGTTTTCCCACTCTAGACCTGCTCCTGGTATCTGCAAATCCCTCAGACTTCCACTTTTGCTCCTGTGGAGCAGTTACTGTGGAGAGCTTGGATGATGCTGAAGAATTGCTGGCCACAGAAGTAAGGCTTGTTAGTTGTCAAAGCAAAATCTGGTAATGGCAATGAGAAATGAAAGACAGAATCTTAGAGTTCTGTTCTTAGGGACCCAGAGAAGTGGTCTTGCTTCCGTAGGGGTGTAGGGCTGCTTCTGTCCAAAGTTTACTTATTTATGAGAAAACTGCACATTGTCAATATAGTAACTTTGGAAGCTATGAAAAAGTAGAAAGATATTTCAACTCAATGGCAAACATCTCTTTTATTTGGTGTATATCTTTACAGTTTTTATTCTGTTTTTATCTATTTGCAGCTGCTTTTGTATGGTCATGTTAGTGTTTTTTGTTTTTTACCAAAAGACTGTAATTATGCTGCATAGACATTTGGCATATAGAATTTGCTTTCTCAGTTTAATCGTTTAAGCATTTCAAATATCGTTAGGAACTCTTCATAAACATTTAAGTGGATACTTAAGATTTTATCAGGCATTTGTCCTGTTGTTTATTGAGCTATTCTCTTAGTGTTAGACTCAAGTTTTTTTTCACTCCCACTGAGGTGAATATCTCTGTAGCTAAACACTTTTTCTGTATATCAGATTCACCTTATGCTAGATTCCTAGAAGTGAAAATACTAAGGATTATGAATTTTTTATAGTCTCTTGGTACATATTCTAAATTAACCACTAGAAAGATTGTACCAATTTTTTCCCTCCTGGGGTGTATGAGAATGCACACCTTGTGCAGTGGATTCTTAGGATGCAATTTTATGGTGAGGTGGCTTTTCTTAAACCTTTCTTTTCACCAGTCTTTGAAATGTGTCTCCTCTGGAATAAAGTCAGAACCTGTGGGATCACAGAAACAAGCAACTCAGCAGATATGGTGCTTTCTGCCATAACCACGAAAGGCAAAATAATTGACCTCATATAGCCAGTTAGTGATCTGTTGCTGGAAGGAACAAGAGAGAGGCAGGGCATTGAAGGAAAGTTCTAAAACTATTGGGAACTAAACAAGCCTAGTCTTGTGCCTTCCTAATTCTCTTTTAAAGGGATGAGCAGACTGCGGGTGACCAAGTGCCAACAGGGCTGATTTGCATTGCTTTGAACAGAGCTGTCTGTCTCATTCCCCTCAGCCCACAGCCCGAGGTGTAACACAGCGGGGGTGAGGTGCTCACTGCAGCCATTAAGCAAATGAAGACAGGGCCATCTGTTTCTCTTTTTACAGCAAGCCATGGACATCTTGGGCTTTCTTCCTGATGAGAAGTATGGATGCTATAAACTCACTGGAGCCATCATGCACTTTGGAAATATGAAATTTAAACAGAAACCTAGAGAAGAGCAACTGGAAGCAGATGGCACAGAAAGTAAGAATTACTTTGAAGATATGGTATATACTTCAAATCTCTGGGCCCAAGCCTGCTCCCCTTTACCTTGCAGTTAACTTCATCTCTTACTTAAAATTAATCAATAGTGTCTCCCTTGATTGCTGTTCTTCAAAAACGGTTCTGTCAACTACCATTCTAATGTAGAATCCTCCTATCACAGAATAAGAAGCACTCCTCAATAATTATTGATGATCCAGTCAATTTGCTAAACTTGGGTGAAGGAGAATTAAGACACAGTATGCCTTTAGCACATAGATTATTGAGAACAATGAGAGAAAGGAACAAATTATGGCCGGACACCGTGACTCACGCTTGTAATCCCAGCACTTGGGGAGGCCGAGGTGGGTGGATCACTTGAGGCCAGGAGTTCAAGACCAGCCTGGCCAATATAGCGAAACCCTGTCTCTACTAAAAATACAAAAAATTGGCCAGGCGTGGTTGCGCACGCCTATAATCCCAGCTACTTGGGAGGCTGAGGCATGAGAATCGCTGGAACCTGGGAGGTAGAGGTTGTAGTGAGCCGAGATCGCTCCACTGCACTTCAGCCTGGGTGACAGAGCGAGACTCAGTCTCAAAAAAATAAAATAAAATAAAAATACAAAAATAAGGAGCAAATTATGATAAAATGTATTAAGTGACATAATGGAGATGTGAACTAAGGCCCTTGGAATTCCAGTGGGAAGTAACTAACTCACAGGGGTGAGACCAGGAGGCTTTATTTCTCCTTGTTTTTTCTTCACATTTAAAAAAATCTATACTCTTATCTGCTTACCAGAAATATTTGAGGCATCTTACAATGAATGATCTGTCTAGAATGATCATTAAAATAAATCCCCACAATTATGAAAAGAAGAAAGCATAGTTGTTATTACCTTTAATATTAAAATTCCTTACAACCGAAACAAAAAGAGAAAACCCATTCATTCAACTCTTTCAACAACTACTTTTTTAAATTTTATATTTTTAATGAATAAAATATATATAACATACAATTTACAATTTTAGCCATGTTTCAGTGTACAGTTCAGTGGCATGAAGAACATTCACATTGTTGTGTAATTAGCAATGTAATCCACTGCCAGAACTTTTTCATCATGTCAGCCTGAATAAACTATGTACTTATTAAACCAAAACTCCCCATTATCCCCTTCCTGTACTCCTGGTAACCACTGTTTTACCTTCTGACTCTAGACACCTTATGTAAGTGTAATCATACAATATTTGACCTTTTGTAACTGGCTTATTTCACTTAGCATAATGTCTTCAAGGTTCATCCATGTTGTAGCATGTATCAAAATTTCATTCCTTTTTAAGGCTAAATAATATTCCAGTGTATGCATATAACACACTTATCTTTTCATCAGTCTATGGACACTTGGTTGCTTCCACTTTTTGGCTATTGTGAGTAATGCTGCTATGAATGTTAGTATATAAATATCTGTTTGAGTCTCTGCTTTCAATTCATTTGTGTATATACCTAGAAGTGGAATTGTTAGAATAAATGGTAAATCTGTTATATTTTCTAGGAGCCATCATATTGTTTTCCACAGTGGCCATACCTCTTTTCATTTTCACCAGCAATGCACAAAGTTTCCAATTTCTTCACACCCATGCCAACATTTGTTGTTTTCTGTTTTTTGGTTTTTTTTTTTTATAGTAGCCATCTTCATGGGTATAAAGTGGTATCTTATTGTGGTTTTGATTTGCATTTCCCTACTGATTGGTGATGTTGAACATCTTTTTATGTGCTTATCGGCCATTTGTATATCTTTTGAGAAATGTCTATTTAAGTCCTTTGCCTATTTTTAAAATTAGGATTTTTTTGTTGTTGTTTGACAAGTTTGTGATTTTTTTTTTTTTTTTTTTTATGGAGACAGAGTCTTGCTCTGTGGCTTAGGCTGGAGTACAGGGGGGCAATATCAGCTCACTGCAACTTCTGCTTCCCAGGTTCAAGCGATTCTTGTGCCTCAGCCTCCCGAGTAGCTGGGAAGCTGGGATTACAGGTGCACCACTACACTGGGCTAATTTTTATATTTTTAGTAGAGATGGGGTTTTGCCGTGTTGGCCAGGCTGGTCTCAACTCCTGACCTTAAGTGATCTACCCACCTCGGCCTCCCAAAGTGCTGGGATTACAGGCCTGAAACACCATGCCTGGCCTGTTGTGCAACAAATAATTTTGGAGGCCAGTCTGTGCTAGGGACTATTCTTGATGCTAGGGATACATCCGTGAACAAGATATTGTCCCTGTCTTGTCTAGTGTGGGAGTTAGACAATAAATACATAAATACGTAACAAGTTCCATACAAAAAGGAAGTAAAGCAGAGTTAAAAAAATAAGGAATAATAGGATACAGAGGTTGTTGTAGATAGGGTGGTCAGGAAGTCAGTCCCTCAGAGAAGAGGACACAGCACAGATGTGAATGAAGTGAGACAATGTGTTATGAAGATCTTGTAAACATCTTATATATTAACATATTCACATATGCTTTTATGGCATCTTATTTTATTTTTGCCATCCTGTTTGCTTTTTCCATGCTTTAAAACAAAGGCTTTTCTTAAAGAATGGTTTTTATTACAAAAACAAGGCATACTTACTGATAAATCAAAAAACACAGATGAGCAAATGAAATGTGTAATCTCCTCCACTCTCCCTTTTGGCTTCTTCTCAGGTTCTTTGCTGGAGCTTCCTTATCTTCCCTACTGCTAATTGCTCTAGGGCTGCTCAGGGCTCCAGCCTTGAATCTTTCCTCTTCCCTTTCTATGCTCATTTCTTTGGTGCCCATCTCAAACTCAACATGAATAGAACTGAACTCTTCATCCCACCCTGCCTTTACTACCAACTCTTCATTTCTCGGTCTTCTTCAAAAATGCCACCTAGGTTCTCCCAATTGCCCTGACTCAAATCTCAGAATCATCCTGGACTCCTCTCTTTTTCATTGTCTCTACCTTTGAAATACATCCAAAAGCTCACAACTTATCACCATGGCCATGCCCACTGCCACCACCTAGCCCGAGCCACCGTTTCTTACTACAGCCTCCTTCCTGGTCTCCCTGCTTGCATCCTTGCCTACGATGGATAGGTGGATAGCTCTGCACCCAGAAGCTACTGTCAGTCCTTTCACAGTGTCAGTCAGCCCTTGTTCCACCATGTCCTGCTTCTGCTCTAAACTCAACAATGGCTCCAAATAAAACCCCACGTTCCTGTCACAGCTTCCTTAACCTCTATGATATTAGGTTGGTGCAAATGTAATTTTGGTTTTTGTCATTACTTTTAACAGCAAAAACCGCAATTATGTTTGCACCAACCAATACTTCTCTGTCTCTCTCTAATCCCTACCGTTAGTAGCGAAATCTATCATTTTCTCGTCTCTCATTTCCCTCCACTCACATGTCCTGGCCTCTTGGATGTTTTTGGAGCATGTAAGCACTCCTATTGCAGGACTATTTTCACTAACTCTTCTTTCTGCCTGGAACTTTTCTCCTGTCCTCATGTCTTACTCCCTCACTTATTAAAGTAACTTCTTGGATGTTACCTTATTAGAAAAGCCTTCTCTAGCTACCTCCACCACTATCCCCCTAATCTAAATATTTTTCTTCATGTCATTCATACAGCTAGTTTTTATTGAATGTCCTAGCCTCCACCCCTCAATCTCCACCAGATGTAAGCTTTGTAAGAGCAGGGACCTCATTTGGTGTGTTCACTGCTATATTTCCAGGTTTTAAAATGTGCCTGGCACATAGTAATGGCTAATTATTCATTAAGTGAACCCTACCTACTCAGAGACAATCACTGTGAATGCCAAAGGACATATTTTTTACGCATTTTCTAGTTGAATATGCACATATAACTTTTTAAAATAAAAATGTGATCATATTCATGTTGTTTCAGCCTAGTATTTTTTTACCAAATTATATGTGAACATCTTTTTGTCTTTTCTGCAATATCTTTTTAGATGGCTACAAAATATTCCATTGTATGAATGTACCATAATTAACTTAAGCATCTTACTGGATACTGAGTTTTTTTCAGTATGCTTCTACCTTTAGCTCATTTTAAAAATGGAGGTGTTGAATTTTTCTTTAATTCTAAGGGTTCTTAATATATTAAGCTTTGGTAAATTTTTCCCAGTTAATTATTTAGGAAGGTTTTGAAGGAGCTGGACAGATGGAGAAGAAGGAACGGGGAAGGGCACCCAAACCCAAAGGGGCATCTTAGCCTTTGCCTCTTTCTTGAGTTCCAACTCCATATTTCCAACTCTCAGCTGCATATTTTCTAGTATCCTAAACTCTGCATGGCTAAAAGTCCATCATCTTCTCCCCTAAGTGATGTCTTCCTATTGGCATTTCTATTCATATTTATGGTATTGTTCTTCTTTCTACTTCTCAGACTGGAAACCTCCTAGTCATATTTCTCAGTCTCTCTTTCTCCCTTTCTCATTACAAATTTGGAGCTTCAGCATCTCACACTTCAGCATTCTGCAATGGGTTCACTCTGTACTTTAAAACTTCCTACTCTGGTCTGTCTTGCACATTTCCAAAATTAAGCATCCTAAAGCATGACTCTAATTATGTCATTTCTCTGCTTACAGCTCCTTTAACATTTCCCCATTCTTTAATTAATATGTTATAGCGGCATTAGATGTCTTCTGCGACCAGAAGTCACCCGCTTTTCTCAGTTTCTCACTCACTCCCTGGTATCGTAGTCCAGTCCCTCTGGGTTACAACCTCTTCTTTGACCATACCTTGTACTCTTCAACGCCTGTGGCTTCAAGTCGTGCTGTTCATTGTTAAGGAAACTCTTCTTCTCCCATATTTGCCTACAAAAACTCTTGTCATCCTTCAAGGCTCAGATTGAATGTTGTTTCTTTTTTAATCCTTCCCCAGTCATGCAGTCCAGAAGGGCTCTTTCCCTACTTCACAGTTTTGTGATACTCGATTTGTGTGTCTCTTATGCAGTTGTTTTACTGACATACTATTTTTTCCCATGTCTTATTTACTCTCATAGATTATAATTTCTTGATGCCAGGGATTTTTGCCTTGTTTATTTATCTTCTTATTACATTATCTAGCATCAGGGCTTACACATAGCAAATGCTCAGTTAACTTTGTTTAATAAATTAATGAAATATGAACAGCTCAAAAATTGTATTATAACCTTCCATAAAAGAGATTAATATCTTTATCATAACCCCTGTAGACTGACAAAACTGGATTTTGCTTCATTCTTTCATATCTGGTTATTTGCAGATGGGACTGAACTGGGACAGAATTGGAAATTTGGAAAAGATTCCTTTTTGAGTTTCTCTACCTTTTTACCTGTTTTCAGGTGAAGTCATACTTTGTTCTTTCCATCTTCCTGATTTCAAAATAAACTTACGAAACCTGGTTATTATTCTCTAGACAGTAGTTTGCAAACTTGGCTGCTCAACAGAATCGCTGGGGAACTTTTAAAATCCTGAAGCTCAGGCCTTACCCAAGCCAGACAAGCCAGATTTCTGTGGGTGAATTTCAGGCATCAGTATTTGTTTTTACAACTTGCCAGGGACCCCAGTGTGCAGTCAAAGTTGAGGACTACCACAATAACAACTTTGTTCTCAAACTTGTATGTGTATCAGAATCACCTGGGTAACACGATAAAACTAGAGCGGCCCAGCCCCTAACCTGCTTCAGGGAGCCTGTTGTTTAATCTTTGATTAGCTCTCCAGGCTATTCCAATACACACTGATGCTTGAGAACCACCTCTCTAGCTAAATGTTACCTCTCCCAGGTAAGATCATGCAGCCTAATTGAAGTCCATGGGTTCATTCACAAGGTCCTGAAGGAACTGATGCTTATGGGTGGGAATTTCATAAAGCCTATTTGGGAATATGATTAAAATATGTTTACACATATTGCTATCTTTACAACAGTAGTTCCTGAATGTCAGATGGGCATTTAGTCATAGATTTACGCCATTTTCATCTTGGTTGCAAACTGTAAACATTTAGTGCAAATGAAGTAATTTACTTTTTGGAACATGATGACCTCTATTGTTTCCTCTTTCCCCCCAAAACAGAGAACATATGTGATGTATAATGTAAATCTCTGGAGTAAATCCAGGGTACACTAGTCCTGTCTGTAGATACTCAACTATCTCTGGAGTAAGTGACAAATAATCCTGTAATGTTAGATGCTATTTCTGTTAAGCTTAAGGTGGGATACTCCTCAGAGAATCTGAATTTCTTTTGTTCATGGATAAAAATAGACTCAAAGGACTGTGCTTAACACTGGAAAAAGGATATATGAAGACTCGGCATGGGGAACTATTCTTTGAGACTATTATTACCTGTATTATCTCTCTTCATGCTTCCAAAGCTTAGAAAAAACAAATGTTTCTCTTTTTTTTTTTTTAAACCTGGACAGATACTGGAAAATTGTTTTTCACATTGTTGGTTACTGTTCATCTCCACTCAGGTTGCCAGGCACATTGTATTTCTTCCCGTCTTTTAAATATTTTCACATTGGATTAGATACTCTATAAAGTCTCTTTCAGTTCAAAAAGTCTATGATTTGACATACTGGATTCTCAATTTGAAATTATCAAGCTTTTGCCGCCAAACCTGGCACTGTTAGCAGGCACATCTCAGTATAGGATGGGCATGTCTGCTCTACCTTTGATTTTCATTTATTTTTCCAAATAGGCTTTGTGTTTTGAAAGGTTTCATAGCAACCAAGTACCCAGGCTATTATCACTGCAAATAAACTAACATAAAGTAGGTATGTAACTTGTAGCAATGTATGTATTATATATATTGATTTTAGTTTATAAGAAAATCAAACATTTCAAACATTTTAAGCCTTGTAAACATTTTAAAGGCTGTGAAAAGGAAATTGATATTGCTAATACAGACGAGATAGAGCTCTCTAATTGTGTTTTGTTTTTACTTTATTTTCTGTTCGTGATTATTGCTCTGGAAAATTTGCAGCTTTTTTTTTCTTTAGTGAATTAAAGAAAGGCTGCATTACCTTCTATTATAAGACATTATTCAACAGAATGACTATGCCAGACATACTAGCATATCTCCAAATTCCTTTAAAATAGAAAGCAGAGAGGGGTTTTGGATGAGTGGAATATTTATTTTGTTGGTAACTGAAATAATCTACAATTTGAAATAAGCTTATAAATTTTTGCCTGTGTCATTATTTTGTGTCATTTTTTCATACCTGAAGTGATACATGCCTATTTACTTTTCCTTCTGATAATACTTATTCTCCACTTCTTGAGGAAATGGAAGCTTTGTTTCATAAAACAATTTTGTGGGGTGTAAGTATTATTGTTGGGCAGCAGAGGGCACTACGGAGCAAACAGAGACCTTGCCGGGAAAGGAAGGGTGTTTTACAGATAGCTGGCAAGTGTCCTGGCTTCTGTTGATTGGTGCTTGTCTATAATTATCAGATTACATGGCCCAAGTCCGTGTTTTGTTGAAAGAGTCCACAAGTACATACATAGAAAGAGAAAACAAATTATAAAGATGGCATTTTCCATGTCCTTCAGACAAATTATATCTCAATTTTTAAAAGATTCTGTTTCTTGATACTAGTCCTCTTTTAGAAGATTCATACACCATAATATTCACCTTTTAAACTGTATAGTTATTGGGTATTAGTATATTCTCAAGGCTGTGCAACCACCACTATCTAATTCCGGAACATTTTATTATCACAAAAATAAACTTTTAGTAGCAACTATTAGTAGTTATTTTGATTTTTGCTTCTCCTCAGCCTGTGGCAACCAAAATCGACTTTCTGTCCTTATGGATTGCCTGTTCTGAACAGTTCATAGAAATGGAATCCTGCAATATGTGGCCTTTCGTGTCTGACTCCTTTCACTTAGCATAATGTTTTCAAGTTTCAGCCATGTTGTAGTGCACATCAATACTTCATTTTTGTAAAATGACTAGCAATATCGTATTATATGAGTATACCACATTTTTTAATCCATTCATCAGTGATGGACATTTCACTTTTTCCCACCTTTTGACTATTGTGAATAATGCTGCTAGAAACATTTGTGTACAATTTTTTGTGTGAACATATGTTTTCATTTATCTTGGGTGTGTACCTAAAAGTGATATTGCTGGGTTCCATAGTAACTCTATGATTAACTTCAGAGTAACTGTCAAACTGTTTCTCACGGCAAATACACACCATTTTGCATTCCCACCCACAATGCATGAGGGTTCACATTTTTCCACATCCTTGTCAACACTTGTTATTGTCTGCCGTTTTGATTATAGTCATTCTAGTGGCTGTGAGTGGCATTATATTTTCTTTTTCCTTAATGCCAACAAACTGAAGAAGTGAGATTTCAATGTGGCTTTGACTTGTATTTCGAAGAAATAATTTCCTTTAAACTTTTAGGATTCAGGCATTTATTTGAAAACTACAATCTACTTTGCTACGCTGATGTAAACACACTATCTTTCTGTCCTCTGGGTAGTTAGTTTGGCTATAATGGAATGAATCTTAACAGTGTTTTCCTCTCTCCTTCCTTTTCTTCTATTTCTGATGACCAGATGCTGACAAAGCTGCTTTCCTCATGGGCATTAACTCCTCTGAGTTGGTAAAGTGCTTGATCCATCCTAGAATCAAAGTTGGTAACGAATATGTTACCAGAGGTCAAACTATAGAACAGGTAAGGTGATATTTCAAGAGCATTATTATTCTATGATCTTCCAATAATTGTATATATATTGTACTGTATATTTTTCAACTACTAAGGATGTTTGCAATAATGAAAGCTTCTATAAATAAGCAAAAAAGAGCTCTTGGGATGACTATTCCAAATGTTTTTACTTGTGATGCACACCACAGTAAATGCTCTTGTCTGAAACATACATTTTGAAAGTTTTCCCTTAGGTAGCAAGTATCTTTGCAGATGCAGACAAACCCTCCACTTGTTGTGATCAACATCTTTGTCATCCAGCGAGGAAGCTTTCAAAGCTGTTCATTCCTAACATGGATAAAATTGGCAAATTGGCATGCTTCACGTATTTGGCATATTGGCTCCTTTGGCATAAAAGACACATGGTGACACGTTAGTTGAGAAACAGTTTTAGGACATATGCTAAAAATCAATATTTGAAAGGAGGTGTGTGTTGAAAACAGAAATGAGAGATGGAACGCCATGCAGATTTTGTTTAGCATCCAGGAGAATGTTATAGTAGAGAATAACAAATTCTTTGAGGCTTTGCCTTAATGCAGTAAATATTCCCAGGGCCACTGGGTAATGAGACCATCTAAGCATGCTAGTATGTTTCAAAAATAATAATTTATATCTGTAGTGTGTAAGGGAAAATATGAGATAAGCTGGGCTGCAGTAATGCACACACACTAAAATCTCAGTGACAACAAAATATTTCTTACATCAAGTGCAATACAGAGTATACAGCCTTCTCTGTTTTGTAGTTCTATGTAGTTCTTTGTAGTTCTATGCCATCTGGGACACACGGCCTCCCAAGTGACTGCACAAGGAGAAAAGATCATTTGCAGAGAAAGTACAACCACCTTTAACTGCTTGGGCTAGAAGTAATATCACTTTCACTAACAGTCCATTGGTAAGAATTAGTAAAATAATACCTTTAGCTACAGAAAGGGGCTGAGAAATGTAGCCTTTCTGGAAAGAGGAAGTGGTGTCACACATAGTATGGATAAAGCATTCACAGTATTATTGCCTTCTATTCTTACAATAATACTCAGAGCTAAGTAGGGCAGAAATGCATAATTTATGTTTTTCCTAGTTGAGGAAACTGAGTCAAAGAGAATGTTAAGTAACATTCCAAAGGATATATAGCTAGTACTCAGGTGATACTGATTGTCTTACTCAGTATACACCCTAACTCTGAAAAAGAGATAGACAAATGTACAAATTTGTAATATAAGACAGTCATCTTATATATGATGACTAGAATAGATGTGTTTCCCTTGGTATATTAAGGTAACTGATGTGTCTGTGTTATTTAAAACATTTAAATGACTGATCAAAATCAATTTATTAATTTAGCTTACTCTATAAATGGATAATTCTACCTCTACTATAATACTAACTATACTATATTGAAATAATCTGCTTAGATTTTTGTCTTCTAACCTCTTTGAAGCATGAACTGTGTCTAATTCATCTTAGTACTCCAAGCATCTAAAACAATGCCCTGTAAGCCGTAAGTGCTCCACGCATGTTAAAATAGACTACATTGAGCTAAACTTGAATCACGATCAGCAGGACACATAACTGAGCTATTTCTTGGCAGGGGGTTAGAGTTGTTCAGCAGTTTCATACCTTCTTAGACATTCACCACAACATGCATGCATGACATGCTATGTTTATAGAACAGGGTTTTTCTCTGTATAAAACTAATGAGCCCAAATAGCAAGAAGAGCAGATTTGGAATGTTTCTAATATAAAGAAATGATCAGTGTTTGAGGTATAGATGTGCTGATAACCCTGATTTGATCATTACCACATTGTATACATGTATCAAAATATCATTCTGTACCTCATAAATATATATAATTATTTATCAATTAAAATAATAATAAAAACAAAAAAAAGCAAAAATAAAAAATAAAAAAAAAAATAAGGAGCCCCTAGGAGGGCTGAGAACAAGTCTTCAGCTCTCTAATATTGTGTTCTGAGGAATTAAAGACACAATATTATAGTAAGGACTCCAGCCTTTACTATAATAGGACCAGTGAAACAAGCTAATATATTATTATTCAACATTAAAATAAAAAATCCTCCTCCTCTCGCTCTCTCTCTCTCTCCTGGAGACATAGTAAGAAAGCATGCTCTAAGGCTTTTTTTTTTCCCTTAGGAATTTTTCTGATTTTATAGAGACAATTGCCATTGCTAAAAATAGAGACATGTATGCTCTGTTGATGACAATTGCAAAAGATGGGAAAAATTTTTGCAACGTTAACATTCTATACAAAATTTAGTTCTAGCTATAATGCTAACTAACTCTGATACCTTGGTTAATTGTCTTCATCTCTCTGAGCCCCACAGTGAAGTGGTTGAACAACTTTGTATTTCTCAATGGTAATTGGCATTTAAGATGGGACAGTTCTTTATGGATGAGAGTGTCCTGCACACTGTAGATGTTTGGGATTCCTGGCCCCCAGGTAACTGAATGCCAGTAGCATTCTTAGTCACTGTGACAACCAGAAAATGCCACTTGCATTTCTAAATGCATTCCTCCTTTGAGGAGATACCATCCCAAGGTGAAAGCTGCTATATATGACTATCAAGAACTAAGGATCTTCAGGTCTAGTATTTTATGATTCCATGATATTTCTAACTATGTCACCTAGAAATAAGTTACTTTATGATTAATAATAAAATAATAATAATGTCCACTGAGTACTAACTATAGGTGATGTACTAAGTGCTTTGTATGGATTATCTCATTTAATCGAATAACAAGCCTATGAAGTAGGTCTTGTTATTTCTATTTTACAGCTACAGATAGTGACCCTTAGAAAGATTAACCACTCAAGGTGACACAACTAGTAAGTAAATACTGGGGTGAGGATGAGAAAGTGATAAAAGCAGAAAAGGGGTGGAAAAGGGAGGATTAACATTTATTGGATACTAAGCGTCAAATATGCTGTCAGTTTATATCCTCTGTCTCACTGGATATCTCACAACAACCCTGAGCTACACATATTTCATTATTATTATTTTACAGATGAGAAAGAGAGGGATCAACATAGTTAAAAATTTTGGCTGGGCACGGTGGCTCACGCCCATAATTCCAGCACTTTGGGAGGCCGAGGCGGGTGGATCACCTGAGGTCAGGAGTTTGAGACCAGCCTGGCCAACATGGTGAAACCTTGTCTCTACTAAAAATACAAAAAATTAGCCGGGCATTGTGGTGTGTGCTTGTAATCCCAGCCACTTGGGAGGCTGAGGCAAGAGAATCGTTTGAACCTTGGAGGCGGAGGTTGCAGTGAGCTGAGATCGTGCCATTGTACTCCAGCCTGGGCAACAGAGCAACACTCTGTCTCAAAAACAAACAAAAAAGATTAACTATTTGACTTTGTTATTTTTTTTCTGTTGTTGTTTTCTATATGCACTATTGCCCCCCAGTAACCAAAGCCTTCTGTGAGGTTATTTTAAAAAGAGCTAAGAAATGGGTGCATTTAACCCTTGAAAAGTGGAAATATAGATTTAGCCACCTCATTTCCTCTCCATTGGACAGAAAATGATGAAAATGATTAATTAGTGAGCAACATATTGATCTGTTTCATGAATTCATTCAGCAGACCTTTACCATCCATTTATCCTACTGCCTACATTTCCAGGCTTTCTTCTTGTGTTTCTCCACTACTTGCCACACCTGACCTAACAGTGTCTCTCCCACTCCCACTTCTCAAGTATTTAGGGAATTAAAAGGGGGTGAGCAAGTTAGTCATGTTCTTTTTAAAGTTTCAGAGTGACTGCTGTAGACAGAGTGATTTCTTCAGTGTTACAGAGGATGAAAATCATTCTTGATGCTTTATTTGTACGTGTGTGCTCTTGATGCTGATAATAAAAAACTGTGATGCCATCCGGCTTATGGATTACTGTGGAAATGACTCAAGATAACTGATCAGGGAGTGGGTGACTCATAACTAAATCACCACCAGACACCAACTGGCTCCTGCTGTGTGCTCTCTCCTGGGCAGAAGGATGGATGTGATAGGTCTATTTTAAATGTTAAGTGATTGGAGCACGTTCTGTTTCCAGGCTTGGAGAATGGCCAGCTAAAATTCTCCCTTCCTTGGAGTATGTCAGAAACCTGCTACTACAGCAGCGCTATTGGAGTTATGGAAGTAGGATCTGCATTTGTAGAGCATCATCCAGGCACAAAGGTTGGCGCTCTCCCCAGTAGGTTACTTTAGAACCTTTTCCACACCCCTCCAGGGAAGGAAAAGGCAGCCTCAGTTTTACAGCAGGAGAATCTGAGTCAGAATGATTCACAAATGGCTATTCTCTGTCCAGGTTGTTGAGAGCAAAACTGGGAACTAATATAATAAAGAGTTGGAAGCTAAGGCTAGGAAGATCCTTTAAGAGTGTTTTTCAGATGAAGATGTTGCTTTCCAGAAAGGTTAGATCACTTGCCAAAGGTTACACAATTTATAGCAGCTACAGCAGTGGCAGAACAAGGGTTAGGGATTATAAATTTCTAATGTACTATACCACTACTTTTCAAACTATTGTGCATAGTATTACAAATATTCTGAATCTTATTAAGATGGTAAGGAAGACTTCATTCAGGACTGCTGCAATAGATATATTGCAACAGGGGAGAGATACTGGGCTCAGCTGCAAGTAAAACAAGGATAAGTGGGGATTTACAGCCCAAGACCAGAAGGAGGGGATCAGTGGATGGAAAATTACTAACAGGGGGTAGGAGGATTTTTTTAAATTGACCTAACAGGATTCTTGCTAAAGGCAGGCCAAGAACATATACATCAAAGGTGAGGGATAAGGAATTTAATCAGAGATCAAGGGTGAGTGATTCAGCAGACTTCTTCCTGCAGCTGGGCTAGACAGGCTGAAGACAGGACAGGTAAGGTGGAGGCAAGGGGTCAGAGGATCCTCATTAAAGTTTGGTCAAGGAGAGAGTCTTTGTCAATAGGAATCAGCTGGGGATTGTTAGCTTACAGATTCTGATTCAGTAGGTCTGGGACTGGGCCTGAGAGTTTGCATTTTTAACAAACTCTTAGGTGGTGCTGCTGCTGGTCTTAGGATCACACTTTGAATAGCAAGGCTTTGGGACACATCACCACACCATACCCCGGGATAGTTAGTCCTTTAATAATAGGAACATGATTCCTCTCATCTGTGTTTTCATAAAGAGGCACCAGGCTAGCTTACTCCTTTCTCCTACCCATCTCCTTTCCTCCTTTTTCTTCCCTTCCTCTCCCCTTCATTTTCCCCCTCCCTCCCTCCCTTCTTTCCTTCCTTCCTTCCTCCCTCCCTCCCTTCCTTCCTCTTTCTCCTTTTCTTTCTTTCTTTCTTTTTCTCTCTCTCTCTCTTTCTTTTCTTCCTTTTCTCATTGTATTCAGCAGAATGTTGGAAGCACAGAAGGTCAATAAAGACATCCTAATTTGACTAGAAGGCAGTTGCTGATAGAGAATGCCCGGGATTAAAATGAACACTTCAGTCAGATGAAGGAGTGTTTTCAATGTGATTTCTAGGTAACCTGTGCTGTCGGTGCCCTGTCCAAGTCAATGTATGAAAGGATGTTTAAGTGGCTAGTGGCACGGATCAACAGGGCCCTGGATGCCAAGCTGTCAAGGCAGTTCTTCATTGGCATTCTTGACATCACTGGTTTTGAAATCCTTGAGGTAAGTGTATCTGGTAAGAAGGAAGTCAATGCATATTTATAAGAAGATTAGAAAACGTTACTTGAAGATGGGAAAATATGGTCAAAGCATGGGGATCATTCTATGCAAACCTTAAGGGCTACCTTGTTTGGAAAAGAGCTATAATTAATATCAATAATAATTATTGTTATACTTAATGGTATTAAGTATTTATTGATTTCTTAATTCTGGCTTACATAAAGGTAAATGGAGGTAAAGGAATTAATTATGATTTTAAATTTTAATACCATTAAGTGCTATATTATTGTAATAATCTTTAGAAAATTGTACTTAATGATATTACAATTCAAAATTACAATTAATTAAGTTAATTGAGCATTTGTTACTTGTTGGGTCTATTTCTGATCATATAATAATGGTTATGGTTTTTTCTTTACTGGACATTCTTGAAAGTGGACCTCAATTTTATTTTTATCTCTTCTTCTTACCTATTCATATCCTTGAAGTATAATAGCCTTGAGCAACTTTGCATTAATTTTACCAATGAAAAATTACAACAATTCTTCAATTGGCACATGTTTGTTCTGGAGCAAGAGGAATATAAGAAAGAAAGCATTGAATGGGTGTCTATTGGCTTTGGTCTGGATTTGCAAGCTTGCATAGATCTCATTGAGAAGGTAATATATGTTTTTCTCTTTGTCCATTTTCATTTCGGGAGAATTGTCCCTGCCTGCTATGTTGATCCATGTCAGGACTTAGGCCCTATCAGAGGATGGGAAATGGGGGCGGAAAGCCCTGCACATTTTATCTTAATGGTGTTTGTGTGCATCACCTGTGGCATCCAAACGAAACTCTCTTGTCAGTTGCCCCACTCCATCATCTCTAATGCAGGCTTTCACTGCACATTTGATGCTAATGCATGGCCTCCACTGTTAACGTGAGCGGAAACTTGTTGAGTTTAAAAATGGTCATGCTCTTGACTGGAAAAACACAGAGCTAAAAATATGAGCACTGTAGGGCCTAACTGATTAACATAAGGTGAATGAGTAGACCCAGAGCAGCTTAACAAAATTTGGCAAATTAGCATGCAAACAAACAACTGCCATCAATCCTCAAGGCCACTACCTTGCAGGATGTAGTTTGTTCATTTAATTGGACAAGTACCAGTTAGTTTAAGTAATTTATGACAATACTTCATGGCTTATTAGTAAATTAGCTGCAGTGTACAGTTTCTGAATTTGGTGATGTCCCAATACTCTGAAATCTTTCTGCATGTTCTGGGAAAGATGAGCAAGGTTTGCTGGGGGATTACGTATGGTCCTTTCTGTGGCTTTCTCCATGGGAGCAAGCATGGCGGCATGTTAGCAGTTACATGCCTCTTGGGCCTCGCCATAATCGTGGATTGCAGTGAATCTTCAAGATGGATCTGGGCAGTCTGAAGCCTTTCATTTCCTGAATACTCTAGCTATGCTGTCACAGTTGATTCTCAACAATCCTGCTAGGAAGGAGCTAGGGCAACTGACCTCTCCCTGTCCTTTGCAAGCCCTGGGTTTTATCAATCCGTGTCCTATCAATTTCATTTATTAGGCTTTAGATCTTCTTGAAAATAACTATTATTTCCAACAGGAGTAGATATCCCGTTGATTTTATTTATTTTATAACAAGTGAACTTCCTGGGGGAAAGACAGGCTGATTAAAACATATTAATAATGAATCAAACATGAGCTGATTAAAAACAGTGATAAAGATGAACCAACTATGATGTGGTATGTATTCTGGCCTTATAAGAGCCGTAGTTGTCTCATTAGAAATGAAACAAAAGAACTGGAGGTCCTCAGAGGAACAGATTTATCTTCTGGCGATTGTCACCTATAATATATACTCACTTTGATTATGACAAGATACTGTTTTCAGGCAGGAACGTGGGACATAGACATTGTTCAGATCCTGACAAGTTCTGTGAATGTTACTGATTTTTAGTTGATCTGAAGTCTGTTGCCTCATTTATGCCAGTCTTGGTTATTCCAAATAACACACTAGCATCACGGATGTAATTTCCTGTTGTATTTTCTACTGATATAATAAAATGAGAAAAAATTACTGACCAAATGATAAAAGGAAAAGATAAGTCTTTGGTTTTCTACAAACAATTTTAACAGGATCCAGGTCAGGCAAATGAAAATACCAAAGCCTTCCTTGAAAAGATTCTAAATTTTGAAAAGACCCATTATGTTCGTTGGGGCTATCTGAAGAAGATTTGTAGCAAATATTAATGATCAAACTCAGTCCTTGAAATAAAATGCATAATGGGATGTTTTTAAAATTTGAAAGTACTAAAACACATCAATATATATAAAATGTTGTATAACATGCATCTCTGTATACGTATAAGAAAAAAGGATTTTCATTACATAAAAGTTTCATATTTGTAAGTTTACAAAAAAGTCTATATCAGCTGGGTGCAGTGGCTTATGCCTGTAATCCCAGCACTTTGGGAGGCCAAGGTGAGTGGATCACTTGAGGTCAGGAGTTTGACACCAGCCTGGCTAACATGGTGAAACCCTGTCTCTACTCAAAATACAAAAATTAGCCAGATGTGGTGGCGCATGCCTGTAGTCACAGCTACTAGGGAGGCTGAGGCAGGAGAATAGCTAGAACCTGGGAGGTGGAGGTTGTAGTGAGCTGAGATCGCACCACTGCACTCCAGCCTGGGCAACAGAGTGAGATTCTATCTCAAAAAAAAAAAAAAAGTTTATATCAAACTAAAGTAAAAAATGTATTCTAACACAAACTTTAATTGTTAATTTGGTCTTCAAGTTTACCGTGACCTCCTTTCACATTTGTGCTGTGAACAAATTTATTATAGGATTTGCTCATACTTATTTTATTACTTGAAATATTCTAGTTTGTTTAGAACTTGTACATCAATAATTTACATATTAAAGTATTAATATATGATTACATATTTATGGTTATACATAAGGCATTGGTAAAGAGATTTTCCCTATTATTTCCTAATAAATACTCTCCAAGTTATACATTTAAAAACTTACTATTCATTTGGTGTAAACACCCTAGAAGGCAACATACTTCTTCCAATAATTTAGCTCTTTGGAAAATTTCTCACGATATTGGGATTAGGATAGATTTTAGAATTTTACCAGCCTCAAGAGAAAATTGGCTTCAATACTTTTCATTCACTGGTTTTTGAGTCCAAACTATACTACCTAGCATGTAATGATATACCATCAGACAACAGGAATTTTTCATGTTAGTAGTCAATAGTATCAGGTATCCCAAAGAAAGTTCTAAAATATTTTAAATACTGGCAGCATCTTGGCATTATGTGTTATCACCTCCCAAAAGAAGCTTTTCAGATGTGTTAATTCTTGTGTTTTTAATATAAAATGAATCATATTAATATCTAGTTGTATCTTGTATGCACATGAGTATTCTCTTTAAACACATAACTCCATCCTTTTTTTGATTGGCAACTCTTACATTTTGTTTGATAATTGATCACAGCAAAGCAGTCAAGTTCCCAGAACTCAGACCTGTATGTCTCAGGGTTCACCTGTCAATTAATTACTCAGCAGAAATGTGCTGAGGGCCTACACTTTAGTTACCTCGGAACCTACTATGATAAGGGTTATGATGTACAAACCCCAGAAGGCATCATCCTGGCACTCCAGGAACTTCTAGTATTATTGGAAATAAGCCTTAAAACAGAGGCTTTTATTTTTTATTAAACCAATAAGTAAGTCTATTTTGCAACTATTTGTTTTGGTTGCTTCCTGTTCACCCCATTGCTGAAGGAGGAAATCCTGCCCTAGGTTTATGGGAAAGGCTGAACATATGACATCCAACACTAGACAGATGAGACCAGCATTTTATTAGCCACTTATGCTCACAGCCTGCAGGGGGGACACCTTGAACCATGCGGGGCCATGAGAGGGTTATGCTGAGAATAGAGTGAACAAGCGGGGGCTTTAGGAGGCAGGCTTTGTAGTAATTATAGGTGACGTGACAATAGAATCCTACAGAAGGATGCAACAGGCTTGTTTGAATAATTTCATGGGCTGATAGAGAAATGAAACCCGTTACTCAGGTATAAGCAGGCACTATGTATGGTCCCTGCCATAAGGAAGGTGTTTGGCTAAGGGATCTAACACATGGGAGCACAACAGAAAGGGAACTTTTGAGCCCCTCCTGGTTTTTCCCAGATGTCAAGGCACACATAATGTTGGGCCTTAATTTTAGGCCTTCTACCACACTACTGTGTATAAGACTCTGCGTAAAATGCTGTAGAAAAATGTAAGCATTTTTTATAAATAGTTTTTGCCTTCAGGAAATTTGCAGTCAAGTAAAGGATTTGTAAGTCTAATAAAAGTAAAAATGCATTTAAAAATTATGCGCTATATAAATGCAATAAAATTTTCCTACACACCACATTCTCTCCATCAGCAAGTTGGCACTCAGCTCTAAATTTGACGCATATCTTATTTTTAATGACTTCTCATAAGCTCCAACACTACCACTATTCTAGACCAGGGGTCAGCAAACTGACTTTGTGGACCCAATCTAGCCTGCAGCCTGTTTAGGTAAATCAAGTTTGATGGGAGCATGGCCACACTCATTTTGTTTACATGTTGTTGCATGCTGCTTTCAGTGTTTCAATGACTAAGTGGATGGCAAGGGTCTGACAGAAACTATATGGTCCTTTAGAGAAAAAGTGTGCTAATGGAGGTCATGAGATTTGCAGTAACATTTTTTGTTTGTTTTTTTGTTTTTTGAGACAGAGTCTCTCTCTGTTGCTCAAGCTGGAGTGCAATGGTGTGATTTGGGCTCACTGCAACCTGTGCCTCCCAGATTCAAGCGATTCTCCTGCCTCAGCCTCCCGGGTAGCTGGGATTACAGGCACACACCACCATTCCTGGCTAATTTTTGTATTTTTACTAGAGACAGGATTTTACCGTGTTGGCCAGGCTGGTCTCGAACTCCTGATCTCAGGTGATCTGCCCGCCTCAGCCTCCCAAAGTGCTGGCGTGAGCCACCTCACCCAATCTGTTTGTTTTTTAAAACTCTTTAAAAATGTAAAAGCCATTCTTAGCTCACTGGCTTTCCAGTACAGAGTGCAGGCAGGACTGAGCCCATGAGCCCTACTTTCTAAACCAATGATCCTCTTTAAGCATATATCAAATCACAGCACTTCATTTAAAAAGCCTCCAAAGGCTTCCTATTACATTTAAAATGAAAGCCACATGTCTTACTACAGCCTATAAGGCCTTTGAGCTCCAGCTGCTCCTTACCCCTTTGACATTATCTCTTAAAATGTGTTCCGTCAAGCTAGCTTTTCTCTGCCCACACTGGCCTCTGGCAGGACCTCAGACTTGCCAAGTGGGCTCTGGCCTCGGGGCCTTTGCATTCTTCATTTTTCTGCCTGGAATACTTGTGCACAGATCTTCTCAGCTTGTTGTTCTCATTCAGGAGAGGTGTCTTACCCAATGACTCTATCTAAAACCTCCTTACCCCCTGTCATTCTCTACTTCTTTACTTTGAGTGTTTTCCTCAGAGCATTTATATGAAACTAAGTCATTTGTTTTTTGGAGTTATTTCTTTGTTTACTTGCCTACTGTCTGCCACTCCACTAAATGTACGCACCCTGAGGACAGGCACTTTGTATATGTGGCTCACAGCTGCATCAATCACCAGCGGCTATTGGTATCGTTATTAAGTAGCAGATATTTAATTAATATTTGTTGAATGGATGATTGCTAGTTTTATGCAGTGAATATTCTTCCCTTTGTCAACTGATTAGGTTCCTGGGAAAGAATTTATACTGACCCCCTACTGAAAGTGCCGGTGTTTTTAAAGAAATCTGCTGCTCTTATGTCTCTTCAACAGCCAATGGGCATCCTTTCCATCCTTGAAGAAGAGTGTATGTTTCCTAAGGCTACAGACCTGACTTTCAAGACCAAACTCTTTGACAACCATTTTGGAAAGTCGGTTCATCTCCAGAAGCCCAAGCCTGATAAGAAGAAATTTGAAGCTCATTTTGAACTTGTCCATTATGCAGGAGTGGTGAGTTACCTCTGGACCCCCGGTCTTGAATTTTCCTGACTTTGTTTCAAATGCGCTCAGCCAAAGTCCTTAGATGATATTTAAGTAATGTTTAGATTAAATGAAGAGAAGAACAAAATACATCTCAGTTCCACAAAAAAGGTAGTGTAGCCTTTTAGCACTCAGGAAATGAACAATAGCATTCCATGTGCACAGAGGTCAAAAATCTCCAAATGGACTCTGTCAACCTCAACTCAAAGCAAGGCAGCTTCAGAAAGGCATGGAGACCATCAAAGTCATGGTTTTCCCCCATTTGTCCTTCCTTTTAACTTAACGTTGTGTGAATGAATGATTTCAGTTGATCTTTTTGTTGAAGATTTTTTTATTCTCCCGTAAAGAAATAGTCAATGTGAAGTAATGGTCTCCAAACTATGGCCAAAAACGGTTTCTAATGACCCTTGCTACCTCTCCTCATTTCCTCACCAGTGTATATGCCCCTTTTTCTGCATTTCTACTTCTGGCTGGTGACTCTGGTGGAACAAAAAGAGAATTGATAAAAGATAAAATAATACTTCGACCTAAAAATGGCCTGCCAGCTGTACACAGATATGTTTATAGTTCTCTTCTTTGATATCCTGGCATATTAATTATAATGATATATACAGTAAAATACCATTGCAATTGCTGGTTTTTTTTTTGAATGTTCACTGTATGTCAGAGACAGTTGGATTATTTCACCATTCTTGCCTTTAAAGGACTGCTGGTGTGAAATGCCATTCAATCCTTCCTTCCTCTCTGTTGCTCTCTCCCCCCTTTCTTTTCTCTCCTCTCTTCTACTTCTTCCCCTATCTCTCTCCCTTCTTCCCTTCCTGTCTGTTCCTTTCTTTTGACAATGTTAATGATAAGAATCTTGAGAATCTTTCTGGGCTGCACAATGGGCTTTTGGAGGTTATTCTGTACTATTACATTAAACTGATTTAAAGGTAAAGGACCCATATAATTTGTGATTTATTAAAAGTAATGCAAAGGCTGGGCATGGTGGCTCCCTGTAATCCCAGCACTTTGGGAGGCTGAGATGGGTGGATTGCTTGAGCCCTAGGAGTTTGAGACCAAACCGAGCAACATGTGGAAACCAAATCTCCACACATACACAAAATAAATAAAAATACAAAAAAAATTAGCCAGGCATGGTGGCATGTGCCTATAGTCCCAGCTACTCTGGAGGCTGAGGGGGAAGGATTGATTGAGACCAGGAGGTCGAGGCTACAGTGAACTGTGACTATGCCACTGCATTCTAGCCTGGATAACAGAATGAGACCCTGTCTCAAAAAAAAAAAGGGGTAATGCACAGCCTTCCATGTTAACTTATGCAGTTTTTTTTCTTTTTTTAACCTGAAATGCATGCCTTTCCAAAGGTACCTTATAATATCAGTGGTTGGCTGGAAAAGAACAAAGACCTCCTTAATGAAACAGTGGTAGCTGTATTTCAGAAGTCTTCCAACAGACTCCTGGCGAGCCTTTTTGAAAATTACATGAGTACTGACAGTGGTGAGTCATACAATCTTCCTTGATTTTTCAGCCTCAGAATGGAACCCATGGCTGCCTCAGCTTTTGCAAAAATTCTTGCTTCTTTCCTGTGATATGTTTCTGCTCCCTGTGGTCTGAGTCGTCCCCTCTTATTAGTCTTTCTGTCTTCAGGCTGGGGGTTCTTCAGGGAGATGGTACTAGTGCTCTAAGATAGATTCAAGAAGTCTGTTCCTGGCCTGCTTTTGTCTTCTACTTCACCTAGCTACAAAGGGAAAACAAAAAACATGTTTTGATGAATGATTTTGGGGCAATAACTTATTGTCCCAAATATCTATATAACTATATATATATAATTATAGTTATTGCCCCAAATATCTTAGAATATTCTCTTTCACAGCACTCTGTGCACTTAGGGTTATTAGAAGCTTCACGAGGGCAGGGATTATGTCTGATTTATTCAACTGTAGCCTCTAGCATGCAGCAAATACCTGTTTAACAGGCATTCTATTCTGACAACTAATCTTGTTTAGTAGTTTGTAATTTACAAAGTACTGTTAGATACATTATCTTACTCATTTCTTACCTGACACTTTAAGATATATACAGAATGTTCCTGTCTTTCCACCTAGCCTTTGCCATGTCGTAGATTTATAAAATCAGGGATCCTACTTAACTTCTCACAGGAACAAATATAGAGAAGTTAAGTAGCATCCCTGATTTTACAAATCTACTATATGGCAAAAGGCTAGGTAGAAAGATAGACTTCTGTTTTCTAGTTTAGTGCCTATTCTACTCACTGTCTCCCAGGAATGAACAAAACAGAGACAGACAGGCTACATGCATTTACGATGCAGTGAAAACTTCTGCACCATCATGTGATGGATTTGAAGATACTGAGCCAAAGTTGTTAACACCAGCCTCACTGAACGAAATGCTAACTACATACAGAGGGAAGCTCTCCATGATTTACAGCAAAAGTCACAGATCGACAGCCTCTGAGCAGAAACTGGCCTTCAAACACGTTTTGTTTGGTCCACACAAGCTAAAAAAATCAGATTTCACATGCACATTTGAGTTTCCGTTTTCTTTTGAAAAATGGAAATTCTGGGGAAATAGATAATCTAGCCAGCCTGGGTTCTGATTTCCCCATGGCAACAGTACACCAACTGTTCTTTAAATGGGGTGTGTACTCTCACTTTCGAACATACCCTGCTGTTATCTTACACCCAGCTGCATGTTAACTCCCAGCCCCTATCAGGCTGATTGGTTCTCTCGACTGACATAGGGAATGGAGAGAAAATTTAGCACTTTCTGGCTTCATCAGCACATGATGACATAATTCTGGAACATGCCTGAAATCCTCTGGGCCTGCCTCAAGAAGAGATGGAAGCTATTGTGACTGGACCCGGCTAATCTTCAGGCAGTACATTTGCCTGATTCTAATAGCTGCTAAAGTACCTCTGAGAAGTCTGTTTGATAGTAGCCACATAAGCTTATGACTCCCATTTGAGTAATTCTCTGATCATAAGAGATCAGAGAATGGTTTGGGCAGAGAATTAGAGGAGAAATCGTCTTCTAACTCTTCAGGTTGTGTACTGTGTTCTTTGGAACTAAAAGACAAGAATTGTTCAGAATGGCCTTTTTTTTAAATAATTCTTTAAGCACCCTCTGAAAATACTTGCCTCCAAGTTTCTGACGGATCTGAACATTAAATTGCTTGTGATAACCATACTTTCTCCTGGGGAATCCAAATAATTTAAACCAGGGTTATAATTCTTTTTAAAAAATTAATGAAAGGTAGTGTTATTCCCTTTTCATAGATGGAAAAACTGAAGTACAAAGAAGTCAAGTGTTTCACTGAGAGACCTGGGGTGTTTCAAAAGAACATTAGTGATTGAGCTTCATGACATCTGCCATCGCACAGTTGCTACTCAGGCGCAGAGAATATTTTATTAGTTTTCCATATTGACAGCTACCCTATTCTGTCCAGCTTGCCTATGGATTTTGTTGTTGCTGTGTTGCACATCTTAGTAACTTAGCACTATTCAAATGTTTGTAAAGCTGGTTGGCCTAGCACAGGTTCTTTTTCTTCAAGAAAATGGAAATAGACTTATTATTTTTTATAAATCATGAAAATAAATACATGAATGTTGCTAAAAACACAGACAATATAGAAAAACTGAAAGAAGAACATAAAAATTATCTGTAATCTCATATAGATTAACAAACTGTTTACATTTTGGTATTTACACCTCCCAACATTTTTCATGTTTATAGTCACCTATAACACAGCTGCACTTAAAAAAACATGTATACATACTCAGGGTCATCATATATAAAATTTAGGCTTTGTAAACTAACTTTTTATCTAAAAACATCCTAGAAATCTTTCCATATAAGTTATATGGATCCACATCATCATTTTAAAAGCTTACAGTGTTTCACTGTATGCATATTCTCTCATAAATTAATCTCCTATGATGTGCATTTGTTGATGAATTTTATTTTTGCTTAATTTTTTTGCAATGACTAAATAATGCTTCAGTGAGTATCATTGCACAGTTGCCTGATTATATCCTTAAGGAAAAACACTAAAAATATACATTTTGTGATAAAAGACATAAATATTTTGAAGCTTTTGGTAGATATTGCCATATTGTTCTAGAACTCTGGTGAATTTATGCTTCCATCAGTGGGGTAGGATAATGTGATAAAAATGAGCTTTTTACATGTTTTCATCTTTTTCTTTTTTTTTTTTTGCTAGCTATACCATTTGGGGAGAAGAAACGAAAGAAAGGAGCTTCATTCCAAACGGTTGCATCTCTGCATAAAGTAATTTTTAATTGCGTCTATTCATATATTAATTGCCTCACAATCTGCATATGTTATTATTTAGTTGACATTTCACATCTTCAAATAAGGATAAAGTATCAGGAGCTAGCAAGTTGGAAAAGTTGAAGTTTATGCTGTTATTATCAAGGGCTTTAGAGGACACTGTTTGTTCCCACTTACATCCCCTTTATCATGCCTGCACCCATCTTCCAGCTGATGTGCATATTGGCTCATAACAACTCTGAGTTGTCAGAATTGCACTTAGCCAAAGGGGAAACTAAGCTGCCTCTTTGCCCTCCTCTCCAGACTTTAGCCTCTCCCTTGCCTCAAGGGAGACCACCTATGCTGCAATTGGTGCATTCGTGTTTACAGCTCTTGCTTGCAAGGATCAGACTAAAGCTGAGTCTGAATCATTGCTTTTCTCTTCCCCTGCTGTTCCCAGCTTTCTTCACTCCCTAAAAATCTCTTGAACCAGAATTCCCATCTCAGGTTTGGCTTCTAGAGAATCTGACCTAAGATAAAGGTTTTCCACAGAGAGAGAACTTGAGAAACAATTTCTTTTTTCAAGCCATTTTATAGCCCAGCCATAACTTTGATATTGCTATCAAATTCAAAATAGGTAGAGATGATTCACAATTTAACTATGTCTGTCAAATAAATATTGACTTGCCATAGGAAAGAAATAATGTGCATTTGGTAGGCAGTAAAGAATGTTGAATTCATTATTTTACTGTTAGAATACATCTTGGCTGTGAGATTAAGTTGATAGATTTGGAGACATTTGTGAGGTGGATTGGTGTTTTTAGTGATTTGCAAAGTGATTTTGTGTTTATTATGGTCTCCATTTTAGGAAAACCTGAATAAATTGATGACTAATCTGAAATCAACAGCACCTCATTTTGTGAGATGCATAAATCCCAATGTGAACAAAATACCAGGTAAGAACTAGATTTCTTTGTAATTCACACTAGGAAATAGATTTGATATTAGCTATATTGAATATCTTTTAAAGAAATATTTATTGGTGCCTTTTATATAAGGGTAGAATTTCATATAGAAAAATGAAAATATGTTAAAAATGAGGTCTTTGGAACCTCCTCAATATTGCCATTGAAATGGATGTACAGAAGGGTTTCACAAAGCGGTCTCAATTGGGCAACATTAGAATGTTTGATATTACTATTTAAATTCTTCCTTGAATTTTATGCTGAACATGAGTGAGCTCCCATGCCATTGTCTACAAGGACAAACTATAATAAAAATGGAATTGAATAATCAATTAGGGGATTAAGGTAGATATTTCAGCATAAAGGAAGTTATTTGGTCTGAGTTATCTAAATTGACCATAAAGACACTTCCTAAATCCATTTCTAATTGTTGAGAACACCCTCTAGTCCTCCTTGCCAATGCCAACATCTTCTTCCCTCTTTCTAATAGCATTCATTTTTTTTTTTAGTTATGTAACTCTGGGTAGTGGCTATCTTTTGATCAGTGAATAGTGGTAGGGGGATGATGTGATAGGTGGATGGTAGTGATTTTTTTTTTTAATGTTTTCAATTCCCCAAACAAGGGTTTTACCAAAATTAACTACATGGATTGCTTTCCTTACTTCATGAGCTTGAAGATTCCCAGCCACCTCTTTGGAGTTACTGGCCCCTCTGGAGCTTGGTTTGGAGGCTGTCAGCCTCCAAGGAATGTATATGACAAGCCCTATGTCTTCAGAGCACTAACCACCCTTATAATACATAGCCAGATGTTGCTGGTTCTGATCTCTGAGGTTCCATAGTAGCTTGCATTTTTATTAACCTCCTGTAATTAAGACCCCAATCCTGACAGTCTATGGCCTATTTTGGGAAAGTGTGATACAAAACAATGATGCTGCAGTTTGAGTTTCTGCGATACAAATACTTTCATGTTCATTCACGGCTGTATGTTTGTGCCTCATTGTTTCCTATCAGCTGGGTTTCTGGATGTGTCTAGGGACACTGCTTCCATCTATCAAGGAATCTAATTAGCTGAGTTCTATTTTGGAGCAATTCTGTTACCTATTAGAGTTGCTTCCCATCGAGTCAACTTGGATTTCAGCAGGTTTGGTTTTTTTCTTAAAGTCATAAGACAAAGTCATAAGAAAAGCTTCATGATCTAATCAAAACAGTTATTCATATGTACTTAAAGAGAATGAGTGAGTCTGATGTTAAGGTGTCATAGGATTCTACTCCCTGTACCCCTCCCTTTTTTAAAAAAAATAATTTGAGACAGAGTCTTGCTCTGTTGCTGAGACTAGAGTGCAGTGGCTGAAGTGCAGTGGTATGATCTTGGCTCACCACAATCTCTGCCTTCTGGGTTCAAGCAATTCTTGTACCTCAGCCTCCTGTGTAGCTGGGACTACAGGCATGTACCACCACGCCTGGCTAATTTTTATATTTTTAGTAGAGATGGGGTTTCACCAAGTTGGTCAGGCTGGTCTCGAACTCCTGGCCTCAAGTGACCTGCCCGCCTCAGCCTCTGAAAGTGCCGTGATTACAGGCATGAGCCGCTGTGCCAGCCTACTTGTGCCTTCTTATACATCATCTGTTTCTATCTGTGAAAGGGATTCGAGTATAGAAATATGGGTATATGATTTAAGTTTATTTCTGTGACCTTGGGCATGGAGTCCTTTTTTTTTTTTATTTTTCATGTAATACCATAGTAGGAATTTGTGTTAGGAGATGTGGTCCTTGGCTTCTTTCAGAAGACTTGCTGAGGGCAGGGACAGTGGCTTCTTGGATGGTTTTTCAAAGGCTTCTATTGGACGTTGCAGCTGACAGCTGCAGTAGAGCTTCTTTTGATGAACGAGAAGGTGACAGAAGGATGCTTATACTACAGAATAGAATTTAGGCACTCTCATGAAAATAAGGGGAGAATGAAGTCTGGGATGTGGACAGGTCCTTCCTAAGCAAAACTGTAAACAGAATGTTGTGGTTGTGTCTATCTTCCCCTTTCCTTTTATTCTTCCTTGTTCTTATCCCTTCCCCCTCCTGCACGGAGAAGGCAGTTCTCTTTTGTGTTCTTATCACCCTTTCTGGCTGGTTTTGGTTGGCAAATGAACGTAGAGCAGCCATTTACATTCTAGCAAAAAATGTAATCTTTTTGCCTTCCAAGAATATTTGCTTATAAACATCTCATCTGACTGTGAATTAAGGGGCTTGTTCCATGTTAAAGGAATTTCAGGGAAATCATATTTGGAGATGCCTACATAATAGGATGATTACTGTGAGTACTATCAGGCCATAAGTGAGTGAACATCTATGACCTATCATGTGGAAACTATCCAATTCAGACTTTCTTTTTAACCCAAGATGCAGCAATTGGTTCAAAATCTGTCCCAATAATTTTTTTTCAGGCACAGATCCACCATGACTCTTTTTTTTTTCCAGGTATACTGGACCCTTACTTGGTTCTACAGCAGTTGCGCTGTAATGGTGTCTTGGAAGGGACTAGGATATGCCGTGAAGGTTTTCCAAACCGACTGCAGTATGCTGATTTTAAACAAAGGTAAACCTACATTCTAGGATCCAAGAAGCCTGAGGCAGTTCATTCTGTTTTCCTCCCTTTCCGAGTGTTTAGGCATGCATTGTTTGTTTGGTTGATGTCCTCCAGACTACAAATCGATGTGTTTTGGTGGTGGGAAGATATATGATGACAGAGTTCCATTATTATTTCCCCTTAAATCCAACATCCATGTAACTGTAATATCCTTAAATCTCTATTAACAAAGATAATAGACCCACATATAGAAGAAATATATACAGAAGAAACATATGGAGGCTGAATTGAATCTCTGAAATGTTGTGTATACTTAATCGTAGCTGCTATCCAAGCAGGCTGTGGCTTTACTAGCAAGCCCCTGAAAGGAAGGAAGCCAGCAGGGTGTATGGCAGGAGGCAGGAGTGGCATCTTTTCTATTTCTTGGATTCTAGAAGTTTAAATTATAGGTCATCAAATCAATTTGAGCAAAGTTTGGTAGAGTAAAAAGGGGCATATTTCTTGCTTTAGAATTAGGAGGCATATTTCTTGTTTTCCACCAACTCACCAACAGGGTAAAGGAATCCTGGAAAAGACATTTAATGTCTCTGCTTTTCAGTTTCCTTATCTATACAGTAGAGATACTTATGCTTTCCTCCCTCCCTCTCTTTCCTCTTCCAATCCTGCCCCTGCCTAATTGAGCAATCAATCAAATGAGGTTGCCTCTAAAGCAATATGAAAAGTACAAACTATTATACCAATGCAAGGGATTATTGCTTGTACCCTCATTATTGTTACTAAGAATCTTGTGAAAATTGAACATATTAGTAACAGAGATAAAAATCTATGTCTCCTTTCACCTCATTTGTCTAGATTAGTCTTTATTTGAATAATATGATTTCCCAAACTCATGATTTTTTCTTTATTTTAAATTAGGTACTGCATTCTGAATCCAAGGACCTTTCCAAAGAGCAAGTTTGTGAGCAGCAGAAAAGCAGCTGAAGAATTACTTGGCTCCTTGGAGATAGACCATACCCAGTACCGATTTGGAATCACTAAGGTAACCAGAAAACTGCAAAGAATGCATTTGGAGACGAATGGGGGGAAGACTGTGTATCTTAAAATACCTGTGAATGCTCAATTATAAGGCATTCTTCAGCTCTCATGACCATAAATATCACAAACAGATCTTAGCTGAAGGTGAAAACTTCGGTGCTGTTTGAGAAAAATATTCAATGTTTTTTAAACCTCAGTTTTGACTACATTTACATTTTTATAATTAGTCAACTAAGCAAATTTGTGTCAAGATATAAAATACTGAATCAACCTGATGTTATGAGAAAATGTGTATATATCAGAGCTAGAAAAAGTGAATCAGCTTCCTGGAGCTAATGGCTTGTCTGTGTGTGAACTGATTCATCCACCATATTCTTTCAGGGACAGTATTCTCTTAGGGACTAATTTTTCTGAGTAATTTAAAACTTTAAAGTTAACCCACTATCAAAAAATTAATCCAAAACCAACTTCCTTAAATGTGATTCCCTAAATTCTACTTCATCTTAGATGATATTGGCATGACTCACATATTTTGGGAAACTTCTAACTTATCAATAGATTTGGTGTTATCTGGCAGTCAACATCAGTTTGTTCCTAATGACATTCATATAAGGAACAAATTATTTGAAGGAGAGTTAAAAAATTCAGGATAAAGACCTCATAGAATTAGAACTCTGTAGGATATGGTTATAAAATGTTGACTCCCATATTTTGAGTACCTGAGAATCAGTTTCTGCTGTTTATTGTTTCTGCTGATTTTCACTGATGATGCCTTCCTTCCTTGTGTGTTTAGTTATTTTTACTGTATACTATTCATCTGGGCCAAGATTGACCTGAGGCAAGTGAAACTCCTAAGGCACAAATTTCAAAGAGGCTCTCATTCTCAGGGTTGGGCAAGTGAGGTTGAAAGGCACACACTCTCAGGGCACTCTCACACTTAGTGCCTCCATAAAATGTGTGCTTTAGGCACCTCACTCATTTCACCTTGTTTGTTAGTAATCATTCTTGAAAAAATACTTTTGTGGATTATTTGATGCCTAGACAAAAGTGCCTTACTCTAGAACAGAGGTCAGCAAACTATGGCCCAAGAGCCATGTCCATGGACTGTTTTTTTAATATATGGCCCACTAGCTAAAAATGGTTTTAGATGGTTCACGAATTGTTTAAAAAAACAAGAATATCCTACAGAGATTGTGTATAGCCCATAAAGCCTAAAAATATTTACTATCTGATCCTTCACAGAAAATGTTTGCAGAACCCTACCTGGTACTTTGGCACACTGCATGCCTGAGCCCATCTTAAAACTTAAACCAGGTTCCCTAAACAATTGAGACATTATTAATAGATAAGGGGAAGAATAGTTTAAGTTCTTAGGCAAACAATAGAACCACATGATTTAATAACGTTTTTTTTTTCACATTTTAGATTTATAAAATCAAACTTTCTAAGAAGTAGATTTTACACATTAAATAAAACTTACAAGAAATGGAATTGATACAGTTATCCCTAGGAACACAACAGTTGCTCACAGGATCATTTAATAAACATTTGCTGAATACCCATTATCAGTGGAGCTAACATCTGACTTTTCCTTTAGGTGTTTTTTAAAGCTGGGTTTCTGGGCCAACTGGAAGCAATAAGAGATGAGAGACTATCTAAAGTCTTCACATTGTTCCAAGCCAGAGCACAGGGCAAACTGATGCGAATCAAATTCCAGAAGATTCTGGAAGAAAGGTATTATATGCCCACCCTGCTCCCCAACTGCTAGGGTAATAGTGTGCCTCAACCAGTGCAACTAATCTCATTGCCTTATAGTAGGTCAAGAGCTGCCTCCTCTGCTTAGGCTGGGTCTTAAACATTTTTAAATCATGAGATAACAAAAGGACAGAGTGCAAAGGGCTTTTATTGCCCTATTCAACCAAATATAAGCATAATTCAGATATTTCTTGTCATGCTTTCAGGCTTCCCTTTGAGAGAGATTTTTATGTTCTGAGAAGTCTGGATCTCTGAGAGTGGTGTGACTCACAATTTATATCAGAAGCAGACCTGGAAAGGTTTGCATATATCCCACAGCCAACTCTTTGGGGAAGTGTGCTTCAAAGACCGAGGTGTTCTGACCCCTTTGTTACCTCCCCTGGGTCAGAAACTGTGGCTCTTGTTGACATGTAATCATAACTTTCTTACTTTATTTCAGACAGGTTCACTAGGGACATTTATCACCATGCTTGTACATTCTTAGGCATTGGTTTTGTCTATTGTTTAATAGAATCATGAAAAGCAAGCTAGCAAAATCTCCAAACAAAGGGACTGTGAGCAAGGGATGCTGAAGTTGTATTTACTTTTTCGTTAGCATATATTGTCTTCTGAAGAAAGGTCTACAGATCTTGGTGTAACTTGTTTAATTGACAATTTGTTAATTCTGTTTTTTCCCAAGAGAAAAAGATTATTACATGGTGATGTCAAAGATATTAGAGAGATGACTCTTAAGGGTCTTCTGTGACTCTCATATAGTGGTCAATGTGGTATGGGAGTTTGGGGGTCACAGAACATGGCTTCTAGGACCAGTTGTGTAAACTTGAGTAAGATTCTGAATTTCTCCATAGTTTACTTTCTTCATGTCTAAAGTGAAGCCTTTATGATCCATTCTCTCTAAATCATGACTTCAAAAGTTATTGTGAAAGCTCTCAAGTAAATAAAAAATACAGAAAATACTATAATGCATACTCATGGAGCCATCATGAAGATATATCAATTCTTAACATTATTATTATTAATTTCTTATTTTTGTAGAAACAGGGTCTCCCTATGTTGCCCAGGCTGGTCTCGAACTCCTGGGCTCAACAATCCTCTTGCCTCAGCCTCCCAAATTGCTGAGATTACAGGCATGGGCCATGGCACCCAGCCAACTCAATATTTTTTTTCTGTAATTGCTAACAACATTAAAAAAAATTAACATATATAGTTGAAGCCTCCATATAGTTCTGCTGTAATCCAAGTCTTACCTTTTCCTTCTCAGATCCTGAGTTTGTGTTTCTCATTCCATGTTTTATATATGTTATATAAAAGTATGTTTTCATACCTTTACTTACTCGATATGCAGATATCCTTAAAATGTGACATGATTTTACATGTGCTTAGTCTTCATGTAAATAATATTTTGTATATATTGTCCTGAAGTTTGTCTTTTATATTCAGTATTATTCTTTGAAATATATCAATGTTAATGAATCTAGGGCTAGATTATTGATTTTAACTGCTGTATAGTATTCCATTATATAAATATATCATAATTTATTTATCAATTTTCCAGCTAAAGTAAATATTTGTTATTTCCTTTTTTTTTGTTGCTACTAACTTCTGCAGTGATATTTTTGTAAATGTCTCCCCATTCATATACATAAGAGTTTCTTGAGGGCATCATTACTCAAAATACTCCATTTTCTGATAACAATTTGTGGATAGCAGCTGGTCTGAGGCACACACTTTGAGTGGCACTTCTCTAGGGCATGAATTAATAATAGGTTGTAGGTCACACACAACTGCAATTTTGCAAGATGTTGCCAAATTGCTTTCTAATATATCATACTCTCCACCAGCAATGTATGAGAGTCCCCTTGTCCCATGTTCTCACCCACTTGTGGTATATCAGCCTTTAAAAACTTTTGCCAAATGTCTTCATATTTCTGACTTTGGGGAAAGCTATCATTTCCCTTTAACAAATGATGTTTTCTGTAGGTTTTTTTTTTTTTTGTAGAAATGACTTATTATATGAAGGACATTCCCTCTATTTTATTTTGTTAAGCATTTTTATCAGGAAATTATTTAATCATTTATCTGCATCTATTGAAACAATCACATGGTTTTTCTGAATTAATCTATAAATGTGTGGAAATATATTAACAGATTTTTAAAAATGTTAAACTTACTTTGGTTAAGAAATATTTTCATACATTGATGGGTTTGATTGTAATATCACCATGAGATTTTTGCATCAATATTCATGAATAAGATTGGCCTGTAATTTTCTTTTCATCTGCTATGTTATCTGAATTTGAATCAAGGTTATCTTAACCTCATAAAACAGTTGAAGAATGTTTTCTCTCTTCAAAACATGAACCAGTTTATAACTGGTCTTTGAATCTTTGGTAGACATTGCCAGTAAAATCATCTGGATCTGGTGTTTCTTTTGTGATAGATTTTATATTTTGATTCAATTTATTTATTGGTTACATGTCTAATGAGATATTTTCTTCTTGAATTAGTGCAGGAAAGCTTTCTTTTATTAAAAAAATTTTACATTTCTTTTGAATTTTTCAATTTGATCAATTTTTATTTTATTTTTTATTTTATTTTATTTTTTGAGACAGAGTCTCTCTCTATCGCCCAGGCTGGAGGGCAGTGGCATGATATCGGGTCACTGCAACCTCTGCCTCCCTGGTTCAAGTGATTATTGTGCTTCAGCCTCCTGAGCAGCTGGGATTACAGGCGTGTGCCTCCACACCTGGCTAAATGTTATATTTTTAGTAGAGATAAGGTTTCACCATTTTGAGCAGGATGGTCTCAAACTCTTGGCCTCACGTGATCTGCCTGCCTTGGCCTCCCAAAGTGTTGGGATTACAGGCATGAGCCACTGTACCTGGCCTTATTATTTTTAAATCTCTACTGTATCTCTAATTCTATTCCTAGAGCATAATCCTAAATTATTTATATTTCTAGAGTATTATCATTTCTAGTATTTTTTTGTGGCTTCTCTCCTTTTTCTTGAACATTCATGCCACATCTTTATTTAGTCTATTTAATAAATCACTTAAACTTTTTTCTAGATCATTAATTTCTGATCTTACCTTTATTCTTTCTTTTCTTCTACTTTCTTTGTGTTTATTTTTTTCCTTTTTCTAACTTTATTCAGTTATCATTGACAAAAATTGTATATATGGCGTATAATCTGATGTTTTGATATATGTAGGTATTGTGAAATGATTACCACAATCAAACTGATTAATCATCACCTTACAAAGTTATCTTTTGTGTGTGTGGTGAGAGCATTTAAGGTCTACTCTCTAAGCAAATTTCCAGTATACAATACAGTATTATTAACTGTGGTTACCATGCTGTATATTAGATCCTCAGAACTTACTCATCTTGCATAAGTGAAACGTTGTGTCCTTTGAGCAACATCTCCTCATTTTCCCCATGCCCTGGCTGCTGGTAACCACCATTCCACTCTCTACTTCTGTGAGTTTGACTTTTTTAATATCCCACATATGAGTGAGATTATGCTGTATTTGTCTTTAAGTGCCTGGCTTATTATATTTAGCATAATGTCCTCTAGGTTAACCCATGTTGTCACAAATGACAATGTTTTCTTTTTTAAGGTTGAATAATATTTCATTGTATATTTATGACACATTTTCTTTATTTATTTGTCAATGAACACTTAGGTTGATTCCATATCTTGGCTATTGCAAATAATAGTACAATGAACATAGTAGTGCAGATATGTCTTCAAAATTCTAATTTCATTAGTATTTTGAAATATTAATGGGATTGATAGATCCTATGGTAGTTCCATTTTTAATTTTTTGAGGAGCCTTCATACTGTTTTCCATAATGGCTGTACCAATTTACATTCCCATCAACAGTGTACAAGGGTTCCCTTTTTCCACATACTTGCCAACTCTTATCTTTTGTTTTTTAGTAGCCATTCTAACAGGTGTGAGATGATATCTCATTGTGGTTTTGATTTGTATTTCCCTGATAATTAGTGATGTTGAACATTTTTTCATATATTATTGGCCATTTGTAGTCTTTTGAGAAATGTCTATCAGGTCATTGCTGATTTTTAATGGGGTTGTTTTCATGCTATAGAGTTGAATTCCTAATAAATTTTGAATATTACCCCTTTATTTCATGTATAGTTTGCAAATATTTTCTCCCATTCCATAGGTTGTCTTCTCCTTGTTTATAGTTTCTTTTGCTATGCAGAAGCTTTTTAGTTTGATGTAATCCCATTGTCTATTTTTGCTTGTGTTGCCTTTGATTTTGGGGTCACATTAAAAAAATTTGCCAAAACCAATGTCAGAAACTTTTTCCCCAAGTGTTCTTCTGGTAATTTTACAGTTTCAGATCTTACATTTAAGTCTTTAGTTCATTTTGAGTTCATATTTGTATATGGTGTGAGATGAGGATCCACTTAGTCTTCTGCATGTGGATATCTAATTTACTAACCCCATTTATTGAAAAGACTGTCCTTTCCATACTGTGTGTTTTTGGCAACTTTATTGAAGATCAATTAACCATAAATGCATAGATTGATTTCTGGGTTCTCTGATCTGTTCCATTGGACTATATGTTTGTTTTTATGCTAATACCATGCTGTTTTGATTGCTATAGTTTGTAGCATATTTTGAAATTAGGTAATGTGATTCTTCCAGCTTTGTTTCTAATGTCTTGGCTATTTGAGGTCTTTTGTGGTTCCATATAAATTTTAGGAATTTTTCCTAGTTCTGTAAAAAATGCCATTGGAATTTTAAAAGGGTTTGCATTGAATCTGTAGATAACTTTGGGGACTATGGACTTTTAACCAAAAATATCCTGTGTTCTTCCAATTCATGAACACAAGATATTTTTGCATTTGTTTGTGTCTTCAATTTCTTTTATCAATGTTTTATAGTTTTCAACATGCAGCTCTTTTACCTCCTTGGTAAGATTTATTCTTATCTATTTTATTTTAATTTTTGATGCTATTATGAATTGACTTCTTTTTTGGATAGTCCATTGTTAGTATATAGAAATGTTACTAATTTTTTATGTTGATTTTTTTATCCTGCAACTTTACAAGCGTGTTAATTCTGTTTTTTTGGTGGTTTTTAGGGTTTTCTACATGAGATACTTTAACTTCTTTGTTTCTAATTTGAATGACTTTTGTTTCCTCTTTTTGCTAATTACTCTGGCTAGGACTTTCAGTACTATATTGAAAAAAACTATTGAGAGTGAGCATTCTTGTCTTGTTCCTGACCTTAGAGGAAAAGCTTTCAGTTTTTCACCATTAAGTATGATGTTAGCTGTGGGCTTGTCATATATGGCCTTTATTATGTTGCAGTACTTTCCTTCTATACCTACATTGTTGAGAATTTTTATGATGGATGAATGGATGGATGTTAAATCTTGTCAAATATAAAGATATTTATATCATCTTGATGAACTGACACATTTTTCATTAGGTAATAACTTTCTTTATCTCTTGTTACAGTTTTTGACTTATATATATTTTATCTGATGTAACTATAGGTATCCCTGCTCTTTTTCAATTTCCATTTGCATAGAATACCTTTTTCCATTTCTCACTTTCAACCTGTGTATGTTCTCAAAGCTAAAGTATGTCTCCTGTTGGCAGCATATAGTTGGGTTTGGTTTTTCTATTCAGCCACTCTGTCTTTTGATTGGTGAACTTATTTCATTTATATTTAAAGTAATTATTAATAGATACAGACTTACTGCCATTTTGTTAATTGTTTTACAACTTTTTAAAAAAATTGTTTCTTTCTGTCTTCCTTTGTGATGTGATAATATTTTGTAATGCTAGGTATTCCTTTCTCTTTATCTTCTGAATACTTACTAGAAGTTTTTTCTTTGTGGTTACTATGAGGCTTACATAAAACATCTTGTAGTTATATGTTTATCTTAAGGCTGACAACATCTTATTTTAAGCTGGCAATAGTTTAACTTCAACTACATATAAAAACTCTTAATTTTAACTTATCTTGTCCCCACATTTTATGTTATTTATGTCACAATTTAATATTTTTTAGTATTGTATATCTATTAATCAGTTATTATAGCTATAGTTTTTTAAAATAATTTTGTACATTAACTAATTTTAGAGTTAAAGGTGATTTATGCACCATTATTACAGTATTATTCTGAATTTGACTATATTCTTTTCAGTGAGTTTTACACTTTTATATATTTTTGTGTGGTTAGTTAGCATCCTTTTGTTTCAACTTGAAGAACACCCTTTAGCATTTCTTGTAAGGCAAGTAGTGACGATAAACTCCCACAGCTTTTATTTGTGTGGCAGTCTGTTATCTCTCCATTTCTGAAAGGCAGCCTTGCTGGATACAGTATTTCTGGTTGGTGGTTTTTAGTTTTTTTTTTTTCTTTTAGCACTTTGGTTATATCACACCACTCTCTTCTGGTCTGCAAGGTTTTTGCTGAGAAATCTGCTCATAGTCTCATGAGGGTTTCATTATATGTGACAAGTTACTTTTGTTTTGCTGCATTCAAAATTCTCTCTTTGACTTTTGAGAATTTCATTATAATGTGCATTGGTGAAGATCTCTTTATATTTGATCTACTTGGGGTTCTTTGGGCTTAATGAATCTAGTTGTTCGTTTTCCTCTCCAGATTTAAAAGCTTTCTGTCATTGTTTCTTTAAATAAGCTTTCTGTTTCTCTTTCTCTGCTCCTTCTGTAACTCCCATAATGTGTATATTGGTAAGCTTGCCGATGTCCTACAAGTGCTGTAGGCATTCTTCATTCTTTTCATTTGTTTTTCATTTTTGTTCCTCTAAATGAGTAATTTCAAGTGACCTGTCTTTGAGCTCACTGATTCTTCCCCTTGATTGCATTTATACTTTCCATGGAATTTTTTCAGTCCAGCCATTTTGTTCTTCAATTCCAGAATTTCTATGTGGTTCTTTTTTATGGTTTTTATTTCCTTGTTGAACTTCCCCTTTTGTTCATGTATTATTTTTCTCACTTTGTTTAGTTGTTCTCTTGTAGCTCACTAAACTTTTTTTTAAGATCATTGTTTTGAATTCTTTGTCAGCAATTCATAGATCTCCATTTAGGTTGGATTTTTAGGGATTTATTTTATTCTTTTTATTCTTTTGTGTGTTCCTGATTCTTCATGTTTATTATAGCTTTGCATAAATGTCTGTACATTTGAAGAAACAGCATCCCCCCTCCTCCATGTTTATGGACTGGCTTTGACTGGGCAAAATCTTCACCAGACATCTTGGCTAGAGATTTTAGGACGTTGTTGCTAACCGCTCCAGGTGTCCAGTTTGTTTGTGCATTTGTTTCAGAAGCCTGTAATTTCTTGCTTTCTCCAGTTGTTACTTTGTAGATCTCCATTTTTTTAGGGATGGTTACTGGTGCTTTGTTTTGTTCCTTTGGTGGTGTCATTTTTTTGATTATTCATGATCCTTGTGGCCTTACATTAGTGTTTGTGCGTTTGAAGTAGTACACCTTTTGGTCTTTATAGGCTGGCTTCAACAGGAAAACCTCTTCAGCAGTAAGCTTGGTCAGAGATTCTTGGCAGCCCAGCTGGCATTGTCCACTGGCAGGAATGCTGCTGGAGTCTTGGGGCATGATGGCCTGGTGGTAGTTTCAGTGCACATTCAGGCCCAGTTCCTGGGTCCATGAAGATTAGCCTGGAGGCTGTATACACTAGATCTTAGATCCACATGGGCAGGCCTTGGTGTCTAAGTCCATGGTAGTGGACTTAGTGAGGGTATGTCTGGATCCTGGGGCCATGAGAATCAGTCTGTGGTTAGGATCTACTGGAACACCCTTGTTGACTGGGTTCATGGGGATAGGTCTGGGGCCTGGGTCTGTGGGGACTGGACTGATTATTGGGATGGTCCTAGAGTCTGGGTCACTGGGGGTAGGCTTGCAGTCTGGGGCTGCATGTCTGGACTGGCACTGGGGCAGGCCTGGAACCTGAGGTTGTAAGGGTCATCCTGGAGTCTGGAGCTGTGGGGGTTTATTCTTTTCTCAATTCACTAGTTTTTTTTCCCCAGTATTTCTAATAACCTGCTTAATTTTTCCACTGAGTATTTGATTCCAACTGCTATGTTTTTTAGTTTTAGACATTTTATTTGGTCTTCTTTCAAATCTGTGTGTCCTTTTGTCATAGTGGTTCATTGTTTCTAAAGTTCTTTCCTTTATACCTTTAATAATTTTTAACATAATTATTTGATAGTCTCCATCAGATAGTTCAATTATCTGAAAATCTTGGGGGTTTCATCAAACTTTTTATTATATGCACTCAACTTCATTTTCCTATATGTGGTTTGTAACTTTGGATTGTAAGCCCTCTTCAGGGGGCCTTATGTAGGAGAACTTCTGGTGCTTGGGTTTAAGGTATTTTTTTTTCAGTGTAATTTTGTATTTTCCTACCCCAAGGGTTGAAAAGGTATTTATTATCAGTAAAAAAATCACTGTGCTAATTTCTTGGATATTTGTGTATCATTCAGGCAGTATAATTTAGACCTTAAATACTTCAGTGGTACTGGATCATTAAAAAAAAATCTGAAGCAGGATTTGTCTTCACTCACACCAAATCAGATGTGCTTTAATTTGATATCTCTCTTTGCTGGTAGGTGGATTTTTCAGTCCTCCTTTTTATTAAGGGTAAGATTCTTTGAAGGTTTCTGCCTTGCCTTTTTATCCATGTGAATATGAAAATACAAACTCTTACAATACCAAGACTTGTTTCCTCCTTCCATAAAGATGGCCAAGCTATGCATGCATTCACTTATTGTTCAAGTTTTTGGTGCCTTCTATATGTCTTACTCTCTTTAGGTTCAGCTCTCATTCAAAGAATGTTTGTGGTAGGAACATTTTTAGGATATCTAGTCCATAATACTGCTAACCCCAGATATCCCTTGGAGAGTTTTTGCCAGAATCAAGTGAAAGTCCAGATATAAAAGTGCTTTGAAGACTAATAAGAATTTTTTATGACTCCTAAAAATATGTGTTTATTGAGGATCTTAATTTGGGAACTAATTCTCCTATAGTCAGGGCTAACTTGCTTTTCTTTTTTCTTTCTTGATTTAGGGATGCACTTATTTTGATCCAATGGAACATAAGAGCTTTCATGGCTGTGAAGAACTGGCCCTGGATGAGGCTCTTCTTCAAGATCAAGCCTCTTGTTAAATCTTCAGAAGTAGGAGAAGAAGTAGCTGGACTGAAGGAAGAGTGTGCACAATTACAGAAAGCCTTGGAGAAATCAGAGTTTCAGAGGGAGGAACTGAAAGCAAAGCAAGTATCCCTCACTCAGGAAAAAAATGACCTGATTCTTCAGCTTCAGGCTGTGAGTAGCCCCACCATTTGTTCTTTAAATCAAGTTTTTAATTAGACTCCCTTGTTAAGCAGGCAGTGTTGACACGGAAACAAAAAAATAGATGCATGTGGTTTTCAAATACCAAAGGATTTTATAAAACCAAAGACAATGAAAACAAAGAGATACCCTGTTTCATAGTGAAGTGATTTAATTGGCAAGATGTCTTTTAAAAAGGGACAAATTATCAGATGGGTTTTTACTGTATAATAGCACATCATGGAGGCCAGGAAGCTCTGGGTCTTAATTTAAAGTTTCTATGTAGCCCATGACCCATTAGCAAATCAGCAGACAGGATTTTAGTAGGTCCCAAGAAAAGCTTGACTGAGATCTTCAGGAATGCTGCAGTGTGCTTCTAGTCGGATATCCTGATTTTGGTCTCCCTGCTTCCCCTTCCTGGGTCCAAATCAACATTACTAATGAGCTTTTTTTAAAAAAATTAATTAATTAATTAATTTTATTATTATTATACTTTAAGTTTTAGGGTACATGTGCACAATATGCAGGTTAGTTACATATGTATACACGTGCCATGCTGGTGTGCTGCACCCATTAACTCATCATTTAGCATTAGGTATATCTCCTAATGCTATCCCTCCCCCCTCCCCCACCCCACAACAGTCCCCAGAGTGTGATGTTCCCCTTCCTGTGTCCATGTGTTCTCATTGTTCAATGAGCTGAGTTTTTAAAACAGTTCTTAACCTTGGCTTTGTATCAAATTTATTTGTGAAACATTAAAAAAAAAAAAATAAAGATGCCTAGACTCCACTCTCAGATATTTTGATTAAGCAGACTCTGTGTGGGTCCAAATAATCTCTATGGGTGACTCTGATATCCAGTCCAGATTAAGAACCATTGTCTTTAAAAAAGCATCATGTCGCTTTATGGGTGAGCAACCCTCAGATCATATAATACATACATTTTTAGATTCCAAACACCTGGTTTTGGCATTCAAGCCTCTGTCTACAGTATGATGCTAACGTGTCATTACTCACTCTCTTTCATGTTACTCCTCCCTAGCCCTCGGACTACTGTGATCCTGAAACAGCCCAAAGGGCCAGGATGAAATTTTAACCACCTTTATAATACTTTCCTCTCTACTTAGCACAGCATTAAGTTGAAAAATGCTGTGTTCAAATATAATTTATCTTGCTTTTTAAACAAGAAACAACAGTTTTTCTTGTTTTTAAACTCTACTAAAAACAGAAAATTTAGTGCTTTCAGACTGACACAAGTTATTCTTTTATTATTATTACTTTTTAATATTTTGGAGCTGTATTATCTACCAGCATGCCAACAGGCTGTATTTTATGTAAGACTTTACACCCAAACCCCCATTTCTGATACGTATTTAACATAGCAGTGATTCTACAACTTCAATGTATACAGTCTTACCTGGTATGCTTGTTAAAAATACAAATTCCTGGGCCCCATTTCAAAGCTACTGTAAGAAACTGTAAGAATCACAATTTGTAAAATATTTTGGTTTAGGGAATAGGTAACTTTGGTTGAGACCTCGCCTCCCAGTTTCTATCATTCTTCCTACTGATGGAAAGTAGCCAGTGCTACCTGGGGTGATGCAGGAGATAGAAATGGACCCAGCTTGTGTAGGGCATGGTAGACAAAAGCTTGATATGCATGTCAAAGGTCATTGTAGGGAGCATGGGAAACACATGGAAGCAAACTCTAGAGCAAACCCAAGAAGGCTGAGATGAGTTCAGATTGTAACTGTGATTAAGAAGTTGACAGAGCTATCATTATATATTATTATATATAATATCTATTTATGATTATTTTAAGGGAGAAAGCTAAACACAAAAGAATCCAAAAAAAAAAAAAAGAAATATTTTGAAATCCTTCTTTGCTTAGTCAAAATTCCAGCAGAACTGAGTGACCCCATTTCAATTAACATTGTGAGTATGTCAGAGAGCTGCCATTGGGGAAAGAATCTTCCTACTGCTAAACTGCCACACCATTGCTCAGCCCCCAAATCCTGCTGTCATGTTTAATGAAGAGATCAATGATGGTCGATTGGACTGTCCTCTTTGTTCAGTGATGGTGACAGGTCTTGTATACAGGCTGAATGGAATGCAGCAAAAACTGTTCTGCTTGTCAACCTGGGGTGAACTAAGATAAAATGTCCCCATTATTTCCCATACATTGGAAGCTTCTCTGATTTGCATTGACCCTTCCTAAATGTCCTGATACTTCTTTCTATTTAGCCCCTGTTCTGGGGTTTTCAGTGAAGTTGTACATTTATTATTCTATACCTCTCTCCATCTGTGCTTCTTTGAGCCCCGTTTGCTGGGTAGGCAGCCATTCTCCAGCCAGGAGCTACTCAGAGGCCAATAGCCTGGATTTTTACCTCCCCCCAGCCCCCCACTCTTGATCTAATTAGCAGACACAAGTTAAGTGAGGCAAATGGATCATTAATATGTTGCCCAAACTGGCATATTATGAAGGATAGGTGAGGTCTCGAGATGGAAGGTGAAAATGTATGTAAAGTTATATTACAGCAAGACCCGCAACAATTAAGAACTTGCTCATGAAGAAGAGGTTTTATTTAGCCAATAAAGAAGACAAATTAGAGGGGTCTAAAGTTATGAAAGGTGCTCTGTAGTAAAAAGCCCCTTTGCTTTTTACTTGACCCATAACACAGAAACAATGGGTCACCCAGTAAGAGCTGGAGGCAGTGCCTGTGAAAGGATAAATGAAAGAGTACCACATGCTCTTTGTGTAACTCCGTGCTGGCAGAATCATTGAGGCAAAAATTTTAGTTGGAAATAACAGTGAACTCTAGTTAGTGACTTGCAAATAACCTTATGAATTCTAAATTTAGCCTATGAATTTAAAAAACATATGACTCAGCTCAATTTATTAGAAGAGATGTATATTAAACACGTACATCCATGCACTTATAACAGTTACAGTGCAATATTCAGAGGGAACTCTGCTTTCTTAAAAGATGATTTCCTGAGCAGTTATCAACCTCAAACTCTGTGCCTACATGGATATTTCCAGAAGCTGTGGTTTAAGCAGCACACCACTGATTTTTGGAGGCATGCTAGCTCCTTTAGGCCACCAGGATTCTATTAAGTGCTTTAGAAGAAGTAATCTAATCTACTGAATTGGCCTGAGAGATTGAAAGCACCTCCAAACACAAGCAACTTCTCCACTTCTCAGTGATCGGATCAGGGACCTGGGAATATTATTGCAGCTGTTTAGGAAAGGTAGGTGAAAGTGCTGGGCAGAGGGCAGGCAATTATCTCTTTGCTGTGTGTTAAGCAGCATTTTCGCCTAGCTGATAAATTACTTCCAGCTGTTGGCAACAATTTTCTCCTCATCATGGCAGGAGCAAGAGACACTGGCAAATGTTGAAGAGCAGTGCGAGTGGCTGATTAAATCCAAGATCCAGCTGGAGGCCAGAGTAAAGGAGCTGTCGGAGAGGGTGGAGGAAGAAGAGGAGATAAATTCTGAGCTGACTGCCAGGGGGCGGAAACTCGAAGATGAATGTTTTGAGTTGAAGAAAGAAATCGATGACCTGGAAACAATGTTGGTGAAGTCAGAGAAGGAGAAGCGTACTACAGAGCACAAGGTACTTTTTCCATAATGTTAGTTAAGAAGGCCTAGCAGCCAGAATTCCACTCTCAAATCAGGTTTTGGTATCTGACTTGCTCTATTCAAGTTAATTAACACAGTGGCCTGCAACTTTACAGCATTGAGAGTCAGAACTGGCACAAAATATAGAGTCTGATAAACTATGCTGTCCCAATTCAGATTTCCAATTTGAACTTATGGAACCTTATTTAATCTCCCAAATGAAACATTTTCATTTGTTTCAATCCTATTGCATCTGAACTCTGTAATAGAGTAAAATGGTTTCATCGGGCCTGTAAGAACCCTTTTTTTTTTTTTTGGAAGGAGAGGGAGCATGATATGGTTTGCTAAAAGATAATTTGGGATGTGCCTGAGTCCCCAGCTGTGTCATTGATTTGGAGTTTGACCTTGAAGATGTCACTTTAATTCTAGTTAAGGGCTTTCATGTTTTGTTTTGGCTGAGAGTTTGTTTGAGGGTTTTAACTTGCGCATCTGTGTGTGGATTGAGGACAGTGAGGAGTCCGCATCAAGCCTCTGATACACAATCTCCAAAGTGACACCGTAATTTTGGCAGGCTATTAAGTAGCACTCTTATTTTTATTGATTCCCTTTCATAAAAAGCACATGGGCCTGATACAGTCAACTTCCATGTTTGCATGTTTTATCAGCTGGAACCTTTCTTTAACTGCCACTTTCTTGGGATACTGAGGCACAACACAATCAGTACATGCCATGACTCCTCAAAAGAAATTGCAATTGCTTTTAGTGTTGTTACTGTTATATAATAATGTGAATTAAATTGGCCATCCAATTTAGTTCATATTAATAATGTTAAATAATTATAAATAATGTTAATTATTTACCCATATTAATGTTTAAACAGAATACTCCATTTCCTCACCATGACAGATAACAGATCATTTTTGTGGGAGAAAAACTAAATGTAGCTTTAGAAAGCGTATCAGGAATTTGGCTAAATACAGCTTTTTGTGACATTGGATACCTCATGCGTAGTTTTGGACGACAGAAGAGAAATGACCCTCAGTGTTATGCCCAACTTTCCAGCAGTGGCTTTAATGAAGCTGTCATCTTCTTCCCACAGGTCAAGAACTTGACTGAGGAAGTAGAGTTTCTAAATGAGGATATCAGCAAACTTAACAGAGCAGCCAAGGTTGTGCAGGAGGCCCATCAGCAGACCCTGGATGACCTGCACATGGAGGAGGAGAAGCTCAGCAGCCTGAGCAAAGCAAATCTGAAGCTGGAACAGCAAGTTGATGAGGTCAGTAACGGTGTATCTGGTTAGTTATCTATCTGTCTACATATACACATAACTCCAGTTTTTACTTCATTAATTTATCTTGACAGTTTCAGAAAAACCTAGTAGCATAGTTTGTTTTCCTGATTATTGAGAATAAAAGGGTTCTTTTTCTTATACACAAAACCACGATAGTATAAGAGAGGTCTCTGCATATAATCTGTCGGTTTTTAAATGCAATTTTCATTCAACCCTGGGCAATGGAAAAAGAACATTAAGATGAATGGTAAAGGGTTATCACTCTAGGTGACTGGCTTTTCCCCATATCTCCCACAGAACCTGGTATTTTGCCCCACAGATATGCTGGTACTCTATTTACCACTAGTGTTGAAGGATTAGTTTTAAAGGCCATGTGTGTTTCCAGTGGTGTGCTGAGATTTATTTATGGTTGAAAGATATGTGAGCCACAAGTTGTGTTCTACCTACACTATTGGAAAATACTTTTAAGATTCTAGAGATGATGCCCCTATTTTGCCTCTAAATGCCCTGTGAAATAAAGCTGTTTCACACCAGTTTCAATGTGTGGGTTCATAATTCTTCCTTTTTCCCACCCCAGCTGACATAGTGTATGCATTTATGCTCACAGTAGTCCCCAAAGTGTAGCCTTTATAAAATTGTTGACAAGAGTGGTTAGGTTTTTTTTTTTTCTTCTTATCTGCTGCTCTTTCTTCCTGCCTCTATATAAATTTCTTCTATTATCTATTCGTTGTGTTACATTTGTTCCTATTTCCAATAATAACATATCTCACAAAGCCTCAGCATAAGGATTTTTGGGTGTTTATATGTGTGCTTATATATGCACATCACACACACCTACCCACACCCACACACCCACCCACACACTTATTCTCTCCTGGTGTCTTAGTCCATTCAGGCTGCTATAATAAAATACCATAAACTGGGTGGCAAATAAATAGCAGTTTATTTCCTACAGTTCTGGAGGCTGGGAAGTCCATGATCAAAGTACCAGCAGAGTTGGTGTCTAGTGAGAACTCATTTCCTGGTTTATGGAGGGTGACTTCTCCCTGTGTCCTCACATCACACAAGGAACAAGGGAGCTCTCCAGGATCTCTTTTATAAGGACTAATTCCATTCATGGGGGCTCTACCTTCATGACCTCATCACTTCCTAAAGGGCCCACCTCCCAACACCATCATACTGGGAATTAGGATTTCAGCGTATGAATTTGGAATCCTTTCCAGAATTTCTCCCTCCTTCCCAATTTGAATTTCATCTCTTTGGCTGGTTACAGAGGATATCTTCCATTGTTTTAAAGTAAACATATCAATAAATAAAAAGCCATATTGTGACTGTTATCTAGCTTCCTGGAAAATTAACCTCTATATAATTCCTGGCAATACTAATCCATACAAAACTGGAATGTTCTGATGGGGAACATTTAGTGAGGAACCAGAATATGACATAATGTTATGAACTGGAAGAGGGTACCAAGGTGGTGACGGGGCTTGGAAATCATGACATGTGAGAATGTGTTTGAATGGGCCAGTGATGCCAGGGGGTTCTTGCAAATTATTAAGGATGATCATGCGGAAACTGATTTGCTTGGTGTTGCTCCAGGGAGCAGAGCTTGTACTTGTGGATAGAATTTACAGGGAATATTTTGGCTTCTTATGAAGAAGCACTCCCAAGTAAATGGACTTATCCACCCGTGAAATGAGCCGCCATGTGAAGAAGTGAGCTTCCTATCATTGGAAAACGATCAATCAAGGGCTCACTGGCCATTTCTTGTTGGTTCCTTCCCTAAGACAGAACTCATATTCTGTTATTTCTAGTTTTCTTCCATCCCTGTGATTTCTGGATTCTTTTGTTAACCTATTGACATATGCAATATTTATTTGGAAATATCTATGTTACTGGGCATCATTTATAGAATTTGTGCTTGTGTCTTTCTTTTTCCAGAAGGTAAGTGGTTAATGAACACATCTAGTGAAGTATAAACTCTACCTATTTATTTAGCTAAATAATGTTTCCTTTTGTCAGCTTGAGGGTGCCCTTGAGCAGGAGAGAAAAGCGAGAATGAACTGTGAAAGGGAACTGCACAAACTGGAGGGCAATTTAAAGCTGAATCGGGAAAGTATGGAGAACCTGGAAAGCAGCCAGCGACACCTGGCAGAAGAGCTGAGGAAGTAAGCCACCTTTCTGTTGACATGAGATTGCTGGAGACCTTATATTAGAAGGAACAGCTTTCTCATTTCATTTATCCTTAGGACTCCAGGGCCAGATAGCTCAAGACCCAAGGCAAGGATAACAAGCCTAGGAAACAATTTTTTTTTTCTTTACTGGACTTTATTTTATAGTTGTAAAGAGACCAGATGCATAATCTAGAAGGACGTAACAGAAAATACCTGACTAGCAAATGAGAAAGAATGGTGTAAGGTATATGAGATGTAAACTTTTGGGAACTTGCAGCTATACGTCAAAAAAATAAAAATGACACTCTTCTTTTTACTCATGACGAGACCAATGGCATAAAATGTAAAAAAAAAAAAAAAAATTGATCCTGATGTGAAGACTTACATACTCAGATTACTTAAATAATATATGTTTGCCAGACATAACTTAATATTTATATAGGAATTTGGTGAAATAATTTACTATATAAATATTAAACCTTAAAATCTAAAACAAGCCATGAAAATGATCAAAATTAGGGAAACTTTCAATTCATCTGGATTCCTTACACCCCAAAGAACTCAGGGCAACTTGGCTTTCTCAGTTTAGTTCTACTAGTCAGTGACATGGATTTTCTCACCTTCTCCCTTTTGTCATCTTCCTCTGTTTAACTAGACTTTTTTTTTTCTTTTAACCATTAGGGATTTTCAATTTATTTAGATTATACCAAATAAGAGAAGAAAACAGTGAGGATGAAGAGTAAGATGGGTCAGGTTTCCGAGGTGGGTGGATCACGAGGTCAAGAGATTGAGACCATCCTGGGCAACATGGTGAAACCCCATCTCTACTAAAAATACAAAAATTAGCTGGGCGTGATGGCATGTGCCCATAGTCCCAGCTACTTGGGAGGCTGAGGCAGGAGAATCGCTTGAACCCAGGAGTCGGAGGTTGCAGTGAGCTGAGATCATGCCACTGTACTCCAGCCTGGCGACAGAGCGAGACTCTGTCTCAAAAAAGGCCACATTAAAGATAGTAGTATATCAATGGTTGAGGCCCACAGTGAAAGAGGGAAGAGAGTCCAGTGACCAGCTGTGAGCATCTGGCTTTCTTGTTGGTATATACATATGCTATTATACATGCTCTTGGTGAGGCTTGACTCATATTCTGCTAACAAGTTACTGGGCTTAATAGGTGTTTAGAAACGATGAAACAAGCGACCTTATGAATGGAATGGAATAATTAAAGCAAAATGATGATAGAGTTCCCTTAGCATTCAATTTTGAAGTTGTGTTTCAGTGCAAATGATAACCAGCAAAGTGTAAATGATACTGTATGTCGTGTAGGCCACAGGTCAAGAGTTTTAGCATTTTAGAAATCCATATTTTCAAAAAGTTGTAACTTTATTATAAAACTTTTCCCCTAAATAGACCTATGTATATCTGAAACAATAAGCGATAAAGGTGGCATTTCAAATTAGCGATGACAAGAGACTTAAATGGTATTGGAATTATTAGCTATTAATTTCCTGAGGTGAGAGAAATTGCTACCTCATACAATTTATAAACACAAACTTCAGTTGCACTAATGAACTCAATGTCAAAACAAAGCCATAAAACCATTAGAAGATGCCACATTATTCACAATAGCCAATATATAGAAGCAACCTAAATATTCACTGATACATGAATGGATAAAGAAAATGTGATGTGTGTGTGTGTGTGTGTGTGTGTATACATATACATATATGTATATATACATATACACAAAAACCTATTGAAATAAAAAATAAACTTAAAAATGAAAAAAAATCCCAAACACACACATACATACATTCATACATACATCTGTATACATACATATATATATATATATATGTATATAAAATATACATACACAGTGGACTATTATTGAGCCTTGAAAAGAAACCCCTGCCATGTGGAAAAACATGGATGAATTTGGAGGACATTATACTAAGGGAAATAAGCCAGTCACAAAAAGGAAAAAGACTGCATGATTCCACTGATAGAGGTATCTAAAATAATCGAATTCATAGAAACAAATTCATAGAAAAGTGGTTGCCAAGGGCTGGGAGGAGGGAGAAATAATGGAGAGTTTCTGTTCAATGAGTATAAAGTTGATTATGTAAGATGATTAAGTTCTAGAGATCTGCTTTACAACATTTTGCCTGTAGTTAACAATACTACATTTTGTACTTAAAAATTTAAGAGAGTAGAGCTCATGTTAAGTGTTCTTACCACAATTTTTAAAAAATTAGAATAAAATACAGTCAATAATTCTTAGGAAATTGACAGGATAAGTCTTCTTGAACAAGTCACAAAAAGCCAAAGACAAAAGGAAGGCATTATATATTTGACATCAAAATTTTAAACATGTGGCAAACGCCAACACAAATAAAATGGAGACAAGTTATAAAGTGAGATAAAAATTTGTAACAAATATAAAAAATGTCAAGAATCCAAGGAAAATCTATAACTCAATAATTAGATGAACAAACCTAACAGAAAAATGGGCAAAGAACATACACAGGCGGTCCATTTGGTTTACTGGCCATTTAAAAATACTAATAGTTGACAAGATGCAGTCATTACTAGTAAACGAGGGCATTCAAAATAAAACAATGAAATAGTAATCTATTTTCTAAGAAAATTTCAGAAGTATGATATTAAGAATAAATGTAGAGAAGCAATGATCTCACACTGCTAATGGAGAGCAAGGGACAGGGCTATCTTATTTTTTTAGCACTCACCTATACATTACCCAGTAATTTCCTGCTCAGTGTCCACTCTAGAGGAACACTCTCATGTATACAAGGGGCATGATTATGAATAGTTTGATTTGTAAAAGCAAAATATTAAGGAAAACCTAAGTGCTTATTAATTGTGAAATTCAAACTAAGGAATGTCTAAATCGTGAAATATTATGTCATAGTTAATTTTTAAATGGAGTACTCTGTGTAGGCTTGTGTAGAAAAATATTGAATTAATATGTTATTAATATAATAATTAGCTTAAAATATAATAGCTTAAGATTTTTAAGCTTAATATATTGATAAGAATACATTCTCAGGCTGGGTGTGGTGGCTCATGCCTGTAATCCCAGCACTGTGGGAGGCGAAGGTGGGCAGATCACCTGAGGTTGGGAGTTCGAGACCAGCCTGGCCAACATGGATAAACCCTGTCTCTACTAAAAATACAAAATTAGTCAGGCTTGGTGGCACATGCCTGTAATCCCAGCTGCTCAGAACGCTGAGGCAGGAGAATTGCTTGAACCTGGGAGGCAGAGATTGAGCTGAGCTGAGATCACACCATTGCACTCCAGCCTGGGCAACAAGAGTGAAACTCAAAAAAAAAAAAAAACCATTCTCAATTCAATAATATATTTAAAATATTAAATACAACAATATTTAATATTAAATACAACAATATTTAATATTAAATACATATTTAATATAAATGCTATTATCAATATCTTAATGTAATAATATATTAATATCAATCAAGTTGTTAATCTATACATGCAAATGTATGTGATATTCTATCACAGTAAGGAAAATGAAACTCTACAGCTACATGTACACATGTAAGCACAAACATATGTCAGTACTTAAATTTCTGGAAGGATTTACACTAAATGGATAATGGTAGTTTCCTCTAGTGGGAAAGCAGGGATTGGGTATGACATTAGTTTGTTTTCATGTTGCTGATAAAGACATACCCAAGATTGGGTAATTTATACAGGAAAAAGGGTTTAATGGATTTACAGTTCCACATGTCTTGGGAGGCCTCACAGTCATGGCAGAAGACAAGGAGGAGGAAGTCACATCTTATATGGATGGCGGCAGGCAAAAACAGAGAGAACTTGTGCAGGGGGACTCCTCCTTATAAAACCATCAGATCTCAAGAGACTTACTCACTATCATGAGAACAGCATGGGAAAGACTTGCCCCCATGATTCAATTACCTCCCACAGGTTCCCTCCCACAACACCTGGAAATTCAAGATGAGATTTGGATGGGGACACAGCCAAACCATATAATTCTGCCCCTGGCCCCTCTCAAATCTCATGTCCTCACATTTCAAAACCAATCATGCCTTCCCCACAGTCACCTAAAGTCTTAACTCATTTCGGCTTTAACTCAAAAGTCCACAATCCAAAGTCTTATCCAAGACAAGGCAAGTCCCTTCTGCCTAATAGCCTGTGAAATCAAAAGCAAGTTAGTTATTTCCTAGACACAATGGGGGTACAGGCACTGGGTAAATACAGCCATTCCAAATGGGAGAAATTGGCCCAAACAAAGGGGCTACAGGCCCTATCCAAGTCTGAAATCCAGCAGAGCAGTCAAATCCTAAATCTCCAAAATGATCTCCGTGTCTCACATCCAGGGCACACCGATGCAAGAGGTAGGTTCCCATTGTCTTGGGCAGATCCTCCCCTGCGGCTTTGCAGGGTAAAGCCTCCCTCCCAGCTGCCTTCATGGGCTGGTGTTGAATGTCTGCAGCTTTTCCAGGTGCGTGGTGCAAACTGTCAGTGGATCTACCATTCTGGTATCTGGAGGACAGTGGCCCTCTTCTTACACTTCCACTAGGCAGTGCCCCAGCAGGGACTCTGTGTGGGAGCCCTGACCCCACATTTCCCTTCCACACTGCTATAGCAGAGGTTCTCCATGAGGGCCCCGCTCCTGCAGCAAACTTCTGCTTGGGCATCCAGGCATTTCCATACATCTGAAATTTAGGTGGAATTTCCCAAACCCCAATTCATGACTTCTGTGTACTCGTAGGCTCCATACCAGGTGGAAGTTGCCAAGGCTTGGGGCTTGCACCCTCTGAAGCCATGACCCAAGCTCTATGTTGACCCCTTTCAGCCATGGCTGGAGCAGCTGGGACGCAGGGCACCAAGTCCCTAGGCTGCACGCAGCACGGGGACCCTGGGCCCAGCCCACGAAACCAATTTTTCCTCCTGGGCCTCTAGGCCTGTGATAGGAGGGTCTGTAGTGAAGACCTCTGACATGGCCTGGAGACATTTTTCCAGTTGTCTTGGGTATTAACATTTGGTTCCTTGTAACTTATGCAAATTTCTGCAGCTGGCTTGAATTTTTTCTCAGAAAATGGGATTTTTTTTTTTCTATCACACTGTCAGGCTGCAAATTTTCCAAACTTTTATGTTCTGCTTTCCTTATAAGACTGAATGCAGGCAGGGTGCAGTGGCTCATGCCTGTAATCCTAGCACTCTGGAGGCCAAGGCGGCCAGATTGCCTGAGCTCAGGACTTAGAGACCAGCCTGGGCAACACAGTGAAACCCTTCCTCTACTAAAAGACAAAAAATTTGCTGGGCAGGGCAGCATGAGCCTGTAGTCTCAGCTACTCAGGAGGCTGAGGCAGGAGAATTGCTTGAACCTGGGAGGTGGAGGTTGCAGTGAGCCAAGATTGTACCACTGCAATCCAGCCTGGGTGACAGAGCAAGACTCAGTCTGAAAACAAAACAAAACAAAACTGAATGCATTTAACAGCACCCAAGTCATCTCTTGAATGCTTTGCTGCTTAGAAATTCCTTCCACCAGGTACCCTAAGTCATATCTCTGAAGTTCAAAGTTCCACAAAGTTCTAGAGCGGAGGCAAAATGCCACCAGTCTCTTTGCTAAAACATAACAAGAGTCACCTTTGCTCTGGTTCCCAAGTTCCTCATCTCCATCTGAGACTACCTTAGCCTGGATTTCATTGTCCATTTCATTATCAGCATTTTGGTCGAAGCTATTCAACAAATCTCTAGGGAGTTTCAAACTTTCCGCATTTTCCTTTCTTCTTCTGAGCCCTCCAAACTGTTCCAACCTCTGCCTATTACCCAGTTCCAAAGTCGCTTCCACATTTTTGGGTATCTTTTCATCAGCACCCCACTCTACTGGTACCAATTTCTATATTAGTCCGTTTTCACACTGCTGATAAAAAAGTTACCTGAGACTGGGTAATTTATACAGGAAAAAGGGTTTAACAGACTTACAGTTCCATGTGGCTGGGGAGGCCTCACAATCATGGTGGAAGGCAAGGAGGAGCAAGTCACATCTAACGTGGATGCTGCAGGCAAAAAGAGAGAACTTGTGCAGGAGAACTCCTCTTTATAAAACGTTAGATCTTGTTAGATAGACTTAGTCACTACCACAAGAACAGCACAGCAAAGACTTGCCCCCATGATTCAATTACCTCCTGCTGGGTCCCCCCTACAACATGTGGAAATTCAAGATGAGATTCGGGTGGACACAGCCAAACCTTATCAGGTATCATAGCCAAGAAAACTTCAGATGTAGGTATAATCATTGAAGTTTTAAAATGAGAATGAATTATTGTGTTATATCTATAATTTAAAACATAATTAAACAAAATGGTATTTTTTACTTTTGGTTAAAGCCTGGTTGTGTTTTTTTATTGATATATAATAATTGTACATATTTTTGGAGTGCATGTGCTATTTTGATGCCTGTATACAATGTACAATGAGTAAATCAGGGTAATTGGGATATCTATCACCTCAAACATTTATCTTTTCTTTGTGTTAGGAATATTACAATTCTAACTACTTTAAACAAAATGTTATTATTCTGAACAATTGTATTTGATATCTTTTTCTAAACAGAAAAGAATTAGAATTGAGTCAGATGAATTCAAAAGTGGAGAATGAGAAAGGCCTGGTAGCTCAGCTTCAGAAGACGGTTAAAGAGCTTCAGGTAATCAATTATCAAATATGCCTGTGTATTTATATTTAGATCCATGGGTGATGACTGGTGGTTCAATGACTAATTCTCTGCCAAGGTATTCATACCCTTAGCCAACCACAGGCAGAGGCAGAAAAGAACAGTGGTTAAGAAGGGAAACTGTGGCATTCCACAGATAGAGTTAAGCTTAAATTTCCTTATGAGAATAATAAAAATGAATAGCTAATTGGTTGACTGTTTGCTGTGAACCAGGCATTGTGCTAAAATCCAAAACTTGTTTTTTCACTCATGAATCCTTCTGGCAACGATTGAGCTCATATTACTAAATGCAACAATATATTTAAGTAGTAAGCACAGTGCCTGACCCATGGTATGCATTCAGTGTTAGCAATTTAATTTTTATGATGATTATTCTTTGTGATTAGAAGGCGATTGAAAATCAGTAAGTTCTATAGGTACTTGTGGCCTCAAAACATTATTTGATAATGGATAGCTATTTATAAGTTTTAGACCATGTGAGTTTTATAGCATATGACCATGTTGTAAAGTAATTTTACACACAATTGCACACATACACATTTAGATGGATAATTTCCCTTTGAAGCTAAATAAATATCTTAGTAATATAACCATGACTCAAAATAATTTTGGAACATCTTTCTGATATTTATCTTCTGAGATATTTTGAGCCAAATAAGAAAACCAGTCTCAATGTTTTGTAAACATTTTAGTTTCAGACACACTATTAATCTCCAAGTGGTTATCATATTCATTGGGCTTGTCTTCAAATGACTCTTGACTTTATCCAAAATAAAGTAAAAAAACACAAACTTTTCTATATATCCAAAAGACAAATTTCCTTACCTTGATGACTCAAAAAGTTCTCTAAAGATTATTTCTGACAAAACATTTCAGAAATGTTTGGTTCAATGGTGGTATTATTTGGGATAAATATTTTCTTGGATCCCATGATAACCAGTTGGAAGAGGATCATGGTTACTTGAATGTGGAAATCATACTTTCTTTAAGCACCTTTTCTGTCATACCTCATCTATAGAACTGATAGACTACTTATTTGATATAATCTAGAAATTAGTTTTTTCTAAGCCACAGTAGTCTTATTTAATGGAAAGGAAAACATATTCTAAAACAGTTTCTATCTTGTTTTCTCCCCTATCCTAATCTATGCCTAATTACTTAAGGTGATGATAATAACATCAGTGGCTTCATTGTACTGTAATACAGTAATGTTCTCAGGATTTGTAGACCTGTTTGGCCTATACTAAAAGGGCTTGGGGCTCTGAGAGTTGTTATCACCTTTTTTTTCCAATAATCCTGCCTCTGATGATACTGTATCTCTACTCGCTTTAGTAGTCCACATTCCTTCACCAGCTCTCGTTTGTTATTTCAAATCTCTTCCTTGAAATCTCCTGCAGACTAGAAAACCAAGTAACCAAGTTTTTTAGAATTGTGTGTAAAATTAAATTGATGCTATTTCTTACAATTAAATTGCTTGAACTTGAAGATGTTCATTTTATTGATCAGATTTTTGCCCAAGTCCTAGATAGTTGAGATCAGATAAACGAATTTCAAATGAGGAAGATTTTTGTATATAAAATTTACCATTCCAATTTTTATAAATGCTCTTAAACAGTTTTTTTGGTCGTATGAAAGATATTTTCCTGTTTCTTTGGGAAGTGCTCTTTACTAAGCTTTCCCCTCCATCTATATAATTTAATGAGCTTGCCCATCATCAGGGGCTGAGCAATTTGGCAGAACTGCAAATTCTAATTCTGGTCTTGGTACTGAATTGGGGCAAATCACTTAACTTCTGTGTATTCTGTTTTCTTTAGTTGTAAATTGGGAACCAAAAGTTTCATGTTAGCTTTGTGATTAAAAAAAAATAGAGTAAAGCTCTTGCTACAAGTGCTTAGTAAAAGTCAAAATTATTTCTTGCTACAGACTCAAATAAAGGATTTGAAAGAGAAACTAGAAGCTGAAAGGACCACTCGAGCCAAGATGGAAAGGGAGAGAGCTGACCTCACCCAAGACCTGGCTGACTTGAATGAGAGGCTGGAGGAGGTAGGAGGATCCAGTTTGGCTCAGCTGGAAATAACTAAGAAACAGGAAACCAAATTCCAGAAGCTGCACCGAGACATGGAAGAGGCCACTCTGCACTTTGAGACAACTTCTGCATCTTTGAAGAAGAGACATGCAGACAGCCTGGCTGAGCTCGAGGGCCAGGTAGAAAATCTACAGCAGGTCAAGCAGAAACTGGAAAAAGACAAGAGTGACTTGCAGCTAGAAGTAGATGACCTCCTGACCCGTGTTGAGCAGATGACAAGAGCTAAGGTAGATACTCCCATGCCATCCTCGTGGTCTTCTGAACATGGAAGTAGGGAGGGGAAGAAATGGGAGGGGAGGGAAAAGAAAAATAAGCCAGCTTAGTGACTCAGTGTATTTTCTAATGAAGACTATAGTCCTTTGGACGGAATAGATCAGGCCTGACCTTAGTGGTCATTGTTAAGGTCACACAGCCATCACCAGAATGTGACCTGACAGTGGCCTCTGGTTTTAACAGAATTCAAATCCATGTTCCTTATGGATTTTTTTAGTGATTGCACAAGTAAGTGAGCTGGAAATCTGAGGCCACTATCTATGTCTGTCTTGAAGAATGACTTTTGTTATAAGTGCTCCTCAGTGATGGCCTGGATACTCCTAGAACCTATCTGAATGAATGGTGTACACAAACAGCTTTGCTGAGAGGAGGGAACTTTTTCTCCCTCAAGTCCTCTGGCATCTTTTTAATCAGCCAGTACTATAAGAAAGGTTCATCACATGTTCTTTCTTTACTGAGCCCATTAGCCTATATGCTGCAAGCTGTCATGTCAAATGGTTACTATGAGATCATCGAAATCAGCGACCCTGTCTTTTGGTAGTTGAGAGGAGCTTTGCTTTAGATTAAGCAGAGCAAATGGCTAGTTGCTGCAACCTTCTCTCCTTGTGAGCAGATTTTATAAAGTCATCTGGGAAAGACATGGCCTGACAATAAAGCTTGATCTCCATGGACTATGGTTAGAAAAATGTAGAATATCTTCAGTGATATGGAGTGGTTTCTGAAATATTTAATATTAATTCCTTTTAAATACCATACTGAGTAGAAAGAAACAGTCTCTCTCTCTCTCTTTCTCTCTCTCTCTCTCTCTCTGTGTGTGTGTGTGTGTGTTGTGTGTGTGTGTGTGTGTCTTAGTCCATTCCTGCTGCTGTAATGAAATACCACAGACTGGGTAATTTACAAATAATAGAAATTTATTTTTCACAGTTCTGGAGGCTGGAAAGTCCAAGATCAAGGTAGCAGCAGGTTTATTGTCTGGTGAGGTCTCTCTGCTTCTAAGATGGTGCCTCTTGCTGCATCCTCACATTGCAGAAGAGCAAAAAGGGGAAAGGGACAGATGCTCCCTTGTACCAGTCCCATTGATGAAGGCTCCTATCCTCATGACTTCATCACCTCCTAAAGGCCCCATCTAACACTATCACACTGGCCATTCTTTCAACATGAATTTTAGGGGGACATATTCAGTCCATAGCATTCTACCTCTGGCCCCCCAAATTTATGTCCTTCACATAAGCAAAATACATTCATTCTACCTCAATAGGTTCCAAAGACTTAAGTCATTTCAGCGTCAACTCAAAAGTCTAAAGTCTCATCTAAATCATATAGGAGTGAAACTCAAGGCATGATTCATCTTGAGGCAAATTCCTCCTCCAACTGTGAGCTTGTGAAATCAAACAAGTTATGTGTTTCCACAATAAAATAGTGGAACAGGCATAGCATAGACATTCCCATTCCGAAAAACAGAGAAATCAGAAAGAAAAAAGAGGTGACAAAGGGAAAAGCCCAACAGAAAACACAGCAAACAACATTAAATCTTGAAAGTGGGGAATAATCTTTTTGACTCCATGTCTGACCTTCTGGACATACTGGGGTGGAGTTTGGGTCCCCAGGGCCCCATGTAGCACTGCCCCCCCCTGGCAGGAGCTCTCAGGAATTGAAGTTGGGTGCTTGTGGCTCTCCCAGGTTAGTGTTGCATGCTGGTGGCTCTACAAGTCTGGGGTGTTGGGGGCAGCTCTGCCCTCACAGTACCACCACTGCCATAGTGGGGGCTGTCTGTGGTGGTCCTGCTTCCATGGCAATTCTCTGCCTGAACCCCAAGGCTCTCCAAAATATCCTTTGAAATCTAGGTGGAAGAGCTATGCTTCCATATCTCCTGCAGAGTTAGCACTGTATGGATGCTGCTATGGTTTACAGCATGTGCCTTCCAGAGTGGTGACCTGAGCTGAACCTGGGCCTGCCTGAGTGGCAGAGGAGCACTGAACTGGCATGTGGGGAGCAAAGACTTGAGGCAGCCCTGGGCAGCAAGCTCTGAGGTCTCAAGGGAATCCTCTCTTGAAATCACGTTTCCATCAAGGCCCTGGCCTTCTGGGCCTTTGTGGGTGGGGCAGCCACAAAGGTCTCAGAAATGCCTTCAGGGTCATTAGTCCATCCTCCTGATGAATAGCACCTGTCTTCTTTCTATCCCTACTAATTTCCTTATCAAATGTTTGGTTGTCTATGTCCTTAGGGTTTTTTTTTTTTTTCTGAAAATACTTTTTTATTCTTCACAATCTGGCCAGGCTGAGAATTTTCTAAATCTTTCAATTCTGCTTCTCTTTGATTATACATTTCATCTTTATTTCTCTCTCTTCATATTTTGTTTTAAGCAATCAAGAGAAGCCATGGAGCCCTGAACACTTTCTTTAAGGATTTCTTCCACCAAATATCCTAGTTTATCACTCTTAAATTTTGCCTTCCACAAGGGACCAGGGCATAGTTCAGCCAAGTTCTTTGGCATTTTGTAACAAGGATGGTCTGTCTTCCAGTTTCCAATAGGATATTCCCCATTTCCATTTAAGACCTCAGCAGAATTGCCTTTACTGTCTGTTTTACTACCAGCATTGTAATCACAGCCATCCAACTATCTCTAAGAAGATTAATTCTCTCTCTACAGCTCTCCTCTTCTTGTGAGTCCTCATCAGAAGGATTCTTAATGTTCCATTCATGGGAATATAGGCTTTTTCTAGCAGTAGGTGTGTATCTCACTACCTCCTTACTCTTTAATCCCTGCCATGTGTCTTTGTTTCTCCTGAAGCTGGCACTTCCTCTGAACATCTCTGTCACTGGCACCTGGTTTCTTTTTATAACTCACGTTCTAAGTCTCAACCACTTCTTTCCTCCCTATTTGCTTTTCAGTCAATTATCGCAGCAGGTCAGTTTTTACCATCTCATAGTTTTCCATTCCCATTCCCATGTAGGTCTGTCTACTTTTTAAGTAGATTACTGCAGTGGTTTCCTAAATTATCTTTTTTGCTTCTAGTCTTCCTTTTTTCAAACCATCCTATATTTATATGCCCAAATTAATATTTGTAAAGTATTTAGAATATTCATAAAGCACGGATTTATTGAATTATGTCCCTGCTTAAAAATGAACTCCAAACTTCTGCTTTCAAGGTACCTTGTAACCTTTGATCAGAGTCAACCAGTCTTGCCAGTTTTAGATCCCATTGCTTTGTTTCATGGACCTTCCATTTCAGGTTGCCTTTAAACAAATATTCATTTTTACACCAATCTGCCTTTTCCAAACTAATTATTCTCTTTGGAATGCTCAAGTTCAACCTCCTGCATTAAAGACTTACCTGTTTTTGAGTTCCTGTAGCACTTTTGGGGTCCCTCTTTATACTTATGCATTATCTAGTCTTTTAACCTTGCTAACATTGAAAGCAGAAACTAGGTCTCATTTTTCATGTTTACTACAGTGCTTTGTAGAGTCTCTGCACTCAATTACTAGCATCAACTTTTACGTATACCTCTTGGAGCTCATAGATTCAGTGACTTGTCCAAGGTCACACAATTCTATGGAAGAGATGAACTCCAATTCCAAATCCTGTGTATGTCTGTTGGTGAGCATGTCCTGTTACTGCTTTAAATATTTGTTGGCATGATAAATTGTTTCTGTTAACTCTCATAGGCATATACATTAGGCTAAACTGTTCCTTGAATTGTTTACTTTATCATTTTATGAATTATAATGGCAAGAATGCCAATGCTGAGTGGTACAGTGGAGACTGAAGCATTTTCAAAAGCATGTTATGCTGACAGAGAGGCTCAGGGCAATTTAGAAGTTATAGGAAATTTCACAATTATCTTGATTATTTTGAATTCCCATTGGTCCCTGCATTTCTGGGAGGCAGCATTTTTATGCATCATTTTAAGAATCAGCTATAAGATAAATGTGCCTTATTCTATTAACCTTCTCATCCCTGGTATCAAAACATACCGCTTATCCTTATGCTTAAATTAAAAATTCTTTTGAGGGTACAACTCTTTTGCATGCTATATCCCCATATAGGCCACTGTTAGATAAACAATCTAATTGTCTTTTTGCAGATCCTGTTTATGAAAATACTTTATACATGGAAACACTATACCAGTGGTTAGCAGTGCCTATGTGGATACCTACCATGTGAAGCTATACCTAAGGGCAAGTGCCTTTTCTATCTGTCCAAGTGGGCTGCCCACTCTACAGATACACACAGCCCAGCTGGCCTTCACCACGTGGAGACCTCTCTTGAAAAACTGGGAAGTCTTTGGCTCTTTTTCTTACCATTTCCACGCACCATTGACTAAGTTGTCTTGTAGAGATCCGTGCTTTTTCACCCTAAGCACACAGGTGCATAGCACAGCATATTCAGGGCCCTAAACAGATGCCATTTTTCACACCTGGATATGTTCCTCCTGGCTCAGTTAACAGGTCATTTACTATTGGAGACATCATAAAATAAAAATGGTTTTCATAATCATCCTATTTTTATCCATTTTCCTCTGGAACCCAGGATTCATGACAATTTGGGCCACCTAGGACATCAAGTCGATTAATCCTTAATATTTCCTTTATCACCACTTCATACAACAGATGTTTAGAAATCTAATATTTGACATTTTCTGTGTGTGTGTGCATCTGCACAGGCAGTTTCAGTTCGAATTCCAATTCTGACATTTAATAGCTGTGTGAATTTGGGCTAGTTATTTAGCCTCTCTGGTGCTCAGTTTTCTCATTTGTAGAAAGAGGCAATCTGAACTTTTGAGAGATATCGTGAGGAAGAAAATGAGCATGCCAACTTTGACTGTCAAAGTCATTTTCAGAAGTGAGAGCAAACAAATTCAACATATAATTAGAAACTGTGCAGACAACCTAAAAATTGTCACATTGATCACTACTATAGCTTTCTTCTAGTTAGGAGTGGAGAGTGGGGACAATTGAGCATGTCTGGCATTTAACATTAATGCTCTAACCTATGTGAGGTTGATGGCATCGTTCGAGAAACTGGCCATTGAATCTCTGTTAAGTCTGTTTCTACCAAGCTTGGGTGTGCTGTAGGACATCTGTGAACTGGAACTACATAACACTGCATTGGAGATATAAGAAGACATAATTCAGTAGTCTTTCAGAGAATAGCCATTAGTAAGTGAGACAGCCAGGTGGGAGGGGGTCCCTGGAGAAACTCCAACCAGCCTGCCCACTGGAGTGGAGCCTCGGAAACTTCACGCCATTTGCATTGGGTTGAAGCCTGGCCCCTCCTCTTCCTGTGTGGAACCTGGGATTCAAGCTGCGGGCGGCAAGCGCTCAAGCAGGGACTCTGGCCTTGTGAGAGTCCCTGTTTCCCCCTTTTCTTCCTTTTCACCTAATCAAACCCTGTCTTACTCACCATTCAAATTGTCTGTGAGCCTGATTTTTTGTGGCCGGGGACAAAGAACCCCATCTTTAGCTGAACTAAGGAAAAGTCCTGCAACATAGCATGAAGGAAGCAATCTTAAACAGAGCGTAGGTTCCAGCTAGAGATGGCCTAGGTTTTGGCTGATACAGAAGTTTTCCAGAGGACTAAACCTGGCATCACCTTTGAAATATTCCTGGTCCTTTGGCCATTGCTCTATCATAACAATTAGGTTAACACTGAAAACTATTAGGCTCACCATCAGCTTTCATCATCTCACCAGACCTCACTGTTTTCTCAAAATTTCATTGGTGTAATCTCTTCTTTGTCTCCCAGTTCTTCCATTTCCATAGCATACTTTCTTTGTACAGACAAAGGCCTCATGGACTGCTGTATTAATTGAGATTTAAAACATAGAGCTCAGAAGAGAGCTGGGTATGTAACAAGCACCCAATAAATTAACTGCTGCTGCTATTATCATTAATAGTGTCATCATCATCATCACCCACGATGGGGCAGATGGAAGGCATTCAAAGATCGCCTATAATCCCAGCACTTTGGGAAGCTGAGGCGGGTGGATCACAAGGTCAGGAGTTCGAGACCAGCCTGACCAAAATGGTGAAACCCCATCTTTACTAAAAATACAAAAATTAGCTGGGCATGGTGGCGCATGCCTATAATCCCACCTACTCAGGGGGCTGAGGCAGGAGAATCGCTTGAACCTGGGAAGTGGAGGTTACAGTGAGCCAAGATCGTGCCATTGCACTCCAGCCTGGTGACAGAGTGAGCCTCTGTCTCAAAAAAAAAAAAAAAAGATAATAAAAAGATAATTTATACATGAGTTTCATCAAAACAGCTATGTAAAATCTGTAGAACCATGGAAGACCACCACCAATGTAATTTTACTGTTTCTGACCATATAAATAATAAGAATGCAAACTATAGTTAATTTGTATGTGAAGGGGATACCTCATCTTACATTTGGCAACTCTTAGTCCCGTCTGAGGATCTTGGGTCTCAAAACCACTAGCATGAGTTCTCAGAGTGTGGCAAGAGTCTGGCGATTAGACTGGTTACTTTAATTGGGTAAAAGTGCAAAGGCCAATGTCATATCTTTTTCTCCAGGCATGAAAAGCCAATTCTGAGAAGTTGGGTTTGGGGATTGAAGTGTTAACCCAACAGGGTCATCTTGAGATTGTAGCCATAGTGATCAGGAGGGTACAGTTGCTTTGGCAGCTCACATTTTGTTATTAGGCTGTTGCGGCTTAGATCCATCCCTTTCTTCTATCCTGCTTGGGCAGCCTTCTAGATTTCCTTCCTCCTCCTTCCCCTTCTTACCTCTCTTCCTTCCCCTTCGTCTGCCTCTCCACCCTTGCATATTGCTCTCCTATGTGCCAGGCACTATTCTATACAATAGGGGGTATATCTTTAAACTGGATCTCTACCCTCATGAGAGTTATATTCTAGTGAAAAAGACAGTTAAATATGTACTGTCAGAAAAGGATCATGTATCTCATTAGCGTTTGACATGTTTCCTTCTCCAGAAAAGTAAATAATTCTAGAAAGGATCCTAATACCCAGGAAGTTGGGTGTCTCCCGTGACACCTATACTCTGCAAAGTTTAGGCCTCTTGGGGTCCAGACCCTAGAGTTAATTGTGCTTGCTGAAATCAGAAGATGTGATCTCCCAATGCTGGCTGAGCTCTTTACTACAGAAGAGAGCATGCGGATCCCTGGAGCCACTCCTCCCCTCTTCCTTTGTGCAGCTGATTCAGAGTATCCTCTGTGAGCCCTGACCAGCCCTTCTTTCTCAACTTATAGGCAAATGCTGAGAAACTCTGTACTCTATATGAAGAGCGCTTGCATGAAGCAACTGCAAAGCTAGATAAGGTGACTCAGTTGGCAAATGACCTGGCAGCACAAAAGACAAAGCTGTGGAGTGAGAGTGGTAAGTAAGTATGCTGCTTGACTCATAGGCAATTCTCAATCCCAGCAGACTCATGAAGGCACAACTGAGATAATGAACTACCCACTGAGGCTGAGTGGGCATCTGAAGATCCTAGGGGAGGAATGCAGCCTCTGAGACAGCTTTGCCACACACATGCCTCTTGTCTAGGAAGTGTTACCTCTGTGCCACTTGGGAACCCCTGCCTAGTTCCCTTCCAAGAAGTAGAAAATTATAATAATATGCCATCAGTAGAAGCAACTCTCAAGATCAAAGGATGGGAGGGGCAATCCACAGTCTACTAGTCATGACATTTTTACAATTTCTACCTCATTGAATATTTAAATTTTTTAAAATTTTTAATGTTTGGATAATGAATCTACATCTCTCTTTACACCTGGTAAAACCAATGGTCTGTACAGCCGGCTACCTGAGCCTGTATGATTGGACCCCATTCTCTCTGACCTCTTTTCCTACTTGCCCTTGAACTCTCAATCTGCGTTGGCCACGTCGACCTCTATGCTGTGCTTTGTACACCCCGGGCATACTCCCACCCTAGAGTCTTGCCCTAGCTGTTTACTCTGCCTGGAACACCTTATTAATTCTGGAAAGACTTGGGGATAAGGGTTAATCAAGTGGAGATCTGGGCAAAGTCAGGATAGGCCCTGCTGAGAAGGTGACATTTGAATACTGTCAACTCATTTCCTCAAGAGCTTCTCTTTTCATACTATTTATTAAGTTCAAACTAACTACATATTTGACACAATAAATATGTTTGTCTCCATCTGTCAGAATATAAGCTCCATGAGGTCAAGGGTCTTTGCTCATTGATGTATGTCAATCATCTAGAACACTGCCTGGCATTTATTGATCCTCCATAAACATTTGATAAATAAATTAAAAGTAGAAAAATGTCCCATAGTTTATTCATTATTATCAACCACTATGGATTTTTTTTTTCTGTTTTTCCAATCTATTACATTGTAGCAATCTGTTGGGGGTTTTTCTTTTTCAATTTATCATAAGCTTTTGTATTTTGCATACTCGGTCATTTATAATGACTGCTTCTAATTCATTGAGATTGACTAAACCTAACCTTGCCTGCAACTTGACTTGCCTCTCTGCTATGAATAGCATGTGGCTAGATGTTTATCTATAACTAAAATCAGTTTTAGTAATATATTCTGAGAGATAGAATTCTTAGGTCAATGAAAATAAACAATGTATTCTTGATGCTTAAGAGGCACACAGTTTTAAAAAGAGAATGAACACATTTGGGCTACATATAACACAATTCCTCCAGTAGACACCTCTATTTCCAGATGCTAAATCTAGGGTGAGAGCTAAATAAAAATTAGTTGATAAAACTAAAAACCTGGAAATCTAGAAGAAGGAAATGTTTTTGGTTCTATTAAGGACTCTGAATAGGACTCTTCTTATACTGCCCACAGGGTGTGTGACACCTGGCCTTGCTACCAAGCCCCCAGTTTGATCTGTGCTATTTAGGATTTAGTTGGTATGTAGACTCCACAGTCCAGACACAAAGCTGGAGAATACCTGGATGTCTGGCCCTAAAGGAAGTGCTGTGTAAAATCTATTTTGATAGGCATTGGCTGTCTACCCCTAGTTATTGGCATTAATTTTCTACTCACTTTTTTGATGAGGAAATTAGTGGGTAGCGAGTAAAATAAAAGTGGGTCTGAGATGATAATTCTGCTTAGGCTGCAGGATTTTTTTCTTCCTTTTTTTAACTTTACCTTTTGGTTGGCTTTTGTGTAAATTAAATTAGAAGTACAAATTTATTCAAGCCTATCCTCCCCTCACTGGGTCCACGTTCCAGATTGTTTATTTGTTTTTGTTTTTTGTTTTTTTGTTGGTGGCTATCACCAAAGTTTCTTTCTCATGCCCTGTTCTGTCAGCTTACCATACTCTGCTTTCAGAGGAAACCAATAGTAAATGTGATATATACGTGATGTATTAGTCTCAACCAGCTAGTGGATTTATATTTCTTCAGAATCCTTTTAAATAAGATGTTTTTGGACCAGCAGAGTGGCTCATGCCTGTAATCCCAGAATTTTGGGAGGCCGAGGTAGGCGGATCACTTGAGGCAAGGAGTTTGAGACCAGCTTGGCCAACATGGCAAAACTCTGTCTCTACCAGAAAAATACAAAAATTAGCCAGGCGTGGTGGCAGGCATCTGTAGTCCCAGCCATTTGGGAGGCTGAGGCAGGAGAATCACTTGAACCCTGGAGGCGGAGGTTGCAGCTAACCACTGTACTCCAGCCTGGGCAACAGAGTGAGACTCTGTCTCAAAAAACAAAACAACAACAACACGGGAGGCTGAGACAGGAGAATCGCTTGAACCTGGGAGGTGGAGGTTGCAGTGAGCTGAGATCGCACCATTGCACTCCAGCCTGGGCAACAAGAGTAAAACTCTGTCAAAAAAAAAAAAAGCCACAAGATGTTTTCATCCAAATACCCTTAAAGTTTGATTTAAATATCCCAAGTGATTCTCAGGAGCCTATAGGGGGTCTATGAGGTTGAAGCTATTTTAGTATAGTACTAAGATACTATTTGCAACTTAAATTATTTTGCCATTTGTATTGATGGTGCAAAAGCAACGATGATTAAAATTGCTGCAGCCTGATCACAAGTCAAGGTAGTAGCACTAAAACATACTGGTAAAAATTGTATTCGCTAATATGTACTCACGGTTTTTTAAAAAGTCAGTTTCACTTAAGGATGTCCTTAAGAAGCAGGAAAAATGAATTTTATTACATCTCAACTTGAGTATATATCTTTTTACTATTCTGTGTGACAAAACAAGAAGTATGCATAAAGAATTCCTGTTTCATACTGGAGTAAGATGTGTGATTAAGCTCTGAGCTGAGCTAGTAGTTTTTTCAGGGAGTATCACTTTTACTTGAAAGAATGACTGACAAACAAACTAGGCTTATTTAGGCTTACATGTTTGGCAGATGATTTCTCAAAAATGAACAAAGGAAACCTGTCACTTCAAGGAAAGCAACTGACAACATTTGTTGCCAATAACAAAATAGGAGCTTTTAGGTAAAAATTATATTTTAGAAAACATGTATATGCCATCATTAGGTTGATGGCTCTCAACTCTTGGACTTTTCTGATGAGCTCAGCAGTGATGTTAACAAATATGATTTTTAAAATATTGTATGCGATGTGATTTATAAAAAGATATATGCATGTACATATAGGTGTGTATATATGTGTGTGTTTAAGTGTGTATATGTGTGTGTGTGTGTGTGTGTGTGTGTGTGTATATATATATACATACCTGTACGTGTGTGTGTGTATCTGACACTGTCTCCAGGAAAATAGTGTCAGAATTGAGTTAAATTGTAGGACCTCGGTAGGTTGAATTCACAAAGCAGAACTTACAGATATGGAAGGCCCGACTATAATTAATAGGATAAGTTAAGCAGGGACGATAGACTAGAGTATGATAGAATTTCTCCCTCTCATCGTCACATTTCCTACCATTTAGTGACTACTGCTAATATTTATTTAGCATTTCAGTCTATAAAATATATTCACACTAATTTAGTTTTCATTAAGAATCTTATTGTTATCTTCATCTTACAAGTGAGGTAATAAAAGTTATAATTATCTAAAAATTATATAGACAGAAGTGTACAAAGCCACATATAATAAACAAGGGAGTATGGTATAGAAGAATGTGGTCTTCAAGAACTTCATTTGAATCTACCTTCACCAATTACGAACTGTGTATGTTTCTGTTTCAGTCATATTTAAGTTGCTCTGTTTCCTCCTCTGCAAAATGGTTAGTATAATACCTACACTATCAAGGAGTTATGAAAATTAAACTAGATAACATACGTTAAGTACCTAGAGCATAGAAGTTTCTCAATAAATGGTAACTAATATCATCTGTTATCGATTCATACTTATTACTAAAAATCAGCTCATTTTTAGGACTCTCTTCTGAGTCCTGGAAAGGATCATTGCCACGGTTTTGCTGAATAATAGGACTCTCAGACCCTTCCTAAATATCAAAAATATGTGGGTAGGAGTCATTCTGGCTACCCTTAAAGTCAGTAAGTCAAGTGAAGGAGGCAATAGATAGGAAGACTGTAATTATGTAGTTTTGTGAAATCTTTCTGTAGGCGAGTTCCTACGGAGGCTTGAAGAGAAGGAGGCTCTGATAAACCAACTTTCCAGGGAAAAGAGCAACTTCACTCGGCAGATTGAAGACCTGAGAGGGCAGCTGGAAAAGGAGACCAAAGTAATGTATCTATTATTTCTCACTAGTTTCTTGACTGTGTGTTTTTTTTTTTAAAAAATAGTGCTTGATGAATCAGCCTGAAGATGTTTTGTAAAAGAAGAAGGGAAAATGCCCTAGAAGTTATGGGGGAAAAACCATGCCAGGAAGAACCCTGATGACTGAAGGATCTTCCTCGGTGATTCAAATTGCTTCGTTGCAGGTTTAGAGCAAGCAAAGTGTGTGTTCCCATCTTGTATAAGTACTTGAACAGAAGGGCAGCAAGGCTCTTTCAGGATTTTGATTTTGAAACTGCTCATAAAAAAGTGAAATTAAATAAAAGCCTAGAATAAAATAAGTGGGACTGGGTTAGCTCAATATTACTTTTAAATTGTCAATAAATTATAGAAATTAGTCATTTCTTCCTATGAGTGTATAATGTTGCTAGAAGGTGACTCCAGTGGAAGTGATTCTGGAAGATGAAAGCATAGTGACTAACATGAGATATGAATTCTTTGAGCCCTGATATTTAAATGAATTCTTAGTTCATAGTCAAGGCATCTTATTACTAAGACCCCAAACTATCTTACTTGTACATGACCATACTATGAAGGCGTATACTGTGAAAACACAGGTAGTTGAGTCTGTTTTAAAATATTGTACCATTTTATTCCCTTAACTCTCCATACTTTCTATATTATATACAAATTTAAAAATGTATCATTGTTTGTGCATCAGACATTGTACCAGATACTTCTGTCATGTTATCTCAATCTTCATATCAGTCAAATGAAGCAGATAGAATTGCATCCTTATATATGAAAAAACCAAGGCTCTGAGAAGAAAAATATCATGTCCAAGGTCATACACCTAGTGATGTACTGTGAAGGAACTTAAACGCATAGTGAAATGAGTTATATTTTAGAAGATCTCTCTGGCTGCCTTCCCAGTGACTTCCAATTGGCCTACAAGCCCCCCTGATCTGGCTCCAGCCTCCTTCTGTGACCTACTTCCTACATCTGCTTCCCTCATTTACTCCCCTCCAGCTGCCCTGGCTTCCCTTCTGCCTCTTAAACCAGGCACCATCACTCCTGCCTTAGGACTTTTATAACTGCCCTTCCCGTTGCTTAAAGGCCCTTCACCGAAGTCTTAGAGGGATGATGAGAAGGAGCCAAACATTCTAGATCGTGTTTATCTGCTGTGTTTGTTTTACTGCTATTAGAAATTTTATTTATTAATGTATTTGCCTGTGTATTTTGTGTATCCCCTTATTTCTTTTGGGCTCTTTAGGGCAGGGATTTTGTCTTTGTCTTGTTTACTTCTATAATTAAATATATGCCATGTAAATGCCACATAAAGGTTTTAAAAGTTTTTCCTTTAAAGAAAAATAAAATTAAACAAGAGGAGAGGTCACAGTTTGAACCCAAGTTCATCTGACTCCAAAGCCTGCATCCTTTTCAGAGTCATTGTGTATTGTGGCTCCTCATTTACCACCCAAAGGGGTCTGGCTGAGGCTGCCATTAACTAAACCTTGTGCCCTCAGAGCTGTATCTTCCTGAAAATGTGCTTTTTTCCTAATTTGCATAAAGGACACTTGAGGACCCGTCAGGATCTAGTGTTCTTTCCACACTAGATTATCTCTGGGGAATAATGCTGCTAGGTTAGCCAGATCACCATTTAAATGATAAAAATGTTTATTAAACCCAGCAGGGCCGTCCAATACATATAGAAGCCTCTACTACACTACAGGTAACTATTTAAATTTATATTAAAGTTAAATAAAATTAAGAATTCAGTTTTGATCACACATTGTACTAGGCATATTTTGAATGTTCAGTAGCCACATGTGGCTAGGTGTTTACCATATTGGACAGTGTACATAGAGAACATTTTCACCATTACAGAAAGTTCTGTTGGGCAGTAGTACTATTTTGAAGTATTAGGAGCTGAGGTTTTTAGAGATTTCAGTGTGAAATAAAAGATTTTATTTTCTTCATCAGTGGAATAAAAAGGCTAAATTTTAGTGGTTCTTTCTGGTTCAAACAAGCTCTGAGTCTAATATATTGCTAAATATAAATCTTATTGCCTAAATGATAGTGAATGTTCTCTTTGCTATCCTTGCATTCTCCACTATTTCTAGAATTCCAGGCCTGTCTAAGTCCACAGAGCCAAGCTGGCATTTCTCTAAATAGAATTCCCTTCCCTGTTTTAATGGCAGCAATTAGATACTATCTATCCTTTCTCTTGTCTCAAATTCTCTCCCTAGTGTTATCTTACTAGGTTCAGGTTCGGCTTGAATTTGTGGCAGGTTGTTATTAATCTTACCTAAAAAAAAAATTAGCTTACTTTCAAGACTTGTGTTGCTCATGGTGGTCATGACCTTTTTGTTAATGTGTGTCCCCTACAGTCCCAGAGTGCCCTGGCCCATGCCCTGCAGAAGGCTCAGCGTGACTGTGACCTTCTACGAGAGCAGTATGAGGAAGAACAAGAGGTCAAGGCTGAGCTGCACCGGACCTTATCCAAAGTCAATGCTGAAATGGTGCAATGGAGAATGAAGTATGAAAACAATGTCATCCAGAGAACAGAAGACTTGGAGGATGCCAAGTGAGTAGGGCAAGGCTATCCTTAACCTGGAGTTACTCACATGGAGCAGTATGAGAATAATGACTCTGTCTCCAAGGCCTCATGGTATGCACTTAACAAATCCTTGCCGAGTGCAGGAACAAGCCCAAAACCAAAGCTGAAACGTGCACTGCTGGTAAGAAGCACACTCTGTAGAGGGACTAAAAATATAAAAAGTATAATACAAAGTGACAGAGACTATAAAGAGGTCCTGGGGAGAGAAAGGAGGCTCTTTCTAGGGGCACAAGGGAAGTTTTCATAAAAGATGTGACTTTGAGCCGTGGTGTGAAAATAGGCTATCGTTTAAAACCCTGTATTTCATTTGTAACGCCATAATAATTGAGTCCATGTGTGTACGTGTCTCCATCAAAGTCGTTGTGTCCCTGGTCTACAACTTGTAGACTACAAAGTAGTCTGTGAAGATGGACAGGGAAGCTGGAAAAAAATGTTAGGATCTGTCGTCATGTCTTCTAGGACAAAGGTTGCTTTGAAAAGAAATCATCCCCAGGCCACCCCTAAGATTAGAATATCAATTTTATAGCCATTTCTATGTAAAGGTTTTAAAAGTTTTTAGGAGTTACACAAGTTTGGGGCACAGCTGAATTGAGACTCAGTACCAGGGTATAGAACTGAAGCATTTTGCTTAGAGGCCAGGAAACTGTACCTTTAAGAGAAATTGTCAAACCCCAGCTTATAATCATTCAAGGTTTACTCAAAAGAATGTGTCCCTGGCTTGGTAGCTTGGCAAAAATCCAGGGAAGATCAATACATTTCTCTTTAGCTTCAACCAGAAATAATGTTTTTCAGTTCTTCACCTAAATCTTTGAGAGGCATTGCTGTGCAATTGCTGAACAGCTGCTGTGTTTTGTCCCAGAAGGGGTACCAAGTGATCCATCTCTGTACCCACAGTAACTTAAAAAGGGCTTTAGAATGACAGATACTAAAAATACCTGCAGTAGATGTTTTATCAAAACTCTGGACCACAGAAAGTTTTGGCTTTGAACTGAGATGCCCTCTTATATCCAAATATGGTATTTACTTCTGAAGTAAGATTTTTCCCCCTTCTAATGATTGAAGAATTCAGGTGAAATTGCCTATCTATCATTCTGTTTGATGGTTTCTTTTGGGATTGGGTAGGAAAGAGCAAAAGAATATAGATTACTTTATGACCACATGGGTTTGTTGGAACTAGTTCTGTAGTATGTAATAACTAAAGAAAATAAAGGGCAAACATGGTACTCTGTGAAGACAATTTTTTACTTTCAAATTGGTGGGACATAGAATAAATAAAACTTTGTCTGTATTATGCTTTTCCTCTAAATCACCTCAGGGAGGTAGGCAGCTACAAAACAATCTAGGGTCCTGGTTTCTTTTGTTATTATTAAAGTTAAAGATTTGCCTGCTTTGATTTCCAGGCTGGGGTTCAAATGATGAGTTAGTTTAGCAGACTCAAGCTTATCTAAGACCCATTGTACTGCTTCTGAATTCTAAGTTCCCCAAGGATAAGGATTTAGTTTCTTAATTTCCAATATCCCTTTACATATTCGAGATAACTAAGTAGGTGCTTATGGTTGGCAAGTTAAGGAGCAAAATAGTAGTTGATATTAAACGTAGAACAAAGTTATTGGTAAAACAAGGGTAACCAGTTTGTCCAGTTTGCCCTGGATGTTTCCTGTTTTAGCTTTGAAAGTCTCATGTCCTGGTGTATTAGTCTGTTCTCACACTGCTAATAAAGACATACCCAAGACTGGGTAATTTATAATGGAAAGAGATTTAATTGACTCACAGTTCACCATGGCTGGGGCGACCTCAGGAAACTTACAATCCTGGTGGAAGGGGAAGCAAATAGGTCCTTCTTCACATGGTGGCAGGAAGAGAAGTGAGTGAATAAAAAAGGGGAAAGCCCCTTATAAAACCATCAGATCTCATGAGAACTTACTCGCTGTCATGAGAACAACATGAAGGTTACCGCCTCGATGATTAAATTACCTCCCACTAGTCCCTCCCATGACATGTGGGGATTATGGGAACTACAAGATGAGATTTTGGTGGGGACACAGCCAAACCATATCACCTGGTGAAACCCCTCAGTCCCAGGCAGTCCAGTATGATCAGTCACCCAAAGTGAAACTCCTATTTTATCAACAAGCATTTCTAAAGTAGTTAAAATATATGTAATTATTTCACTTGACTCCTACTGCCTTAAGTCAGGTAAAGCATCAGAATATCCTCTTAACGTTTAAGAAACATGAAGCAGAAAAGTGAAGTGAGTATGGCTAGGAAGCCGGGGGCAGAGTGTTGTTAGAGCCTAGATGCTTCCTGGATCCTGAGCACATAGGGGTTTTTGCAGGATTCCACCAAAAGGGGACTTTATTACCACATTCCTCTGTTGGGCTAGTTATGCAGTCCTATTAATTCCGGAGAACCTTTTTTTCTGTTTAATAGCAGTAGATGAGAAAAAGCTTTGGTACATACAGTACTTTTCATCTAAGAAGTATAATGAATGAGTAAGAATGGGACTGCCAGCAACCCTGCAGGAGATGTAAGAAACAGAACACATTTCATCCATTAGAATTCCTAATAGTAGCATATTACGGGGGTGGTGGAGAAAGAAGCACTGTAATAAATTACTCCATCTCAGAGATGCCCAAGGAACAGCAGATGGGGGCTAAAAAACCCCATAAGAACAGTAGGACCTGTTAAGTGAGCATAATGAGATGGGTTTGGGAATATAAATCTGGAGAGAGGAGCTGAGGTGGAGAACAAACTCGGAGAGAAGAAAGAATTGTGTCATGTTGAGGAGCCACATGATGAGAGAAAATAAGCAGGAAAAAGCAAGAGAGTGTTCTTTAGAAGCAACACAGCCAAGGAGCTCTTTAGTGACTACATATGGCTACAGATTTGTAAGGTGCTTACTGTTGGTAGGGTGTTCAGTACAATCTTCCTTTTCTCCCCCTTCTTAGGAAATAATCAAGTCAGTATTGCTTATTAGAGCTTTAGGATAAGCAAATATTTGTAGGAATTCAAAGAGATTCTGAGTTCCAAGTGCAGGTTGGCAAAGGGGGAAAATAAAGACCCCATGCACACAGGAGGCAGAGGATGGTGGTCATAGACAGTGAGGTCACTTTCAGATAGGAGCTGCTGTTGCTTTATACCACTAAGTCCACTGCAGAGGCGCCATCTTACTTTGCACCCAAGCTCTATCTTTAATCCAGGGCAGACTTGATGAGCTCTCTGAGAGTTATTGCCTCACTCACTCTTTGGGTGTCCTCCTTTCTCAGGAAGGAACTGGCAATTAGATTGCAGGAGGCAGCCGAAGCCATGGGGGTGGCCAATGCCAGAAATGCCTCCTTGGAGAGAGCCAGGCACCAGCTGCAGCTGGAGCTCGGGGACGCCCTGTCTGACCTCGGGAAGGTCCGCTCTGCAGCAGCCAGGCTGGACCAGAAGCAGCTGCAGTCTGGCAAGGCCCTTGCCGACTGGAAGCAGAAGCACGAGGAGTCCCAGGCGTTGCTGGATGCCTCTCAGAAGGAAGTTCAGGCTCTCAGTACAGAGCTCCTCAAGCTCAAGAACACCTATGAGGAGAGCATCGTGGGCCAGGAGACACTCAGGAGGGAGAACAAGAACCTCCAAGGTACACCGAGCTGGGCTCAGAGCCAAAGCCAGAGCGGGTAGCTCAGGAAGAGCCCTGGCTACAGGCAAGGCTGTCTTCAGCATTTTCACATTCCCAACATGTTTTAACTTTTCAATTTTTATACTTCTGTTTGACTTATTTTTTTTTTACTTTAGATGCTGTTTGTATTAAATTAATTCTAAAAGTAAGACTAGTTTCCTACCTTTAACTTCAGTTCCCCTCTGTAAAGGAAGCCAGTGCTGAAAATTTCTTGATATCCACAACCGTACCAAGATTTTCCATGTGTGCTATACTCAAGTGTGTAGTTTTTACCCAAATTGCATATTGTTCTACACCTTTTTTTCATATATGAATATATTTCCCGATTTAATGAATATTTCTATAGCCCATACTACGTACCAGGCACTGTTTAACTATTTATTGTTAAATTTTCAGAATAGTCTAGTGTTAGTTTTCTCATCTGTAAAATGAAGGTTATATAGGTCATAAGTTGAGTAACTTGTTCAAATTCACATTTGATAAGTCGCAGATCTGGGATTTGAGCCCAGCCAGCACGGCTCCAGCATATACGCACTTAACTACTGAGCTGTGCAACCTTCCCACGTACCTTGTGGGTCTTTGCATGCCTGTACATGGAGACCTACCATAAGCTTTTTAATAGCTACATAGTGTTTTGTAATAAAGATGGCTATCATTTAACTAGACTTTATTCATTTTAGATCCAATTATTCACAAATATGAATAATCCTACATTATATATCCCTATACATGTATTTATGCACATGTAAAAATATTTCAGTAGAATGGATCCCTGGAAAAGAAATTGCTGGGGTAATGAAATGAATTTTTAAATTTTGATTTACTGCCAAACAGCCCTTCAAAGAGGCTGCCAACTTATCCCAGCACCAACAGCAATGTGCATGAAAACCCTGAGATGCCCTGGAAGCAAGTTCATTACTGTTGGAGGCGTAAATGAAGCTTACTTTCTGTTGACCTACATAGTCTATGATCAAGGCACTAGATGGAGACGTGACGGGTGCTAAAACAGTGGTTAGAAAACTTTAGCTACGTCCAAACCAGCTGGAGGGCTTGTTAAAGCACAGATGGCTGGGGCCCACCCCCAGAGTTTCTGACTCAGTAGGTCTGAAGGATTTGTATTTCTGACAGTTTTCCAGGTGAGGCCGGTGCTGCTGATCTGGGCACCACCTTTGGACTGGGGCGGGGTTTGAATATTGAGTGAGCTTTTTCCAAAGCTCTCCAGGTGATTCTAAGGTGCGGTCAGAGTTGAGAACCTCTTCCCTGATTTTCTTCTTGATAACCCATCTTTAGGAGAGCACTTCTCAGAGAAGAATTTATTATGCAATGAAAATTTCCATCTAACATATTTGTCTTTGTAACTTCTAAAAATTCTCATCATATCACATCACAGCCCAGGATCTCAGAACCAGAGGAGCAGGTGACCTATTGAGCTCCTTCCACCACCTCTGAACTGGGTAATTCTCTGAGCTACTTGGCCCTATACCACACCTCTTAGGTACTAAAGGCAGAACTGACCATAACAATATCAGGTGGAAGAGGTTTTGTGACTTCTGGATGCCCTATTCTGTTTGTCAAAGGCTTATGTTCATGAGAGGCTAGGAAAAAACACTCAAGTGCTTGAGCTAAAGCCACTGTCTTCCTTGGGCCCCTTCTGATTCTCTGGCCTATCTGGGGCCATGCCTTGAATGCTGGCAGATATTGATCCAGCTTTTACTTTAAGTTCCTGTCGCAGTGTTGAGTGGTGGCTGAAACAATGGCAGCCACTAATGTTGATAGCTAAGCACTTACACTGGAAGGGTAGGGACTCCAGGTCTGTGTTCCTCCAGGTGGAACCTGGAATGGCTCTAATGAGCAGGACTGTCATGTAAAAGTTGCAAAAGTTGTCCAGTGTACAATACTCTGAAGCACCACCCTCACCATTTGTTGTAGACAATTTTCAATTTTCAGATGGCAAAAGACTATATGAAAAAATGAATACCCTTTTAAAATTTCTCGGTCCCATATAGGATAGGTCATCAAGTTACCAAGGGTGGCATGAGGTCACTGTTCCAGTGGGCTGGAAGAATCTGTTGTGCCTGGTATCATTGGTTTGAGACTGAGCCCATTCACTAACTTTGTTTTTCTTACCTCTGTCTCCAGAAGAGATTTCTAATCTGACAAACCAGGTTAGAGAAGGGACCAAGAACTTAACTGAAATGGAAAAGGTCAAGAAACTAATTGAAGAAGAGAAGACAGAAGTCCAGGTGACACTGGAAGAAACAGAGGTATTATCACCAGGGAGAAAAGAAAGTTTTCACTGTGACAAGGCAGAAGATCTGCATTCAGCAATAACAGCAGCACCAACAAAAGGACACGTATTCAAATGTTTATTTACTATATGCTAGGCACTCTGCCAAATGCATAATTTTAATATAATCACCGTAGGAAACTACTGTCCCCATTTTATAAAAGAGGAAATTGAGACTCAGAGAGCAGGATACACAACAGTGAATGCAAATCTCCTGATTGTAGTAAAAACAGGAACTATCTATCTTGTTCACCAGTTTATCCCCAGTGCCCAGACCCTCACTACTCAACATGTGGCCCATGGACATCGCTTGGGAGGCTGTTAGAAATTCAGAATCTCAGCCCTCTGCCCATCTCTGTTGAATCAGGATCTGCATTTTAACAAGATCCCTTGGTGGTTCATATGCACATTAATATTTGAGAAGCACTGGCCTAGAACATTGCCTGGCATGTAGTAGAGGCTCAGTAAATATTTGTCAAATGTTGAATGAATAAATATTCTCATAGCTGCCCCCTCTTTAAAGAGTCAGTCACAAAAGCTTTTCAATTTTTTTTCCCCAAAAACTTTCGGTAGTTTCAGAAATAAGATTCAAAGTGATGTTGTCAAACATTTGTTTCTGAAAGCTCATCTTTGTGCAGATTGACAGGAGGGTTTTCAGTGTTATGGATTCACAGTTCAGGAAAAGTCTCTGGCTGTATCTCTGGGTGTGCATTAGCAATTGAAAGGACCTCTAAGAAGACATTTCGCCAAAGAAGGTAAACTAACAAGGAAGTCATCTTATCATGATTCTTAGGTGGTTAAGAAGCCCTGTGCAGCCTCTTCTCAGAGCTGAACTTCATCTTCCTGACTCAGCCTTTGAACAAGTATTCAGACACATTAAAATACAGCCCTGATCCTCCCACCAGTAGAAAAAGAAAAAAGATTTTTGAAAGGTGTGGCAGTCAGTGTTAGGCAGGGGTCTCTTGGAAGGTATGGCGATGGAAAACAAGACCCCAAAGGACCACTCTGTGCCAAGCATTGTCTGTTAAATTTACCTCACCGTTGTGATTCCAGAAGAAACTTCCAAGCAAATGTGTCCATATTACCCTCTGTATAGAGTTGTCAGGCAGCAGCTCTCACCCTGTTATACATAAATGTTTCCTGAGGCTATCTAACTTTATACAGACTCCTTTTCGTTGGCAGTGTGGTGCCCTGTAGCACAGCTGGTCCTTACACAGTTGGTGAACTTTGTTTTGTTTACTCGTTCCCTTTGGTTCTCTGGCTATCCTGGCAAGGGACTTTTTGAAGCCACCACCTTAACTGAAAGAAGTAAATTTTATGATAGAAATTTCAAGTACTATGACAAGCCAATGAAAAATACAACTGGCACGGGCCATTTATGTCCTGTATAACACAGAGGCATCTTTGTGTATTCAGTCGATCATCACGTGGGTCAAGGGTGAGAATGACAGGAAGGCCATAATGCTCAAACCACTTAGTACCACTAGATGGCAACACATTCTATTCGCATTTTCTCCACTTCTGTCCTCAGCCACATCCATAAATACTTCATCAACTTGGACATGTATTTGTAACATTGCGTTATTTATTTTCCTGGGTGAGCCTTTATGAGAAACTTTATCAGATTTTTTTAAAGCCATAAAACTCACATTATCCCAGGTCATGTTCCCTAAAGATTCACTTTCTCAGTGCATTTTAGAGGGTTAGAGGTGACAGTTTCCTCTTGAAGGAACTACTACACTATTCCCTCTGAGGAAATTGTTATCCAAGCATTTGTTTTTGAGTGTGCGTTAGCAATTTTATTTTCTTTTATATTGAAGGTAGTATCAAGATAACATCAAGGGAGGTCTTATTAAAATTCCCATCATCTTTTTATTTTTATTTTAAAATTGCAACTCAGTTTTACTTTTTTACATTTTGTCATATCTGCTAAGCACGCCTCAAAAGAGGCTATGAAAAAATTACTTCTGCCCTTAGGACTGCCTGTAGCTAACTGACCACAAAATTGCATCACCCCTTATGCCCTTATATCCTTGGTATTCTGTAAGTGTTTTTTGGATTTCTTCTTTTATATACATTTTTAGCTTCAGGACGGGTTTTAAAGATTTAGCCAAACCTATGCTTTTAGAATTGAATTGCCTTTATAACATCCCTGCAAATAATTGCCTTAACTATATTTGAATACACAAAGGGGCAAGGAATCTTCTGCCTGTCAAAGAAATTCATTTGCAGTAGTGGTACCAATTATGGTGTTAATGGCTCACACTGAGTGTTACATGTCAGGTACATTGTAAATTCCTTTATTTGTTCTTCATATGACAATATTTGGACACTACCCTGTTGTTTGTTCTCTGAATACATCCAACTTTTCCTCTATCCCCTCGTGATGTCCAGAATTTAATAGAAGATTCCAGGTAGGAGTTATCACCTTCCTTGTTCTAGCTCTGATACTTTTTAAAATTTATCCCAAAGTTGGAATATGTTAGAAAAAGTCAAGGGTAATACATTAAAAAGTTTAAATATAGTCACAGACAAGAGTGAAATTTTCTATTTTAAAATAGGCTTTAAAATTCTAGTTCTGGAGCTACAGCTGAAAGACCTAAGAATGTCAAATCTATAAGTGAAATGACAAATGAAAGCAGTTGCTTGTCTCACTGTGTTGCAATCTCTAGGGACCTGGCTTGAACCTATATCTCTCCCAGTAACTCTAAGAGAGCTACATTAGCGACATATGTTTTGGGTAAAAAATACAATTTTGTCTAAAAGTGGACTTCATTTAATGCTTTTTATTTATGTATTCCAGGGAGCCCTGGAACGTAATGAAAGCAAGATTCTTCATTTCCAGCTTGAACTCTTGGAAGCTAAAGCAGAACTTGAAAGAAAGCTTTCAGAGAAAGATGAAGAAATAGAAAATTTTAGGTATTTAAGATGATTTTGATGTGTAACAATTATGTATTTCTGAATCCTTGACTAAACAGAGCTCATTATGTCTGGCTGCTTTTATGGCCCCTGTTGGAGCATTACCAAAGAAACTTAGTGTAACTCTATATTATTTTCTTTTATATACAATATCTATAATCGTGTATAGATATTCCTTTATACACAATTAGATATCCTTTTATACACAATTGTGTATAGATATTCCTTTATACACAATTAGATATCCCTTTATACACAATTGTGTACAGATATTCCTTTATATCAATAGTGGTGAGCTTACTAGCTATCTATATACGATTATTGCCAGATTTTATAATTTTCTTATATTTGAGGAGCTTCTACTGTCATGTGAGACTCAAGACAACACCAAATAAATGATTATATGTATAAGGACTGTGCATACTGTCTGCGTGTCCCTATAATGCCACGTTCTTGGGCATTAAGAAATTGACTGAAAATGCTGAGCCATGGAGAAAAAAATTAAAAAATTAAAAAATTCAGTGCTGTACTTTCAGACCAGAGTGAAGTTTTCACATACCCCCTGCCTGTACCTGTAGCCATTTGTTTGAAGAGGAGCAGAAGCCAAGAGCTAAGCTGCTTATTGAATCCTTGTTAAAGCAGCTGAGTCTTAATAGTCAGGAAACTGAATTAGACAGGACTCATGGGTTGCAGAATGTTTTCTTAGCTTTGTCATAACAAGCTGATGACTTTAGACATTCCACTTCTTAGCTTCTCAGTGAAGTGAGGGGATAAAAGCAGTCCCTACATGTCACAGAAGGTGGTGAGGAAGATCAGTAGGCTGATGTTGGCAAAGCACTTCACACGCTGTAGATCAAAGGCACAATTATAAACACATGGAATTAACGATGATTATATTATCTAATCTGTTCCCTTAAGTCAATGCCATATGTCAGCAAGAAAAATCATTTGAGCCTGAGATTCAACTGGCAACTTACTTTCAATGTATTTGTTAAACAGTCTTTTTTTAAGAAAAAGAAAAAAAACCCTGTTAACATGTTCAATTGAACTGACCTCTTTCCCACAGCCCATTTTTAGACAAAACTCTCAAGGGGGTCAATTTTTTAATGAGGGTGTCAAGCCAAATTTGGCCTTCTATGTGCTTTGAGTTATCTTTGCTCTCACTCACTGGCATTTTCTTCTACAGGACTGACTGTGGCGAGGAATTCTGATCTACTTAAGAGGTTCTGAGTCAGTGTCTAAAAGAATTTTTTTGATGAAGGGCAAAAACCCTGGGCCTTGATATTTGCCCTACTTCTTTCCACAAGGAATAAAAATGAATGTCTCCTTGTGCAGATAAAAAAAAAAAAAGCAACAAATAACACTGATTTCAAGTAATATCAGACCTGTGCCTATAAATAAACCCAGCTGAGGAGAAATGAATCCTCAGAGAGCCTGTGTCTCGTCAGCTACATCTGAATGTCGTAGAGCAGTTCACCAATTATAATAATCTTAGTGCGAAAAAAAGCCAGAGATCCAAAGAGCTAGGGCTGGAAGAAGAAAGAACTGAAGGATAAGCATGAGCCATGAGGAGCTGAGAAAAGAAGGGGTGGACTGGAGGCAGGGGGGTGAGCTATTCATAAATTTTAGTTAATGATTCATAATAACTATAATAGGTAGATCCAGAAAGAAAAGATGAGCTTATCTTACAAAATATCACAAATACCAGCCCAGACCCTTTCTGCTCTGAGCACAGATTGTACCAAACTGCCAAGGTTTAATCTGATAGTTTCACTTTGGGGCTAGCAAGGGCATCTTAAGGAAACTGAATAGAATGCCAGGAGGAAAAAAAAAAAAAAAAAGCCAAACACAAGATTCCAAGCAATCAACGATAAGCCAGGGAAGTTATAGAACAAGGAAAATATTGCCTGAGGGCAAGATCAGGTTCAAGGTCCTATGCCCATATAACCCATCATTAACTCCACAGAAACAGAAGGTGCCCAGGAAGACAGGACCTGGTAAGTAAGTTAAAGGGACCAGGAAAGCAAGAGAAAGAGACCCACAGGCAAAGGCAAAACCTTGATAGTACAGCAAACTGGGTAACTCATTCAACTAATTCTCTGCTGCCAAGCCATGTCTTCCACTCTGGTGAGGCCTGATTCTGAATGAGCCCAGCCTGGAGGCCTGTTGGGGGTGAAAAGTACAAGCAGCTGGTATGTATGTGATATGTTTCACTTGTTCAACAGATATTGGAGTGCTTAATGTTCACCAGACACTGTGCCTCATATTCTAGTCAGGGCTTCATAGACATTTTTGGATGATAGGGTATTCCATTTATTTCTATAATAAATAAATAATGTTATAGTTGACACAGGTAGAGGTAGGGAGGTGACGGTGCAGTCACTGATGGAAGGAGAAGAAGAGCTGGTAGCTGGCTTTGATCTTCCCATCTTATTAGACAGGAAACAAGGCTAGCTTGAAGGCCAAATCATTGCCATAATTGCCATGTTAGTCAAGCCCTACTGCATGGCCCAAGACTGAGCTGACAACAGGTTGGTCAGGTGCATCCTGCATCTTCAGGGAATTCTCTGATTGGAGGAAATGTTGAAATGTGAGAGTCATCACACTGGTCCACAGCCATGGTCTTTCTGAGCTGTATTCTGCTCTCCCAGACACACCCAGAGAGGTGTTTTTGGGAATGAGGCACTGAACTTCTTTATTCTATCATACTGTGCTTGTTTGTTTTGGGTTGATCACTGATTGAAAGGCTAGGCAAGCTTTTTCTCTAAAGGGTCAGATGTTAAATGCTTTGCTAGCTACATGTTTTGTTTGCCACAGAGATGTGGCAACTACTTAACACTGTAGTTGTAGGTTGGAAACAGCCATAGACAATAGGAAATAAATGGGCATGGTGGGATTTGGCCCACAGCCCATAGTTTTCCCAACCCTGGTCTACAGCCCCAGGTATATAGTAATGTTCCTTCTGTAAAGTCCACTCCTCTGAACTCAGTCATGTCAAACTTTGCCACGTGGTCTTAATTTATATACACCATCTGACTTGGTTTCTTTTATTGTCTGAGTGAATCTCTGCCAGAATATGCTCAAATCTTTTCTCACTTCTAAGTAAAATATTTTCGAGTGTCTTTGAAAATTAGAACCTCAAACTCAGACATGGTAGCAAAATAGCTTGTTAATTATTTTAAAGCTGGCTCATATGTATTTGGATTAAGAAAAAAAAATCTCTTATTTCTCATACATAGATTAGCAATATCGTAAGGGAAATAAATGACCTACTGCATTGTCAATGATTTAAATGCTGAGCTAATGATTTTAAATCATTAGCTCTTCCAAGTTCTATCATCTTGATTTTTCTTTGCATTTGTTTTTTAAATTGTATTTCACATTTTAGGAAAAAGAAGGTACTTCTTCCTATATTGCCCTTGGTCCTGAATGCATCATGTTTCTTAAAGAATGTACTTGAGGGAGTTTTCATTTTAAAGATTTCTTGACTCTGTATGAAACATGTTGATTGTTCAGCAGCCATTCTACAGGACTGTATTATACCCATGCCTTTTAAACCATCTCACTTTTTACTTGTCTGCAGGCACTCATGAAGTTTCATAAACAACTGTGGGAAAAGTGCAGTTTGAAACATGCAGTTTGTCTGCTTAAGTAGAATGTATTTCTGTACAGAGGATTTTGACACCAGGCTGGGGATGCTTCAGTGTTCCTGTGTAAGGAGAGCCAGCTGTGGCAAAAATGAGAGTTTCCCAATGTAGGACAGATAAGTGTCTGACAGATTTTGGTGATGTGAGTGTGAGCATCCCTGTATTGGTTTACTATGGCTGTCATAACAAAATGCACAGATGGGTGGCTTCAACAGCAGAAATGTATTTCCTTACAGCTCTGGAGACTAAAGCTTCAAGATCAAAGTGTTGGCAGGTTTGGTTTCTCCTGATGATCCTCCTTGGCTTGCAGACGGTCACATTTTCACTGCATCCTCATCTGTGCTTTCCTCTGCGCACATGCATCCCTGTGTCTCTTCCTCTTCTTATAAGGATGCTAACTAGTCCCATTGGATTAGGGCCCCATCCTAACAGCCTCATTTAATCTTAATTACATCTTTAAAGGCCCTATCTCCAAATATAGTCATATTCTGAAGTCTTGGGGGTTACGGCAAGAACGTGTAAATTTTGGTGGGGACATAATGCAGTTCCTAAAAGTCCATATTAACTTTACCTAGTGGGATCCCTACAGGATTCTGATCTGGAAGCTGGACAAAAGCCCAGAGCCTAAGGACAGGCATGAGATACCAACCTCAGCTTGTGAGGACCAGGGAGATGGGGTTGGCAGAGGATAGGTGCTCACATTGGGCTCTGGAGCCAGACAGAGTTATTTTCTATACATTTCCATAATTGCTTCTGAGGCCTCCCTCACCAGTGGGCAGAATGGGGGTCACGAAAAGTAGCACCTCCACCTGTCAACCAATTTCAAGCTCTGACCTCTCTCTTCCCCCTGTAGGCCGTATGCCTTCTTTTTTTCTTTTTTTGAGACAAGAGTCTCGCTTTGTTGCCCAGGCTGGAGTGCAGTGGTGCAAACTTGGCTCACTGCAACCTCTGCCTTCTGGGTTCAAGTGATTCTCCTGCCTCAGCCTCCCAAGTAGCTGGGACTACAGACACATGCCACCACGCCTGGCTAATATTTGTATTTTTAGTAGGGATGGGATTTCACCGTGTTGGCCAGGCTGGTCTCGATCTGCCCACCTCGGCCTCCCAAAGTGCTGGGATTACAGGTGTGAGCCACTGCGCCCGGCCTGTATGCCTTCTTAATCGACCTCACAGAGCTTAGGACACTGGCTTGATGACAATTCAACATGGAATCTAATTCTGATCTAATCTGATTTGTGGAGATAGGCTCTATGAGAAAGAAGAATAGAAAGGTTTTTGCCTTCTCTGTTCTCTATTATCTGTCCAGCACCAGGTCCCTGTTTCATGAATTGAGCTTAACAGGTCATGTGTCAATTACAGCAGTTAAACTGTCCTAACAATCACCAAATCTTGGTGACTTAAAACAAATAGAAGTTTATTTTTGCCTATGTTTGAGGCCATTGTGAGGTAGGATGAAGAGTCGGTCAATAACATTCAAAGTCATTGAAAGACCCAGGTTCTTTCCATCTTGTGACTCCATGACCTTCTGTATGTGGCCATCAAGTTTGGTAGAAAGGGGGAAGGGAGAGTGCAGGATCTCACAAGTGAACATTTCTATGGGCCAGCCCTGGAATGGTAAACTTCATTATTCTCCACAGTGCATTTACCAGAATCTAGTCACATAGTCCCAAACTAACTACAAACAGTTTGGGAAATACAAATTCCCATGGATTCTCCCAATTTTTTATTTTTTATGGCCTTCCTAAACACATAGCTATTGTCTTCTGTCACTTTGCAAATACGTTTTTAGTTCTAGTTTTTTTTCTTAGGAAGGAATTTAAAGTGTTAAAGTAATTCAATATCACACAATTGGTTGTCTCAGCCAATCCTTGGGTGTACTCTCAAACTCCTAGAGAAAGATAACCATTTTATTCTAGGAGAGTTGTGTCTCCAGGCTACTATAGCAGTATTGCTGCATCTCAAGAATTGTTCCAACCTGAGTGGCTTTTTCCTGCCTTGTTCAGACATTTTTCATCATTGAAAGTAGTTGAAATATTACGGCTGTCTGAAAGAGCATCCTTCCTTCATCCTTAGCCACCACAGGAAACCCAGGTGCTTGCCCTAGGTCATCCTTTATGGGATATCAGATAAGACTAAAGCTGCCTCACAGGACCTTGAAAAGCTTCTTGTATTTTCCTGAATTCTTCAGGGAAGTTGGTCTGGAAACCCTACGTAGTCCATTATGGTGGACATATACTCACTAACCTAACTTCTCATTCTCTCTGTTTTTAAAATAAAAGCACTTAGACTCATTTTGTTAGTTACTTAAAATTTATCTTGGATTTTATTCTTTTTCTGTTTCTTGTACTGTTTTAAACATAGCAGGTGAATTTGATTAATTTGGATGTGTCATTTCCCCCACTCCAAATGTTATTTCAAATTAGGAGGAAGCAGCAGTGTACCATTGACTCCCTGCAGTCTAGTCTGGATTCTGAAGCTAAGAGCAGAATTGAGGTTACCCGGCTGAAGAAGAAGATGGAAGAGGACCTCAATGAGATGGAACTCCAGCTTAGCTGTGCCAACCGGCAGGTGTCAGAAGCAACCAAATCCCTGGGCCAGCTTCAGATTCAAATCAAGGTATTTTAAAACTGTAAGATGGGGTAGGGAGGGGTGGAAAATGTTTCTGCTTATGGAAGCAAACTAAGCAACAGATTGTGTTCAGCAGTAAAGATGAGGACAACAAATCTAATCTTTCCAGAGAGAAGGAGCATGCTTATGTCTAAATATATAGTCAGATCATGCATGTGTAGGTGCATAGTCTATGTTGAACTCAGAGGGATCTGTACTCCAGACCCATCTTTTCTCTCCCAGGACCTTCAAATGCAGCTGGATGACAGCACACAACTGAACAGTGATCTGAAGGAGCAGGTGGCTGTGGCTGAGCGGCGCAACTCTCTTCTTCAGTCTGAACTAGAGGATCTAAGGTCCCTGCAAGAGCAGACAGAGCGTGGCCGCAGGCTGTCAGAAGAAGAGCTCCTGGAAGCAACAGAAAGAATCAATCTTTTCTATACCCAGGTGGGGCCCATATACTCTCCCTATTAGCTGGGCCAGTTGGTTGAAGGCAGTGGTTCCCACACTTGGGGCGGCCTTGGACCATGCACAGTCGCCCTGTTAAGTCTTGGATGTGCCTGTGAAGCAAGGCATGTTCATACTCTTCATTTGTTCCCAAGTGTGTTATTTCCCTCAGGCCGCCATAACAAAGTACCACAAACAGGGTGGCGTAAAGCAACGGAAGTTTATTTTCTCGCATTCCTGGAGGTTGGAAGCCTGCAATCAAAGTGTCAGCTGGGCCATGCTCCCTCTGAAACCTGTAGGGAAATCCTTCCTTGCCCCTTCCTAGTTTCTGGTGGCTTACCGGCAATCTTTGCCATTCCTTGGCTTATGGATGCATCACTCTAACCTTCCGCCTTCACATGGTGTTCTTCCTGTGTCTTCACAGCATCTTCCCGCTGCGAGGGTCTGTTGCTGTCCAAATTGCCACTTTTTATAGGGGTACCAGTCATATTTGATTAAGGTCCACCCTAATGGCCTCATTTTAACTCATTTACCCCCTACCTCCCTTTTTTCCAGCTTCCTTTTAAACAAAATAAGACCCTATTTCCAGATAAGGTCACATTCTGATAAATAAGGGGTTAGGACTTCAACATATCTTTTTGTGTGTGTGTGAGACAAAATTCAACCCATAACAATAAGCCTTATGCCAGAAGAATGGATTGTCAGGGCATCCACAGCCAGGATGCTGGGGAGGGAGGGATGAACATTCCCTAATGTTCCAGAACCACTCCTGCTCCTGGTTCTCCTGCTCTCTCTAAGCCATGTGCTTCCCCAGCATCCCAGGATAAAAACAATGCTCCTGTCTTGGAGCCAGGAAAGCCCTAACAATTCTGAGTGGCTGCTGACAAATATGATACACCGTCTGGACTCTGGCTTCTAATGGAAGGTTATGTAAGTGACACGAAGCAAGAATTCTTAGATCCTTCTCCTTATCCTAGAATCAGAAGAAGCCATAGTTTCTAGGACAAACATCTATAGTAAATGGGTTGTGTGATAAGTGTTTATAGGGCACCCCCACCATAACCTGGACTGGTATGGATGGTATAGACACAGAATGTCTCCACTGTCCTAAAAAAATGAAGATTGAACTAAGCAATTGTAGTACACTGCTAAAAGTATAATGATATAGCAAGCACACCCCTACAGAAAGCCTTCTTTGACAATCCAAGAGTTAGGTAGCTGCACAGTATGCTTCTTCTGAGTCATGAAGGACATGTAAGAAGCCAGCCAGGTAGAGAGGAAAGTCAAGGGCAGAGACATGGGGGCAGGGGGAAGGAGTTTAGGATTCTAAGGGAAATTCACATGCTAGAGTATTCGGTGGATAGCCAGAAGGATCAGAAATCATGCTGAGATAGGTGGGGCCAGGTCACCAGTGACCCTGAGCCTGAGAGTGATGGAGTTTGAATTTTATCTTGCAGCTCATGGAGAGCCACTGAAGAATTTTGAGTAGCTAAGAGTGAAGTTATCAGATTTGCATTTTAGGAAGTTTTACTGTGGTGATTATTGTGAAGGACAGATTAAAGCACCTAGGGGCAGAACTGCTACACTCTGGGGCATTTAGAAACATCTGTGGGATCATTTTAGTTGCCACAGTGACTGGGAAATACCACTGGCATTTAGTGAGTAGGGTCCAGAGATACCAAAACTCCTTCAAGGTGAAGGATAATCCCAAGGAACTGCCCCTTCCAGAATGCCAATGTTCCCCCTACTGAAAAATACTGGATAAAAGAAAGTATAAACCAGAAATGTGCCTGTTGAAAGATGTTGTAATTAGTTTGTGCCTACAGTTTGACTTTTGTGTCCATGTGTATGACACAATCCCGTCTGGGTACCATGTGGTATAGAACAAATAGTCTGTAGGTTATAGATAATTCCCAACAGGCTAACTCAAACATTTTTTTTTTCTCCTTCAAGAAAGTTTAAATACAATGAGTTGGATTCTTATAAAATAGACTACAGACTTTTTTTAAAAAAGTAACTCATCCACTGTCTAGAACAAGGTTTCCCAATCCCTGGGCCACAGACCAGTACAGGTCTGGGGCCTATTAGGAACTGGGCTGCACAGCAGGAGGTGAGCTGCAGGGGAGAGAGCTTTGCCTCCTGTCAGATCAGCAGCAGCACTAGATTCTCATAGGAGTGCAAATGCTCTTATGAACTGCTCATGTGAGAGATGTAGGTTGCATGCTCCTTAGGAGAATCTAATGCCTCATAATCTGAGGTGGAACAGTTTCATCCCCAAACCGTCTCCCCCCAACCCTGCTACCTGGTCTATGGAAAAATTTTCTTCCATGAAACCAAATGGGTTGGGGACCGCTGGTCTATAGTACTTAATTGCTGTTGGTAACAAATCATTTGCCATGCATATCATACATGATAATGCACCAGTGGGATCCAATATGATGCAAAATCACTAGCCTAGAGAGAGATGAGGATCAGCTAGAGAAAAAGCATTCATAGAGAGGAGAGGATTTGGGGAAGAAGAAAATTAGGTAGAGGAGACCTGGTCTCTAGGGCAGAGTTTCTGAAACTTGATGTGTACATATAAGAATCCCTAACACAAAAATGTAAATTCTCAGATCTCACCCCAGATCCACTAAATCAGAAGCTCTGCAATGGGACCTAGAAAGTGAACATGTTCTCAGGTGCTACTGCTCATAGAAAGACTACCCTTTGACCAGCACTGGTCTAGGTGATATTATTCACAAGGACCTCTCCCCAACCTAAACCATGCTGCGGCACCTTGCAGTTACTAGAACATTATCAAGCAAAACATACTGAACCTTTTAGGGAGCCTTCTTAGCTACCTCCTGCATTTCCAGATCTCCAGCCTAGGACTAACATTTGAGGCTAAACTTATCTTTGACTGATTACAGGTGTCTTTTTCAAACTTGAGCTGTGACAATCTAGATTACCTTTCTGCAAAGCACTTCCTAACTCCCTTTCTCCTAAAAAAAAAAAAAAAGAAAGAAAAAAAAAACAAATTAGAGAGTAATTCAGTTTGCAAAGATTTAAACCCTTGTCTCCCTAGCAAATTTTAAAGGATTCTATGTACAAACAAATTAGTATTTGTACTTATACCTTCCTCTACAAAGAAATAGTTTCTATGGAGTCTGTGCTGTGAGCATCCAAAAAACACTTCAGGAAAATACAACTTAATTCCACCCCATCTCTCAGGCCATGGCAGTGGAAATCTAGGAGGTATACAGGGCCTGGCTTTCCATAAGGACAAAAGATGGCAGTCTTGATAAAGATGCTTCATGCCATAGAGAAATGGGGTAGATAGAACCAGTGATGCTGGAATATCATTCTATTTTTTATTTTTCTTTTTTGAGACGGAGTCTCACTCTGTCACTCAGGTTGGAGTGCAATGGTGCAATCTCGGTTCACTGCAACCCCCGCCTCCCAGGCTCAAGCAATCCTCTCACCTCAGCCTCCCGAATAACTGGGACCACAGCTGTATGCCACCACACCCAACTATTTTTGGTAAAAGTTTTGGTAGAGACGGGGTTTCACCATGTTGCCCAGGCTGGTCTCAAACTCCTGAGCTCAGGAGATTCACCCCCGTCAGCCTCCCAAAGTGCTAGGATTACAGGCATGGGCCACCACACCTGGCCTGGAGTATCCTTCTATTTCCAAGTCTTCATCCTGCTACTGAGAAAGGCACTAGCCAGAGGCAAGTGAATGTGAAACGGATAAAGTGAAAGGAGAAATAAAAAAATAGAAAGCCTATGCCTTTTATATACACTGCGAGTTTTCACACCCTCAGAAAAGCTGGGCTTCAAACACAGACCAAATAGCAGCAAAAGGATATTTGGCCTCTAGTGTCACAACTCAGGAAGGAAAGAATTAGGGCAGCACCAACCACAGAACACAAAGAATCCTCCGTGGTAATGAGGGTACCTAAGGGCTGGAGGAGGCTTATTCTGAACTACTTTCCCCACCTCCTCACTGTAAAGTAAGATAGGAAGGGAAGTACAAAAAGAAGAGGAATGATTTTTTTTGTTTGTTTCTGGAGCAGCATACTTGGAGTTACAATTTTTATTCCCCAACCTCTGCTCCTCAGATGTCTGCAACTGACCCCAACTTCTGCTCTAGAACACTTGTTTCTACCACATCCAAAAGCAAGTGGCAGAGAAACATTTCCTCAACCCATTGAAAACCAAACACGTTTGGGGCTTGTAGGTTATCTAGATACCCTTCTTCCCTTCTGATTCAGGCTGCCATCTCTTTAGTCTTGAACTTCTAATGGGTGAAATCCCTTCCATTCAAGTTTGATGGCAAAAGCCTTTCGGGATTGGGAGCACTGCTTAAGGGACTATGGCTCACTATAATAAAATTTGCTTCTGGCCAGAGCTGACTCCCATTGCATGTCCTGAACAGACCAGCTTGCATTTGCATTGCTGGTTTTTACTTGCCTAATAGGAATGCTGCTTTTCTTTAGAACACAAGCCTCCTCAGCCAGAAGAAGAAACTGGAGGCTGATGTTGCCCGGATGCAGAAAGAAGCTGAAGAGGTGGTGCAGGAGTGTCAAAATGCAGAAGAGAAGGCCAAGAAGGCAGCCATTGAGGTGGGTCCCTTGACCACGTACTCAATCCTGTCTCCCAGAGTTCACTGGCGCAGTGGCCAAGGGGCAGGGCCACATCTGCAGCCAAAAAGTATTCCATTGATTTCCCATACAGCCAGGGGGAGGTTAGTCTGACCTCTCTGCCTCCCTGTTCTCATCTTGAAAAATTAGGCCAATTAGCTCCTCCCACCAACATACCCTGGTGATGAAAAGGAGCAGTTGAATTGCTATAAGCAAAACCTTATAAAAGCAGGAGTCTTCTTTTGTTTTGGTTAAGCCACTTTTCATTTGTGAATCAATACATCTAGTGTCTAGAAACAATTCTTTCTGTGTTTCCTTACAAAAAGCTATTTTTCCTAGGGTCTATAACAGTTTTATGATGATGATTTGGAAAGAATGTTTAATTCACTTATTTTTTTTACAACCTGTACTACTGCTTGAAGAGCAAAATCAGGTTGGTAAAAAAGGGTTTCAGGGCTGCTGTACTTTCTTTATTTTCCAGTTGATGATGGCAGTGATTTTCCTAAATGATGTTGAGCTCAGAGTTGGCTGCCAGCTTTGGCGCACCTTCATAGGGACTGAAAAAAGGCCACCCTCTGGGCACCCCCTGTGGGCAGATGCAGCACTTCTCTCAGCGGGCATGGTTAGCGGAAGGTACCACTGGGAAAAATATGTTAGTGGAGGGGGAGGTTTGTGTGTGGCAGATTCAGCTTTGAAGGTCCCAGAGCTTGCAGAGTGGGGCTTGGGGTTGGTTTCTGTCTCTGCTCACCCCTTCTCCATCAAGAGCTTTTGTGCAGCCCATCAAATGCACAGCCACATGCAACAGCCCTGATCCTCCCACATGAAGGGAAGCAGATTCCCCTGCTAAACTAGGAGACAGGACATTTGATTATATTTTACATTAGTCACTTTAAAATTCAAAGGAGGTGAAGAGCTTGTATCTATATTTGCTCAAGTTATTTAACACTTGGGGAACTAAACAAAACCATTGCACCAAATCCCAACCACCTAATCATTGTAGAATCCAGCCCCCTCTAAGAATGGGCAACCATGCCTATTCACTCATCCCTTTTGTATCAAGGCGGATATTCTGATCTCTGAGGAAAACGAGGTGTGTGAAATCTTGAAGATGTTTGATGGCCAAGGGAACAAATATGTGTAACATTTATGAAAATCCACACAGGTAGAAAGGAATAAAAATAGCTGCTCCTGTTTGATAAACATATGCAATCATATATTATGAAGATGCTCTCTGCTTAATCTTGCCTTGATAAGATTTTCTTGACAGTGTTGAAAAGTGAACTCATCTCTGACCCCAGCCTCCAAGCCTCCCACAGTTTAGCTCTGAGTCCCAACCCCACATCACAGAATGTAATTCATTCTTTGCCCTCACCATCTGCATAGAAGTCTCACACTTAAATTCTGCAGATGGTTGGTAACCTGATAGACAGAAAAGCTTGGGCTGTGAGGGCCATGTTCTTACATTAAATGTACCTAGAGATTCTCAAAACAGTTCTTAATGATTGCATTGAGACACCAAGCCCTTGTACACACAGCCAAAGCCAAGAGCAGGCTTCACAATTAACCTTTTTCTTGCCAGATTATTGGCAGTGAGAGCATCTGTTACTGCCAAATTCCTGGAGCCAAACTTGTTTGTGTAGTGAATCACAGAATTATAGAAGTGAGATGTGAAAAGATTTTTGTAGGCACTTCTCCATATCTTTCCTGGTGCATTAATGTGACACCGGTTACTTTATTCAATAATCAGTCATCCCAGTGCTTTATTCAATTAAAAGCCATTGCTTCAGTTGGTCATCTTTATTTTAATACAGGTGTTGCATAATAATGTTCATATGTTTCTTCATCTTTAGTCTGTTTCCACCACTCCTTACCCTGTTCTCTCCTGTAGCTACTGCTGTCTCTATTGCCTTACTGTTAACAAACTCGAGGGTGGTAGTGGTTAGGGAGATTATAATGGGAAGAGATCACATACATAGAGGCAAGGCGTGGCAGCCAGTCAGACCAGGAACTAAAGATCATGGGTAAAAATGTTAAGATCAATTGACTGCTGAACTAGCTCAGTCCCTTTTTTTAACCCCCTAGGCAGCAAACTTGTCAGAAGAACTGAAGAAGAAGCAAGACACCATTGCCCACTTGGAAAGGACAAGAGAAAATATGGAGCAGACAATTACAGACTTACAGAAAAGGCTGGCTGAAGCTGAACAGATGGCCCTGATGGGGAGTAGAAAGCAAATCCAGAAACTAGAATCCAGGGTAGGAGTCTGGGTAATCATGAGGGCTTGACAGTCCCCAATTCAAGACCTCTTTGTCCTGGAATGTGACACTAGATCTGCCCCCCAACACACATACCCTTTATCACTTTTGCTTTTAGTACTTTCAGATATTTAAGAGTGTCAGATCTCAATATATGCATTCATTCTTTGCTTGACTTTGGGTGAGCACATAGGACTTTCCTTGGACTGGATGAAATCTGCCTTCCCTCTTGCTAACTAACATTGCAGCCCTTCTTGCTCACCTCACCAGCTCCAGGCTCTCACTCCAAGGCTACCTGGTGTTTCCAAACACACCCCTGGCAGTCTTGTTTCTGTGCCTTTTCTCCCGTTAATTCCTCTGCAGAGAATGCCCATTTTCTGACAGCCAGAGAAAGGAGAGAGAAAACAACTAAATCAATGATCAAGAAAGACTTAGAGAAGATACAGTAAGGACTGACAGAAATGATGTAGTATCTGCCTTCAGGGAGCTTAAAAATGAGTAATAGCATCTTGAAAATAAGATTTGTAAAATTATTGAATCAATTTTAATGACTACAGACAAGGCATATGATAAATGCTACAAGAATGGAAAGAATATTCAACTAGGATTCAATTGTTCAAAAGGGCCTCTAAAAAATAAGGTATCACCTTTGCATGTTTATGGTATATCCATACAATGGAATACCCATGTCCATTTCGGGTACCTCCATACAGTCATACAGTGAGGGCAATGTGGAAAGCGTATATACCCTTTTGTTCAAGAAAGTGGGAGAATATGAAGGTGTACACATTTGCTTATATTTTCAAAATGAAATGGTAACAGGATAAATCAGAAAAATAAAAATGGCTATCTATGAGAGGATAACACAGAGATGACAGTTGGACCCTCCTAATGTACCTTGTTTAGTTGTTTTGATTGGAAAATCATATAAATCATTTGCATACTTTATAATTAAAAAAACAAGTTTAAGTCAAAGAAAAAAACTCAGCAGTCTCTAAAATTTTAACACCAATGGAAGCAAATGAAGTTAATGATATATTAAATTGGGGGCATTAAACATACACAAGTAAGAATTATTCTCAGTGACTTTTAAACATAATGTTTTGTCCATACATCCCTCAATATAAGGACAAAATAACAAAAGAATGGCAAAAACCATGCATTTATAACTTCAAAATACCAACATTTAATTGCTATTAGCAGTAAGTTTATCCAATGACATATATAAGAACCAAGATTTTTGGTATAAGAGAAACGGCATATAGGTATAAAATTTAAAAGTATGCATTTTTCCCCTAAAAAATACATGAAACTGGTTTTTCCAACTCAGTTTTAAGATTGCCAGGTTTTATTTCCAATTGCTGTTTGTTCACTATTATGGCCTAGAACCAGTGATAACTCAGTAGCAACGACCAGCAATGAACTCCTTAATATCAGATAATACTAAGGAATTATGGTTAATATTCTTAAAGACACAACCATGATACCATCATTACCTATTAGAATGATATCCAATAGTATTTACAGGTGGAATTACATAATGTCTAGGATTTGCTTTAGTAGAGCAGTTTTTCCCCAAGGTGTTTTAATCACTTTAATCCCCCCCCAAAATTCTTAAGGAGTGCTTAAAAAAAGTAGAGGGGCCTGTAAGAGCTCACATCCCGACAGACAGAACTGTGTGTCAGGTTCCTATATAGCAGGTGTCAGAAGATTGCTTTAAATGGGCTTTATCCACAAGGAAGTCTCACACTTGCTCCCCTCCCTTCACGTTGCACCTCTCTGAGGAGGTACAGGAGGGAAGAATGGCTCCAGTGGGGAGTAAGAGGTGGGGTCAGATGTGCTAGGCACATTCTTGCCTCAGGGCACTGGCCTTCCCGTTCTCAAGAAGGCCCCTTGGAGAAGGTGGCATTGGCGTCAAGGAGAAGGCAGGAAAAGAGGATATCTGGGTAAGAGCCCCCTAGGCAGGGGGAGCAGCCAACATCAACTCCCTACTCCCTCTCCTGCCTTATTTCTCTCTATGGCACTTATCTCCATCAACATAGCCTACATTTTACTTTGTTTTGTCTGTCTGCTTCCCCTCATTAGAACGTATGCTAATTCAGGGAAGAGATTTTTGTTTGTTTTGTTCACTGCTGTATTGCTAGCACTGGGGTGTGGTATGTAGCAGGCACCTGCATTGAATGAATGTTAAGCTCATTTGTGTAACTCTATAAGGCAGCAGGCAGCTCAAGCAGGACTGGAGGGTTGTGGGTGACATACATGTGACATAAACTCAGCATCTGATTTCTTTAGAGAGTCAGAGCTGAACATAGGGAAAGCAGCTTAAGATTAGGTAGTATGTTGACCAAATCCTCAAATGGGCTACACATTGCTTACTCTCTATACTTACATATACATTCATACATACACTTTGGGTGTGGTTTTGTAATTCAAGAAAAAAGCTTCTCATATCTGTGTGAATTAGCCTTTCACATATTTCAGTCTAAATAGTTCTTTTATGAATCCATAAAAGATCTTACTTTTGGCGAGAGAGTTTTCCCAGAGACACTGTCCTGTTTAAGCACCAAAAACAGTGTGTGCATGTTCCCTTGACACTTTGCTGTCTTTCAAATGATTGTGCCAATCAGCAAATAGAATGCCAGACTTGGTGGCAGCGTCTGGTCTGAGGTCACGTTTTGGTTGCAGGTTCGTGAACTGGAAGGTGAACTGGAGGGTGAAATCCGTCGCAGTGCAGAGGCCCAGAGGGGAGCCCGCAGACTTGAGCGATGCATCAAAGAGCTGACCTATCAGGTACTCCAGGAAACCATTCCCTGTTTGTCTGGCTGGGCACTACCCTGCAGAAAAGTACTCCTTCAAGCCTGAAATGGCCTTCTGGGACTCCTGCCGTTCTCTCTTCATCTTTGTTCTCCTTCAGCAGTAGACACTGACTCACCCTCCCAGAGCTCCTGTGCTATTAGTGGTTTGGATCGGTCTCTTTTCAGAGCTCTCAGGAAACAAAATGTGAGGGGCAAGTTGCAATTAGAAGTGAAAAGCTATTTATACCATCTGGATTTTTTCACACATAGTGTTTGCAGTGCTTTCATAAAGATGCCTTCCTGTGAGTGGCTGAGTGAGAACAATGTGTAAATGAAGTTAATGGCAGAGGCTCGGGGTGGCTACCCAGCTGGCAGGTTACATGGGATGCTGATTCAATTGCAGCGGGGGGCATTTCCACTCCTATTTTCTGGTTGCGCAAACACTCAAGGCCACTGAGGACACTGTTGCTGGTGCCAGGTGGAAACAAAATACTAAAGAGAGACCTCTGAAGCTTTCTGAATCTAACCTGTTGACTAACATTGGTCTCAAGCAATAATTGAAAAGAGGTGGGCAGACTTCTTACAAGTGACTAATGCATTTCTAAAGTAAAAATATCATCATCTACATTTTCACTTTCAACCATTGCTTCCCTTTTCCTTCTAATGCAGTCAACATAGATTCTCTGATGGCAGAGGCACTGTATTTTTCTCCCCTCCAGGGTCTGGCATCCTCCTATCACACAGTAGATGTGTGATTTCCACTGTTGAACACAGATGCTAAAAGTCACTTTCCAGCCCTCTCACACTGCACATGATAGCTTGTTCCAGCTATCTCACACTGGACAGTAAGCTATCTCACACTGCACATGATAGCTTATCCCAGCCCTCTCACATTGCACATGACAGCTTATTCCAATACAAAGGCAAATTTATTTTAGGCACCCATTTTTACAGCTTCTTTGACAATGCCAATGCAAGATCTGCTACTCCTGATTCTGGTTCCTGAGGCTGAGTTGTTAAAGATGTCAAAGTCTTCTTCCCTTGCAGCAGGAAGGATAGATAAGAAAGCACAGCACTTCAGAAGCATCATCTTGGGCTAATTAAGATGAAACAAGCTACTTGCACAGCTCTTTTATTATTAAGCGGTTCCTTTTGTAAGATGAGTTAGTCTGACACTTCTTTAGACCATGCTAGGTATATCAAAGCCACTGAGAAGTGGGCCCATGGTATGTGTGGCTAAGTAGGTAAACACCTTGGGAACTTAAAAGTTTGCTATTCTACTTTGAGGAAGGTGGAGAAGCCACCCATGTTGATGACATGAAATGCTGCTTTAATGTCTGGATTTTCCTTTTTATTTTCCCATTGATTCTTCTTATTGTTTTATTCTGTAAACAACTTCATTATGGAACAAAAAACCAAAGTTATATATTTTTTTGGTTTTCATTGTCCCAAGGAATGCATTCTTGTTCTATCGTGTCTTACCTTTGTTTCTTCATTGTAATAATCCTAGTGTTTCTCATGTACTAGAATGAGGTACATTTATTAATTTCTTCCAAGTGTCTGCAGAATGCTTAGATAGGCCTATTTTCTGCCATCAAATCAGCTAATATCATTAGGCTAGACCCTGTAAGTTTAAAAAGACATTAGAGGACACTCCACATTTCCTGGTACTTGGTTTTGAAGTGTTCAAGGTTAACGCTGAGTCATCTCAATCATCAAAATAACCACCAGGACAAGGAGGCAGGGTGTTTGGTGATAGCCCATTCCTAGGTGCAATTAAAAATGTCATTTTGAAAGGGACACAAATATCATTTTCTTAGGAAAAGTCCTCTGGGAAGATTCTGCTACTGGAAAGGAGTCAAGTGTGGTCCCACTCCATGACAGTTCTATGGCTGGTCCCCATGCTGCATTTATCTTCTCCTTTATATCCCCTTAGCATTTGGAAACTTGTCCTATTTTCTCTCTCCAGCACCTAGAAAAATGTGCTATAAAGCAGAACATAAGATTAGGTACTTGTAACTGCTATAGAAGGTCAAGATAGTTCCTCTGCCCCTCACTCTCCACCCATCTACTCGGTTCTACCATCAACTGCCTCCTACATCCAGGAATCTGTATAGATATTATTTAATCTTTACACATCTAGTCAAGAATGTAGTATCATTTTTAGGGATAAGGAAATACAATTTGGTTAAGTTGCTGTGTTGAGAGGGTTCTCTAGGAACCAAATGCCAGGATAGAGTTAGATGTACAAGAGATCTATTAGAAGTAACATCTATGAAGGATGAAGATGCAAGCAAGCAGGATGGGGCAGAGACGTGAAGGGAGAGGCTGAGGGAGGAAGAGGAGAAGGGAAGAGCGTCAGACTATAGTGCAGCTCTGGGCAAGTCTCCAGCACAAAGATTGCCCAGAAAGGACTCCCATGTTGGGCAGAAATGGCCAGACACTAGTGACTTCACTATGCCCAGCTATTGCCTGGGGGCTGCCTGGGAAGTGTGTGGCCTCAATGCTAATGCTGTGGCGGGTCCCAAAGGCACTGCAGTTGGAGGTTATCAGGTAACTGCACTTCTCACAGCTGAATGTCAAGTTCTTTTCTTGATAGGAAATCTAGGACGTGCATAGTCATGGTCACCAGTTACTCAATGCCCTAGAGCTGAGATGGGAACCTAGGCCTAACATCAATGGCTTTGCCTTCCCATGTGGGAGGGACATCAGTAACATCAGCAACCACTTCTAGCTTTTTTCAGTTTTCTTCTGTGTGGCCTCCTTTATGACCAATTTACTCTCTTCTCAGTAAACTGATTATTAGCAATTAAACCTGTGTTGATTTTATAATTTACTGTAAGCACATAATGCTATGAGTCTTTTGAATTTTATAAACCTGACAAGTTGAGGGATAGGCAGATAAAAACAAAGAAGGGATTTTATTTGAACCAGACTTGTCTCAGTTCCCCAACTAGGTTCTTTCATATATATTCATCCCTGCCTCCTGATGGTTAAAATTAGTAATTATTAATATCTACTTTTACATGGTACTTTAAGGTGGTGGTGTGTGTGGCGGGGGAGCATTCCAGATGATGAGAATAGCTTGGCTAAACCTAAGGAGGACAGAGTGAGCAGGGGAGCTCTGGGGAAACAGGAGAATGTGACCTGGTTGGAGTGGGTTCGTGGTGGTGGGGGGAATGGAAGGTAAGTAGGGGGAACATTAAAGCTGCCAAAAAAGTTCATACTTGATGGAATAGGTCAAATGGAGCCAGAAAACAATTTTAAGCAGTAGTAGATCTTTCTTGATTAAATCAGCTTCTCAACCCTGAGCAAATTGAGATATTTTCTTCCTTTGAAAAGTACAATAGCTCCAATATGGAAATATTCCAGTTAAAGGGGCATGAGGAAAGAGGGGGCAGGCAGACCCCTATCTACCTGCCTGCCTCTAGCCTCCTCTCTCTCTGGAATACCAAAGGCTCTGCAGAGCACAGTTGAGAAACATTATCCCACCAGATTTCCTTTCTTCAGCCCGAGGCTGGATTGTAATTGAGGCAATGAGAATGGGCACACCATGGTCCCCACAGCTTGTAGAATCTTCCTTGCTATCTCCGCATCAGAATTCCAGAAAATTTATCTTTTCTATAGTTCTATTACTCAAAACCAAGAGTCAATTAGAAAGTTCAAAGGAATAGTTGTTTTGATTGGGGAGCAATTGGTTTTCAGTTTTGCATATGTGGCTTTTATAATAATGCACTTCATTCCTGCTAAATAAAGATACAGCTTTTTATTTAGCTATAGCTAAAGCTATTGCTGTTTTCGTCATCTGAATGCACCCCCACTACCACCACCTTAAAGTAAAATATAACAGTAGATAATTCACTACTAATTTTAAGTATACAGATATAGCTTCAGGCAGATATAGCTTGGTTGAGCTGGAAAGACTGAAGACCCAAACTGAACCTAATGGGTTTAACTCCCATTTCAGCAAAGGTTGATGGATCAGGACAAATGACTGTTAGTACTGACAGTTCTATTTATCAATTTCTTGGAACTTGGGTGAGTTAAACCCATTGTTAAAATCACAACTCTGAGATGATGTTTAATAAAGTTCCCTGATCCTTATTTCCCCACATGAGACTACACCAACGTAGACTGCTGGATCCTCTGAATCACCTTCCCATACATGCCTATGTATTGCAGGCAGAGGAAGACAAGAAGAATCTGAGCAGGATGCAAACTCAGATGGATAAACTTCAGCTAAAAGTGCAAAATTACAAGCAGCAAGTCGAGGTGGCGGTGAGTGCCTGGGGAAGTTTCAGCCTCATGGATTTCCCAGTGTTGTTTTGATTAAGGGAGATCTGTGACCCTGAGCTCAGCAAGCAGCTTGTCAGAGAGGACCTGCTCAGCTTAGAGTCTGCTCATCCTCAGTTTTTTTTCTCAAGTTAGAATTCTCACCCATGGCAAAAATGTGCGTGGCTTTTCCCTCCAGGAAGCCAGAGCTCTCTCCTTTACCTTTGTGGTTGCACCCAAACAGGTACACAACAAGAAATGAGATAGGTAAAAGCAGAGTGTCACGTAGGGAAGGCCAGTTTTGGGCAAGGTAGTCACCCTGGGGCCTCCCTCATCCCAAAACCTTGGGTAAACATAAACATGGTTCACAGTATTTGTTCTTGATGATCCTGGATATGGTTGTGGACAAAACCACCATAAATTGAAATGTACTTGCCATCCCTGGGTCAGTATCTATAACTACAGGGAATGTAATTGATAAGTGTCATATATATTGATTTATCCCTAATATTAACTCTTGAGGGGTTTTGATTATTTCAATGATTTGGCCTAAAACACTACCTGTTCTAGCCCAAGGTCTAATAATTACCTGTTGACCCATATAATTTTAAAGACAAGCCCCCTCTACCCAGGGGTAGAATAGGATGTTAAACTCATGACAAAATAGACAACTGTGGTTATTCTAGCACATTTTCAGTCTGTGAGAGCTTTACTGCATCCAGTTGATGAAAAGTGCCAACTAGGTTCTGAATTTCCAAGGAACAAAAGTTATAAAAAAATGGATCTTATACCTGCTAGAAAGTCTGAATCCTAATATATCATACCAAAATATGATATCCCATTCAATACTCAGAAGTTTAGATTCTTTTCACATTATTCAACTTTCTCATGTCAGAGCAGAAAAAAAAAACACCTGACTATATAGGCATGGAGATTTCTTTTTTTTTTTTTTTATTTTTATAGGAAACACAAGCCAATCAATACCTTTCCAAGTATAAGAAACAGCAACATGAGTTGAATGAAGTGAAGGAAAGGGCAGAGGTGGCAGAATCTCAAGTCAATAAACTCAAAATTAAAGCAAGAGAGTTTGGGAAAAAGGTATGGCAGATATTCAACTCTGTTCTAACTCTTTAATCATGTTTGTTTAGGGCTGATGTCATTGCATGGACCAGTATAACAAGAAATTTGTTTTTCTCCTTAAAAGCTTTTAAAAGATAAGAACAAAGGGTTCCAATAAAATCTTCCCATGTTTGCTAAATTATACTTGTCCTGGTAGATGAAATGCTAAGCATTTGAGTGACATGCACATTGTATTTATACTTTTCAAATGCTTACTTCCATGTTAACTTGCAGGATCTAAGATTTAGGGCCTGGATTCATTAGTGTAAAGTAGTCAGGAGTCCATGGAACAAAGTTGATTTTAAAAAGCACAGATGGATCGGCTCAAAATTCAGAATGAACTCTTTCCACAGTAGACACATACGTGACTTTGTACCATATCAATTTGGAGTCCAAGAGGGAAGATGTTTAAAATTGAGGCAGTGAAGGAAAACAAATACCAGAGTCTTGCTTTGTAGTTCTCTGCTTTATATTCCTGATTCTGCCCAAAAACACAGAGAAAGGATCTTTCTATGTCTCTTTGGTCCACAAAATGGCTCTTCTAATCTAATGGTAGAGGCCATTGCCCTGATTTTACTGGTAGAGTGACAAAGAACAATGTACTAAATGTTTGGTAGGGTCAGGTAGTCTTGGCTTCCTTGTTGAAATTTTCCCAGGAACACACAGTTTTTAAACGAGGTCTGGCTTTAGGCGAAAGGAATCAAAGGAGATTGGATAATGTGGTATTAGCTAATAGATTGCCTGAAATCACTGAGCATAGCTTCTGGCATAGTTAGGCACCATCATTTCATTATTATTATTTTTTTTTTAAACGTGGTGCATCACCAGCCCTCTTTCTCTGTGTTTTCGGGCAGAATCAGGAATATAAAGCAGAGAACTACAAAGCAAGACTCTTGCATTTGTTTTCCTTCACTGCCTCAATCTTAAACGTCTTCCCTCTTGGACTCCATATTGACATGGTAAAAAGTCACACATGTGTCTACTATGGAAAGAGTTCACTCCAAATTTTGAGCCGATCCATCTGTGCTTTTTAAAATCATCTTTGTTCCATGGACTCCTGATTATTTTATACAAATGAATCCAGGCCCTAACTGAATTACTAGTAACCCTGCAAGGTAAGTTGATAGGGTTGCCAATAATATGCATAAATACTACCTTAAGGGAGGTCAAAAGCATCTCTTTTGAAGGAGAGCCTAAGAGTTGGTTATATTGAATATACTTAGATCTAAATATAAGAAATATGAATCATTGAGAGACTCCAGAAATTTTTTACTGATGCCTGAATAGCTGCCTCAAGGATAAGTCCTATGCGAGAGGGGCAATTAAGTGGTTTGAACTTTGGCCTCAATTTGAGAAGTGTTGTGGCACTGGATTTAGGGTCTTCTCTGCAGAGCCCACCAGCAACCCCATGTAATGACTTGTTTAGGGAGGTGCTTCCCATGTGCTGCAATTGCATTCAGCTGCAGGAGGTTGAAGGGCCTTCAAAACAGATGCCATGCATTCGACTTTGTCACAGTTATTTTCAACAAAGAACAGAGTGAGTGAAGTAGAAATTGCTTTTGAGAGGCCAGAGAGGAATAGGAAAACCTTCCTTGGCAGTGCAATGACTAATTGTTTCCCCTTCACAGAAGAAAAGCCAAAAAATCCTCAACTGTCATATGCACAAGGAAGAGGTTTGCTGATAGAATTCTGTGTCAGGGCTGGGGAGCAAACTGGTGATGTGGCTGCAGAATCTTTCTCCTTATGGGGTTGGCAAAGGGGGGCGCTGCCTTCATTGGCAAGACAAGGCAGGCAGAAAATTGAGAGTGACCGAGCATGCCCTTGGGGTGAATTACCAGGGTCTGCTTTCTGTAATGCAGATAATTGCCTCAATTCCCTGCCTCCCTTTGAAGTTAATGAAGAGTTGGCTAAGGCCTGCTTACCTCTGGAAGGGACTCAGCTTGGTTCTGGACATGTGTTCCACTGGTGAAAATCACAGGAAATTCACAGAACACACTGACATTCTGTTTTTCAGGTTCAAGAAGAATAGCATCCCCTGCTTTGAAAGGACAACAGCTGGAGAAGTACAAGGAAGGTGCTGTTTCATGGCCAAAAACTTAGGTTGCATGGAAACATTTTTAAAAACATGTTTAAATTGCTTTTCACACCATATAAACAAGGCAATTAGAAAAATAATTAAAGGGAATATCATTGCTTCCACAGTTAATGGGGATTTTTTGATCCTCAAATGCAAGTAAACTACCTTCTAATGCTTCACATGACAGATTAAATAAATGGAAGAACCTTTTCAATTCTGATGTTTAAAAAATGAATAAATACTTGATCCTTTGTCCATATTTCCTCTTAATGGGTAGGACTCATAGAAGATGTCCTTAGACCAGTCACGCTTCATGGGGACTAGGGCATGTTGGTGAATGGTTTTTACTAAAGTTAGGCAACTTTGGCTTGATTCACCCCTAAATCTATGAATGTATATTGTGAGCCAGCAGTGGTAGAATGGAAGTCATAAGATCTCCTCAGCATTGTGATATAAATATAGCTATAGTTAGGCAATTTGAACATGTAGGCAAAACTCTCCTAATCAACACACATGTAGGCTATATGCTGGTACATGCTTTAAACATGGAGGTAACCCCACACGAGACATTCAGTGACAGGTAATATGCTGGATTTGTGCAGTACCGATTTGGCTCAGCTGGAGGAACATGTCCCGGAATTCCTCTCTCTCATGGTTCTGGATTGGAGTAGGTCATAAAGAAATTTGCATTAATTTGATCAGCAGCTATTTTATACTCATAAGGTCAGTGTACAGACCCAAGCATGGTGACAGCTTGAAAATATGACTCCAGGCCAAAAAGGGGAGCTAGAAGAGACCAGAGACAGCTCCCTGGACCCAGAGCTCTTCCAGCTCCTGCCAGCCTCCTCCTTCAGCTTTGCAAAGTACTGGCCAGGTGTGTGTGCAGCTCCATGGCAACCAGCATCAGCTTTTCCTGAGATCACACACAGCATTGCAGTGGAGGCCGTGAGACAGACATGGGTTCTGTTTGTTCTTATGGACTTCCCTTCATCCTTGCTGCATTCACAGTCGACCTACAGTGACTTCAGGCCCAGAACCAGATGCAGAGGGAACAGCCTGGCCTAGACTTCTCCACCAGCACCCACAATTGTGTAAGGCTGAAGCTCTATAATAAATCTTTATTCTGTCATTCTCTGATTCTGCCTCCCTGATCCAACCCTGACTCATATGGGTAGCTTGACGATTAATTCAGGGACTCAGTGGTATCAGAGGACCCAGGTTCATTCTTGTCGGAATCTCTTGTCGCCGTAAGAGGACTTCAGCAGTCCTGAGCATTTTCTCCCCATACGATAACCTGTCTCTTCTTAAAATGGAGAAACACTTTCCCAGAAACAGACCTCTGGAATAATTTTCCTCATACCCTAGTGAGCAGATTTCTTTATCTGCTTATGCTGAACCAGTCTAGTGGCAAGAGGACTGCAATTGTCAGGGTTGGCTCAGACAGATCAAAGTGGATGCTCTTGAAAAATCAGGGTACCATTTTGAGCAAGGTGAACCAAATTTGAGTTTTGTGGTTGGCGGAGAGGGATGCACAGCCACAGAGTGAACTAGCAGGTATGTGTGTCGGGCTGTATCCAAAGCAGTCGCTCCTTCTTACCATCGGTCTTAACGCAATGAGAAAACAACATGAAACATTTAACATGGAACTTTTCTAGGGTTTTTTTTTTTTCCTGGAATAGTAATTTTTTAAAACTTCAGTAAAAAATGTTTGGAATTATCCTTTAATAAGCCAATGTTTATATTCAGGAAACATCTCTATATCCCAAACCTTTTCTTAGAAATTTGCTGTTGTCATATTACCAATCCTGAAGTTAGGATGCTATTGTTTCTCCACACCCCAGGCACATACTCAGTAAAGTAAAACTTCAGCTTGGGGATGCATCCAGTTTTGTTATTAAGTATCATGTTCTCTCACTAGGACACAATTTTTAAAAAGGAACCAAGGCTAGGGGGAAGCAGAGATGGTAGACAAATATTATCTCAATGGAGTTTTTCTTCACAATGGAATTTTTTTAAAAGATATCTAAGTTATATTTATTTTTTTAAAAAAAATTTACTTTAAGTAAGTTCTGGGATACACGTGCAGAACATGCAGGTTTGTTACATAGGTATATGTGTGCCATGGTGGTTTGCTGTACCTATTGAACCGTCCTCTAGGTTCCCTCCCCCGCCCCCCACCCTGCAACAGGCCCTGGTGTGTGTTGTTCCCCTCCCTGTGTCCATGTGTTCTCCTTGTTCAGCTCCCACTTATGAGTGAGAACATGTGGTTTGGTTTTCTGTTCCTGTGTTAGTTTGCTGATAATGATGGCTTCCAGCTTCATCCATGTCCATGCAAAGGACATGATCTCATTCCTTTTCATGGCTGCATAGTATTCCATGGTGTTTGTATCACATTTTCTTTATCCAGTCTACCATTGATGGGTATTCGGGTTGGTTCCATGTCTTTACTATTGTAAATAGTGCAATAAACATACATGTGCATGTGTCTTTATAGTAGAATGATTTATAATCCTTTGGGTATATACCCAGTAATGGGATTGCTGGTTCAAATGGTATTTCTGTTTCTAGATCCTTGAGGAATCGCCACACAGTCTTCCACAATGGTTGAACTAATTTACATTCCCACCAAGAGTGTAAAGGCATTCCTGTTTCTCCACAGCCTTGCCAGCATCTATTGTTTGACTTTTTAATAATTAACATTCTGACTGGAATTCTTAATACTTTGCTATTTGTGATAACCCATCACAACATTGTAGCAAAAACAGAGTTAACTACATACAAGGAGAGGATTGTGAAACTGAGGTCAGATAAAATTGGACCAGGTGGCAGTTACACCACAATTCAGAATTTGCTTTCTCTTATAGAGTTGAAACCTTGATCTACTAAGTCACACAAAAGCCTGGTTATAGTGACAAGTTCACAAGCATTAACATTAGACTGTTTCTTTTATGTAAATTGATGACTAAAATTAAGGGAAACAGATTAGGTTAGCTGAGTTCTCCCTTCTCTTGCTTAAAAATTTATATGAAAATCTAAATTTATTAGAAGATTGATTAGCAATATGCCAATTGAGCCAGAAGAGTTGTTTAAATTATCTTCATGGCTAGTCACTCAACTATGCAAGCCTTGTGTGGTCAAGTGTAACCTAACTTCAGAGATTCTTATGTTCATAGTTTCATGTGCATCCATGTGAAGAGACCACCAAACAGGCTTTGTGTGAGCAATAAAGCTGTTTATTTCACCTGGGTGCAGGTGGGCTGAGTCCGAAAAGAGAGTCAGCGAAGGGTGATGGATTATCATTAGTTCTTATAGGTTTTGGGTTAGGCGGTGAAGTTAAGAGCAATGTTTTGTGGGCAGGGTGGATCTCACAAAGTACATTCTCAAGGGTGGGGAGAATTACAAAGAACCTTCTTAAGGGTGGGGAAGATTACAAAGTACCTTCTTAAGGGTGGGGGAGATTACAAAGTACATTGATCAGTTAGGGTGGGGCAGGAACAAATCACAATGGTGGAATGTCATCAGTTAAGGCTATTTTTACTTCTTTTGTGGATCTTCAGTTACTTTAGGCCATCTGGATGTATACGTGCAAATCACAGGGGATGCGATGCTTGGCTTGGGCTCAGAGGCCTGACACATAGGGCCCTTTTCCCTAGCAATCTTAAAGATACTGTCTTAGTCTTTGGTGCCCTAAGATTCATCCCAAATCGAGTTGGTTACCCTGATACAACCGTTCATATAAAACTAGACTAAAATACCTTGTCAAATCAATCATCTTGGTTTCCAGGCTCTGGTTTTTAACCTTTCCACTAAGGTGACTTTGGCTCTTACCTGCTCTCTCACCCATTATCAGTTGATCAGATTGGGAATCAACCCCTAGTGATGCATTTCTTCCAGATTCTTAGTGGAGAGCTCACTGTAACCTCCTGGGCTGACTGTAACAGAAATGTAAATGAATGAGACAGTTCTTTTCAAAGTTAAATTGGAATCCTTAACATCCAGGCATTTATACTCAATGCAGGTAGTGGGTCAGTGAATGATGTCTTGAAAAGTATGTCTTGAAAAATAAATGTGATACCAGAAAATGGTTACAACTCTTTGCAGTGGTAGAATTGTCTGCTCCGACAGGCCATTGCCTGGAATTGTGGTGAAGAAAGGGGAGATGAAGTCACTGGATATTAAGGATGCAGGTCATGAGTTGTCACAGTCTTCTCTCATTTCCTATACTTTTCCTGAAAGAGGCTAGAAGCAAGAAAAATAGACTCTAAATGTCTGTTGTTCAAGTCAGAATAACCATTTATATCTTAAATATTTATTGATAGTAGTGTTTTGGGGTGGGCGGCAAAAAGCTTTAGTCTATTGCTTGCATCTGAAATTAAAGATCCATGAGACCATTATAAAATAAGTCTGAGTCTTATCAGTTAATTTTAATCTCCCTACTAGCTGTTTCATGGTTTTTAACAGTGGAAAAAACAAGTTTACCACACTCCTGGCCCTTATTTATACTCTGATTAATGGAACACATAAATACTAAAAGGAATGCAGTAAAAAGGAAGTATACAATCAAACTATAATTTGCAAGTGAATTATAGTTGTGTTTCTTTCCACTTGTATACAATCCCATGTTTCATGCTTCTATCATAAGAATAAGTACATTGGCTCACCCTCATATGCACAATGCCATTGGAGATCTTCTCTACAAATAACAATAGGAGACAAGAAGAACAACCATGTATTTAAGCAAGTAGAGCCTGTTTAATTATAGACATTGGGAAAAGCCTAATTATATTTTTCGTGCTATATTATCCTGCAACCCCTGCTGCTGTTTTTTTCTGTATAAAAGTCTTGCTTGATGATATGTGAATCAGTCAGAACTTCAATTACCCTTTTAAAGAAGCATTTTTATACTGTATATGGTTTGATAAAGGAAATAATGCCTTACCACATTTTCTTCGCCATTATCGGGTGCACTGGGACAGCGCTCACCAGGAGGGACACAACATCTTTCTACAGGAAAAAAAAAGAGAACTTAAAAATAATTTCTTTGCAAACACCAAAATTCTCCCTTAGTCCTATCTCAATATAATCATGTTATTAGAATCATCTGAGTTACTCTCCCTGCATATCTTTAACAAACAACATGAAAAATGCATTCAGTGTAAAAACACATCATCAGAAGCAGCAGTAAATGTGTATGGTTGATCCAGGTGCTCCAAAGCCGGGGAATAAAGGCAGTTCAGTCAGCTCAGCAATTCCTGGCTCCTTGTGATCCTTGGCCTGGTTCCTACCAACTGCTAACAATGGAAATGTCATAGCCAAAGAGGGGATGAGAGTGATGGTTAAAGAAAAAGGGATATGTCATTTCTCAAAGAAGGTCTCCTTATGGACTTTCCTAAAATATGGCCCTTTAATACATATCTTAGACAAAGTACATTTTAAAACAGTAATAGAAAAGGGAATTTAAAAATAAAACATATGAACCACAGTCATGAAACTACAACCAGGGAGCTGGAGCTAGGAAAGGTTTTGTGGCTTTTCATATAACAGCTTCAAATATATTTTCAGCCCATCTCACTGCAGAAGTATGGAATATATCTATTTTTTAAAGTGGCCAATACTGTGACAGAGTTTTTGCCGATATCTTTTGACTGCTCCTCCAGAACCAGAATCCATTCTTCTCTCAGACATGGGAGGCTGACCTTGTTGGGCTCCATCAGCAGGGTGTCTGCTCCTCCTGGCTTCTAGCTGGGCTGTAGATCAGAGACAGGGAAGAGTGAAATTAGGTATTTACTCTCCCAGCTGTTTCCCTGTAAGGTCACCTTGGTATGGCTCTGTCCTTCAATTGAAAGTCACTCTCTGGTTCTTTGAAGGGTTTTTCGTGTGTCTATCTCCTTCATTTCTGCTCTGATCTTAGTTATTTTTTGTCTTCTGCTAGCTTTTGAATTTGTTCGCTCTTGCTTCTCTAGTTTTTTAATTTTTTTACTTGATGTACAATTTATTTTTATTTATTTTGTATTATTATTATTCTTTTAAGTTTTAGGGTACATGTGCACAACATACAGGTTTGTTACATATGTATACATGTGCCATGTTGGTGTGCTGCACCCATTAAATCATCATTTAGCATTAGGTATATCTCCTAATGCTATCCCTCCCCCCTCCCCTACCCCACAAGAGTCCCTGGTGTGTGATGTTCCCCTTCCTGTGTCCATGTGTTCTCATTGTTCAATTCCCACCTATGAGTGAGAATATGCCGTGTTTGGTTTTTTGTCCTTGCGATAGTTACTGAGAATGATGATTTCCAATTTCATCCATGTCCCTACAAAGGACATGAACTCATCATTTTTTATGGCTGCATAGTATTCCATGGTGTATATGTGTCACATTTTCTTAATCCAGTCTATCATTGTTGGACATTTGGGTTGGTTCCAAGTCTTTGCTATTGTGAATAGTGCCGCAATAAACATACGTGTGCATGTGTCTTTATAGCAGCATGATTTATAGTCCTTTGGGTATATACCCAGTAATGGGATGGCTGGGTCAAATGGTATTTCTAGTTCTAGATCCCCGAGGAATCGCCACACTGACTTCCACAATGGTTGAACTAGTTTACAGTCCCACCAACAGTGTAAAAGTGTTCCTATTTCTCCACATCCTCTCCAGCACCTGTTGTTTCCTGACTTTTTAATGATCGCCATTCTAACTGGTGTGAGATGGTATCTCATTGTGGTTTTGATTTGCATTTCTCTGATGGCCAGTGATGGTGAGCATTTTTTCATGTGTTTTTTGGCTGCATAAATGTCTTCTTTTGAGAAGTGTCTGTTCATATCCTTTGCCCACTTTTTGATGGGGTTGTTTGTTTTTTTCTTGTAAATTTGTTTGAGTTCATTGTAGATTCTGGTTATTAGCCCTTTGTCAGATGAGTAGGTTGCGAAAATTTTCTCCCATTCTGTAGGTTGCCTGTTCACTCTGATGGTAGTTTCTTTTGCTGTGCAGAAGCTCTTTAGTTTAATTAGATCCCATTTGTCAATTTTGTCTTTTGTTGCCATTGCTTTTGGTGTTTTAGACATGAAGTCCTTGCCCATGCCTATGTCCTGAATGGTATTGCCTAGGTTTTCTTCTAGGGTTTTTACGGTTTTAGGTCAAACATGTAAATCTTTAATCCATCTTGAATTAATTTTTGTATAAGGTGTAAGGAAGGGATCCAGTTTCAGCTTTCTACATATGGCTAGCCAGTTTTCCCAGCACCATTTATTAAATAGGGAATCCTTTCCCCATTGCTTGTTTTTGTCAGGTTTGTCAAAGATCAGATGGTTGTAGATATGCGGCATTATTTCTGAGGGCTCTGTTCTGTTCCATTGGTCTATATCTCTGTTTTGGTACCAGTACCATGCTGTTTTGGTTACTGTAGCCTTGTAGTATGGTTTGAAGTCAGGTAGCATGATGCCTCCAGCTTTGTTCTTTTGGCTTAGGATTGACTTGGCAATGCGGGCTCTTTTTTGGTTCCATATGAACTTTAAAGTAGTTTCTTCCAATTCTGTGAAGAAAGTCATTGGTAGCTTGATGGGGATGGCATTGAATCTATAAATTACCTTGGGCAGTATGGCCATTTTCACGATATTGATTCTTCCTACCCATGAGCATGGAATGTTCTTCCATTTGTTTGTATCCTCTTTTATTTCATTGAGCAGTGGTTTATAGTTCTCCTTGAAGAGGTCCTTCACATCCCTTGTAAGTTGGATTCCTAGGTATTTTATTCTCTTTGAAGCAATTGTGAATGGGAGTTCACTCATGATTTGGCTCTCTGTTTGTCTGTTATTGGTGTATAAGAATGCTTGTGATTTTTGCACATTGATTTTGTATCCTGAGACTTTGCTGAAGTTGCCTATCAGCTTAAGGAGATTTTGGGCTGAGACGATGAGGTTTTCTAGATATACCGTCATGTCATCTGCAAACAGGGACAATTTGACTTCCTGTTTTCCTAATTGAATACCCTTTATTTCCTTCTCCTGCCTGATTGCCCTGGCCAGAACTTCCAACACTATGTTGAATAGGAGTGGTGAGAGGGCATCCCTGTCTTGTACCAGTTTTCAAAGGGAATGCTTCCAGTTTTTGTCCGTTCAGTATGATATTGGCTGTGGGTTTGTCACAGATAGCTCTTATTATTCTGAGATACGTCCCCTCAGTACCTAATTTATTGAGAGTTTTTAGCATGAAGGCGTTGTTGAATTGTGTCAAAGGCCTTTTCTGCATCTATTGAGATAATCATGTCGTTTTTGTCTTTGGTTCTGTTTATATGCTGGATTACGTTTATTGATTTTCATATGTTGAACCAGCCTTGCATCCCAGGATGAAGCCCACTTGATCATGGTGGATAAGCTTTTTGATGTGCTGCTGGATTCGGTTTGCCAATATTTTATTGAGGATTTTTGCATCAATGTTCATCAAGGATATTGGTCTAAAATTCTCTTTTTTGGTTGTGTCTCTGCCAGGCTTTGCTATCAGGATGATGCTGGCCTCATAAAATGAGTTAGGGAGGATTCCCTCTTTTTGTGTTGATTGGAATAGTTTCAGAAGGAATGGTACCAGCTCCTCCTTTGTACCTCTGGTAGAATTCGGCTGTGAATCCATCTGGTCCTGGACTATTTTTGGTTGGTAAGCTATTGATTATTGCCACAATTTCAGAGCCTGTTATTGGTCTATTCAGAGATTCAACTTCTTCCTGGTTTAGTCTTGGGAGAGTGTATGTGTCAAGGAATTTATCCATTTCTTCTAGATTTTCTAGTTTATTCACGTAGAGGTGTTTATAGTATTCTCTGATGGTAGTTTGTATTTCTGTGGGATCAGTGGTGATATCCCCTTTATCATTTTTTATTGCATCTATTTGATTCTTCTCTCTTTTCTTCTTTATTAGTCTTGCTAGCGGTCTATCAATTTTGTTGATCTTTTCAAAAAACCAGCTCCTGGATTCATTGATTTTTTTGAAGGGTTTTTTGTGTCTCTATTTCCTTCAGTTCTGCTCTGATTTTAGTTACTTCTTGCCTTCTGCTAGCTTTTGAATGTGTTTGCTCTTGCTTCTCTAGTTCTTTTAATTGTGATGTTAGGGTGTCAATTTTGGATCTTTCCTGCTTTCTCTTGTGGGCATTTAGTGCTATAAATTTCCCTCTACACACTGCTTTGAATGTGTCCCAGAGATTCTGGTATGTTGTGTCTTTGTTCTCATTGGTTTCAAAGAACATCTTTATTTCTGCCTTCATTTCATTATGTACCCAGTCGTCATTCAGGAGCAGGTTGTTCAGTTTCCATGTAGTTGAGCAGTTTTGAGTGAATTTCTTAATCCTGAGTTCTAGTTTGATTGCACTGTGGTCTGAGAGACAGTTTGTTATAATTTCTGTTCTTTTACATTTGCTGAGGAGTGCTTTACTTCCAATTATGTGGTCAATTTTGGAATAGGTGTGGTGTGGTGCTGAAAAGAATGTATATTCTGTTGATTTGGGGTGGAGAGTTCTGTAGATGTCTGTTAGGTCCACTTGGTGCAGAGCTGAGTTCAATTCCTGGATATCCTTGTTAACTTTCTGTCTCATTGATCTGTCTAATGTTGACAGTGGGGTGTTAAAGTCTCCCATTATTATTGTGTGGGAGTCTAAGTCTCTTTGTAGGTCACTAAGGACTTGCTTTATGAATCTGGGTGCTCCTGTATTGGGTGCATATATGTTTAGGATAGTTAGCTCTTCTTGTTGAGTTGATCCCTTTACCATTATGTAACGGCTTTCTTTGTCTCTTTTGATCTTTGTTGGTTTAAAGTCTGTTTTATCAGAGACTAGGATTGCAACTCCTGCATTTTTTTGTTTGTCATTTGCTTGGTAGATCTTCCTCCATCCCTTAATTTTGAGCCTATGTGTGTCTCTGCACGTGAGATAGGTTTCCTGAATACAGCACACTGATGGGTCTTGACTGTTTATCCAATTTGCCACTCTGTGTCTTTTAATTGGAGCATTTAGCCCATTTACATTTAAGGTTAATATTGTTATATGTGAATTTGATCCTGTCATTATGATGTTAGCTGGTTATTTTGCTCGTTAGTTGATGCAGTTTCTTCCTAGCCTCGATGGTCTTTACAATTTGGCCTGTTTTTGCAGTGGCTGGTACCGGTTGTTTTTTCCATGTTTAGTGCTTTCTTCAGGAGCTCTTTTAGGGCAGGCCTGGTGGTGACAAAATCTCTCAGCATTTGCTTGTCTGTAAAGGATTTTGTTTCTCCTTCACTTATGAAGCTTAGTTTGGCTGGATATGAAATTCTGGTTGAAAATTCTTTTCTTTGAGAATGTTGAATATTGGCCCCCACTCTCTTCTGGCTTGTAGAGTTTCTGCCAAGAGATCAGCTGTTAGTCTGATGGGCTTCCCTTTGTGGGTAACCCGACTTTTCTCTCTGGCTGCCCTTAACATTTTTTCCTTCATTTCAACTTTGGTGAATCTGCCAATTATGTGTCTTGGAGTTGCTCTTCTCGAGGAGTATCTTTCTGGCGTTCTCTGTATTTCCTGAATTTGAGTGTTGGCCTGCCTTGCTAGATTGCAGGATATTATCCAGGAGAACTTCCCCAGAGTGTTTTCCAGCTTGGTTCCATTCTCCCCATCACTTTCAGGTACACCAATCAGACGTAGATTTAGTCTTTTCACATAGTCCCATATTTCTTGGAGGCTTTGTTCATTTCTTTTAATTCTTTTTTCTCTAAACTTCTCTTCTCGCTTCGTTTCATTCATGTCATCTTCCATCACTGATACCCTTTCTTCCAGTTGATCGAATCAGCTACTGAGGCTTGTGAATTCGTCATGTAGTTCTCGTGCCTTGGTTTTCAGCTCCATCGGGTCCTTTAAGGACTGCTCTGCATTGGTTATTCTAGTTAGCCATTCACCTAATTTTTTTTCAAGGTTTTTAATTTCTTTGCCATGGGTTCGAACTTCCTCCTTTAGCTCAGAGTAGTTTGATCGTCTGAAGCCTTCTTCTCTCAACTCGTCAAAGTCATTCTCCGTCCAGCTTTGTTCCGTTGCTGGTGAGGAGCTGCGTTCCTTTGGAGGAGGAGAGGCGCTCTGATTTTTAGAGTTTCCAGTTTTTCTGCTCTGTTTTTTCCCCATCTTTGTGGTTTTATCTACCTTTGGTCTTTGATGATGGTGACGTACAGATGGGTTTTTGGTGTGGATGCCCTTTCTGTTTGTTAGTTTTCCTTCTAACAAACAGTCAGGACCCTCAGCTGCAGGTCTTTTGGAGTTTGCTGGAGGTCCACTAAACAGGTCCACCCAGACACTGTTTGCCTGGGTATCAGCAGTGGTGGCTGCAGAACAGCGGATACTTGTGAACTACAGATGCTGCTGCCTGATCGTTCCTCTGGAAGTTTTGTCTCAGAGGAGTACCCGGCCGTGTGAGGTGTGAGTCCGCCCCTACTGGGGGTTCCCCCCAGTTAGGCCACTCGGGGGTCAGGGACCCACTTGAGGAGGCAGTCTGCCCGTTCTCAGATCTCAAGCTGCGTGCTGGGAGAACTACTACTCTCTTCAAAGCTGTCAGACAGGGACATTTAAGTCTGCAGAGGTTACTGCTGCCTTTTGTTTGTCTGTGCCCTGCCCCCAGAGGTGGAGTCTACAGAGGCAGGCAGGCCTCCTTGAGCTGTGATGGGCTCCACCCAGTTCGAGCTTCCTGGCTGCTTTGTTTACCTACTCAAGCCTCGGCAATGGTGGGTGCCCCTCCCCCAGGCTCGCTGCTGCCTTGCAGTTTGATCTCAGACTGCTGTGCTAGCAATGAGCGAGACTCCGTGGGTGTAGGACCCTCTGAGTCATGCACAGGATATAATCTCCTGGTGTGCCATTTGTTAAGCCCATTGGAAAAGCGCAGTATTAGGGTGGGAGTGACCCAATTTTCCAGATGCCGTCTGTCACCCCTTTCTTTGACTAGGAAAGGGAATTCCCTGACCCCTTGTGCTTCCTGGGTGAGGTGATGCCTCACCCTGCTTTGGCTCACACATGGTGCACTGCACCCACTGTCCTGCACCCACTGTCAGGCACTCCCCAGTGAGATGAACCTGGTACCTCAGTTGGAAATGCAGAAATCACCCGTCTTCTGCGTCGCTCACGCTGGGAGCTGTAGACCGGAGCTGTTCCTATTCGGCCATCTTGGCTCCTCCCCCCGTGAATCTCTAGTTTTTTTCATTGTGATGTTAGGGTGTTGATTTTAGGTCTTTCCTGCTTTCTGATGTGGGCATTTGGTGCTACAAATTTCCCTCTCAACACTGCTTTAGCTGCGTCCCAGAGATTCTGGTACGTTGTGTCTTCATTCTCATTGGTTTCAAAGAACTTATTTATTTCTGCCTTAATTTAATTATTTACCCAGTAGTCATTCAGGAGCAGGTTGTTCAGTGTCCTTGTAGTTGTGTGGTTCTGAGTGAGTTTCTTAATCCTGAGTTCTAATTTGATTGCACTGTAGCCTGAGAGACTGTTTTGATTTCCATTCTTTTCATTTGCTAAGGAGTGCCTTACTTCCAATTATGTGGTCGATTTTAGAATAAGTGCTATATGGTGCTGAGAAGAATGTATATTCTGTTGATTTGGGGTGGAGAGTTCTGTAGATGTCCATTAGGTCCGCTTAGTCCAGAGCTGAGTTCAAGTTCTGAATATCCTTGTTAATTTTCTGTCTCATTGATCTAATATTGACAGTGGGGTGTTAAACTCTCCCACTATTATTGTGTGAGAGTCTAAGTCTCTTTGTAGATCTCTAAGAACTTGCTTTATGAATCTGGATGCTCCTGTATTGGGTGCATATATATTTAGGATAGTTAGCTCTTCTTGTTGCATTGATCCCTTTACCATTATGTAACGTCTTTGTCTTTTTTGATCTTTGTTGGTTTAAAGTCTGTTTTATCAGAGACTAGAATTGCAACCCCTGCTTTTTTTTTTTTTTTTTTTTTTTTTTTTTTTTTTTGCTCTTCGTTTGCTTGGTAAATATTCCTCCATCCCTTTATTTTGAGCCTATGTGTGTCTTTGCATGTGAGATGGGACTCCTGAATACAGCACACTGATGGGTCTTGACTCTTTATCCAATTTGCCAGTCTGTGTCTTTTAACTGGGGCATTTAGTCCATTTACATTTAAAGTTAATATTGTTAAGTGTGAATTTGATCCTGTCATCATGATGCTGGCTAGTTATTTTGCACATTAGTTGAGGCAGTTTCCTCATAGTGTTGTTGGTCTTTATATTATGGTGTTTTTTTGCAGTGGCTGGTACTGGTTTTTCCTTTCTGTATTTAGTGCTTCCTTCAGGAGCTCTTGTAAGGCAGGCCTAGTGGTGACAGAATCCCTCAGCATTTGCTTGTCTGTAAAGGATTTTATTTCTCCTTCACTCATGAAGCTTAATTTGGCTGGTTATGAAATTCTGGGTTGAAAATTCTCTTCTTTAAGAATGTTAAATATTGGCCCCCACTCTCTTCTGGCTTGTAGGGTTTCTGCAGAGATATCCATTGTTAGTCTGATGGACTTCCCTTTGTAGGTAACCTGACCTTTCTCTCTGGCTGCCCTTAACATTTTTTTCCTTTGTTTCAACCTTGGAGAATCTGACAATTATGTGTCTTGGGGTTGCTCTTCTCAAGGAGTATTTTAGTGGTGTTCTCTGTATGTCCTGAATTTGAATAGTGGCTTGTCTTGCTAGGTTGGAGAAGTTCTCCTGGATAATATCCTGAAGTGTGTTTTCCAACTGGGTTCCATTCTCCCCATCACTTTCAGGGACCCCAATCAATCACCGGTTTGGTCTTTTCACATAGTACCATATTTGTTGGAGGCTTTGTTCATTCCTTTTCACTCTTTTTTCTCTAATCTTGTCTTCACACCTTATTTCAGTAAGTTGATCTTCAGTCTCTGATATCCTTTCTTCTGCTTGATCGATTCGGCTACTGATACTTGTGTATGCTTCACGAGTTCTCATGCTGTGTTTTTCAGCTCCATCAGGTCATTTATATTCTCCTCTAAACTGGTTATTCTAGTTAGCAGTTCCTGTAACCTTTTATCAAGGTTCTTAGCTTCCTTACATTGGGTTAGAACATGCTCCTTTAGCTCAGAGGAGTTTGTTATTACCCACCTTCTGAAGCCTACTTCTGTCAATTTGTCAAACTCTTTCTCTGTCCAATTTTGTGCTCTTGCTGGAGAGGAGTTACAATCATTTGGAAGAGAAGAAGCATTCTGGTTTTTTAAATTTTCAGCATTTTTGTGCTGGTTTTTCCTCATCTTCATTTATTTATCTACCTTTGATCTTTGAGGCTGATGACCTTTGGATGTGGTTTTGTATGGGGGTCCTTTGTGTTGATGTTGATGTTACTGCTTTCTGTTTGTTAGTTTTTCTTCTAACAGTCAGGACCCTCTTCTGCAGGTCTGCTGCAGTTTTCTGGAGGTCCACTCCAGTTCCTATTTGCCTGGGTATCACCAGTGGATGCTGCGGAACAGCAAAGATTGCTGCCTGCTCCTTCCTCTGGAGGCTTTGTCCCAGAGGGGCACCAGCCTGATGCCAGCTGGAGATCTCCTGTATGAGGTGTCTGTCAACCCAGGAGCTGCTATTTTGAAAAGATTAACAAAATAGATAGACTGCTAGCCAGACTAATAAAGAAGAAAAGAAAGAAGAATCAAACAGACACAATAAAAAATGATAAAGGGGATATCACAACTGATCCCACAGAAATACAAGCTACTATTAGAGAATACTATAAACACCTCTAAGCAAATAAACTAGAAAATCTAGAAGAAATAGATAAATTCCCGGACACCCTCCTAAGACTAAACCAGGAAGAAGTCGAATCTCTGAATAAACCAATAACAAGTTCTGAAATTGAAGCAGTAATTAATAACCCACCAGCCAAAAAAGCCCAGGACCAGACAGATTCACAGCCGAATTCTACCAGAGGTACAAAGAGGAGCTGGTACCATTCCTTCTGATACTATTCCAAACAACAGAAAAGGAGGGACTCCTCCCTAACCATTTTATAAGGCCAGCATCATCCTGATTCCAAAACCTGACAGAGATACAATAAAAAATGAAAACTTCAGGCGAATATCCCTGATGAACATCAAAGCGAAAATCCTCAATAAAATACTGGCAAACTGAATCCACAGCCCATCAAAAAGCTTATGCACCATGATAAAGTTGGCTTCATCCTTGGGATGCAAGGCTGGTTCAACATATGCAAATCAATAAATGTAATCCATCACATAAACAGAACCAGTGACAAAAACCACATGATTATCTCAATAGATGCAGAAAAGGCCTTCAATCAAATTCAACACCACTTCATGCTAAAAACTCTCAATAAACTGGGCATTGATGGAACATATCTCAATATAATAAGAGCTATTTATGACAAACCCATAGCCAATATCATACTGAATGGGCAAAAGCTGGAAGCATTCCCCTTGAAAACCGGCGCAAGACAAGGATGCCTTCTCTCACCATAGTTCAACATAGTATTGGAAGTTTTGGCCAGGGCAATCAGGCAAGAGACATAAATAGAGTATTCAAATAGGAACGGAGGAAGTCAAATTGTCTCTGTTTGCAGATGATGTCATTGTATATTTAGAAATCCCCATTGTCTCAGCCCAAAATCTCCTTAAGCTGATAAGCAACTTCAGTAAAGTCTCAGGATACAAAATCAATGTGCAAAAATCACAAGCATTCCTATACACCAATAACAGACAAACAGAGACCCAAATCATGAGTGAACTCCCATTCACAATTGCTACAAAGAAGATAAAATACCTAGGAATACAACTTACAAGGGATGTGAAGGACCTCTTCAAGGAGAACTACAAACCACTGCTCAAGGAAATAAGAGAGGACACAACCAAATGGAAAAAAATTTCATACTTATGAATATCGTGAAAATGGCCATACTGCCCAAAGTAATTTATAGATTCAATGCTATTCTCATCAAGCTACCATTGACTTTCTTCACAGAACTAGAAAAAAGTACTTTAAATTTCATATGGAACCAAAAAACAGCCCATATAGCCGAGACAATCCTAAGCAAAAGAACATAGCTGGAGGCATCATGCTGCCTGACTTCAGACTATACCACAAGGCTACAGTAACCAAAACAGCATAGTACTGGTACCAAAACAGATACATAGACCAATGGAGCAGAACACAGGCCTCAGAAATAACACCACACATCTACAACCATTCGATCTTTGACAAACCTGACAAAAACAAGCAATGGGGAAAGGATTCCCTGTTTAATAAATGGTGCTGGGCAAACTTGCTAGCCATATGCAGAAAATAGAAGCTAGACCCCTTCCTTACACCTTATACAAAAATTAATTCAAGGTGGATTAAAGACTTAAACATAAAACTTAAAACCATAAAAACCCTAGAAGAAAACCTAGGCAATATCATTCAGGACATAGACATGGACAAGGACTTCATGACTAAAACACCAAAAGCAATTGCAACAAAAGCCAAAATTGACAAATGGGATCTACTTAAACTAAAGAGCATCTGCTCAGCCATAGAAACTATCATCAGAGTGAGCAGGCAACCTACAGAATGGGAGAAAATTTCTGCAGTCTACCCATCTGACAAAAGTCTAATATCCAGAATCTAGAAGGAACTGAAACAAATTTACAAGAAAAAAATAAACAGCCCCATCAAAAAGTGGGTGAAGGATATGAACAGACACTTCTCAAAAGAAGACATTTATGCAGCCAACAAACATATGAAAAAGAGCACCTCATCACTGGTCATTAGAGAAATGCAAATCAAAACCACAATGAGATACCATCTCATACCAGTTAGAATGGTGATCATTAAAAAGTCTGGAAACAACAGATGCTAGAGATCAGATATGGAGAAATAGGAATGCTTTTACACTGTTGGTGGGAGAGTAAATTAGTTCAACCATTGTGGAAGACAGTGTGGCGATTCCTCAAGGATCTGGAACCAGACATACCATTTGACCCAGCAATCCCATTACTGGGTATATACCCAAAAAATTATAAATCATTCTACTATGAAGACACATGCACATGTATGTTTATTGCAGCACTATGCACAATAGCAAAGACTTGGAACCAACCCAAATGCCCATCAAGGATAGACTGGATAAAGAAAATGTGGCACATATACACCATGGAATACTATGCAGTCATAAAAAAGAATGAGTTCATGTGCTTTGCAGGGACATGGATGAAGCTGGAAACCATCATTCTCAGCAAACTATCACAAGGACAGAAAACCAAACACCGCATATTCTCACTCATAGGTGGGAATTGAACAATGAGATCACTTGGACACAGGGCGGGGAACATCACACACTGGGGCCTGTTGGAGGATGAGGGTAAAGGGGAGGGAGGGCATCAGGTCAAATACCTAATGTATGTGGTGCTTAAAACCTAGATGACAGGTTGATAGGTGCAGCAAACCACCAGGGCACATGTATACCTATGTAACAAACCTGCATGTTCAGCACATGTATCCCAGAACTTAAAAAGAAAGAAAAAAAAAAAAAGAAGTAAGTCACTCTCCTTACAAGGCAACTAATCTTACGTGACTCTCTCCTTCCAAGTTTTGGGAACTGCTCTCTGTCCTTGTCCCTTCAAGTTTAAGTTTGCTAGTGATTCGGGTGCTCCCAGCCATGAATATACTGTCTCATAAGTTCTTTATCCAGTTTTGAGTGTGCCATGTGTTTTCAGTTGAGAACTGACTTATGCAGACTTCCACTAAAGAAACTAAACTATCATTCTTGAGTAGGATGTAGCACCACCTCCCATAATTTGAACCTAATCCAATCACAAATATCAGTATATTAGGTCAACGGTTGATCTTCGTGGACAGGCTAGACTGCCTGTGGTCTTACTCCATCTGGCCAGCCAAGGGACAGGAACTATCCTGCTTATTAGTACGAATGATCACAGGGCTAGAATTGGTGAAATGCTTGCTCTCCATTGCCCCTAAAACTGTATCTTCAATAATAGTTTCTGCTATAACCCTAATCTCCTAACTTCAGCAGGGGCAATAGCCAAATATCAACCAGAAGGACAGATAAAAGAGACATAGGATCTATCTCAAGTTCCCAGGACACCCAGAGCCTTCTCAGGGGGATAATGGAATAAGGGAGGGCTTCTGGGGGCCTCAACCTGCCTCTACCATTAGCTGGCTTGGTGATATTAAATGATCCACCTAAATCTGTTTCACATGCCTACTTGGCACTTAAGCTAACTTCCTGGATTCCTGTTTCCTGATCTGTAAAATGTGGAGATCAACTAGATCTAAGTTTTGCCCAGATGCTCTCTAGCTCAAAATTCTGGTACTAAAAGCAAAGTACTTTAGGAAAGTATTCCCTAAAAGTACTTCCCATGATCATGGCATCTTAAGATATTTTAAATTACTGGTAAGATTTTTTGCCTAAAATTTAGAAAAAGATTAATTGAACAACAATTAAAATGAAATGACCCATAAGAAAAGAACAATGCAGTTTCAATCAGAGCACCAACCTTGACTAAACTCAGAGCAAGGGAGAACAGGCAGAGCCCAGGGGCTTAAGGAGGTATCTGGCTTCCTTCTGAGGTGTGAGGGTAAGGAAGAACTCATGGTCCTATCACTCCAAAGGCAACATCTTAAAGCTTTGGCTTTTTTCTTTCCAGTTACTTTTCAATGCAGGATGATTAAGTCATCCTGGTTATCATTTTAATACTAGATTAAAATTTTAAAAAGTAAAGTATGATCTTTAATTAATTTCCCAATTATTTATTGAAAATAGTAGGAAACCTAAAGGCAATAGCAGTGTGCTGCAGTGAATATGCTTGTATATAGTTTGGTGTACCTCTGCTCATTTAATGTGAGATAAATTCCTAGAAGTAGAATGGTTAGGTGGAAATGTAGGAGCATTTTAAAAGATTTTGGGTGAATTTTGTGAATGACATTCCAGAAAATTCAGATCAATTACATGCCCAGTAGCTGTTTGGGCATGTATTTCCATGTTATCTTTAATATACGTGATGTGGAACACGTGGGGCAGAGCCCAAATTCTTCTATTACCTCTGCAACATTTTACGCTCCAAATCAGCAGAAAAGCTGCCAAAATCGCAGAGGGCACCAAAATCCATAAGCCTTTGTTATGGGAAGCTGTTTCTTGGCTCGGTTCTAAAAAAAAAAAGGAGAAACAAAGTCTGTGAACTGGAAGAAAAATTACCAGATAAGAAATGTGTGGGTGGGTAAGGGTGGAGTATGTTTACTATTTTAAAAACTAGTTATTTCTGCATTACAGGTAGGAGGCTGAATTCATATGAAAACACTTTGCATAATAAAAACGTCCTTTAGGATAAAGCCAAGAGCCCAGACTGGACAGGAGAGTTTGTCTTGAGCATAAATATCTCCTAGTCTCAGTGTATCTATTGTGGGAAACCTACAGATACCATAATATTATTGGAGATTGGTGGAGGTGGGGGAGCTGGGAGAAAAGTCTGAAAACTGGAGAGGTAATACATCTATTATGCATTTTCAGTTTCTATTGCTTTATACTGTAATAAGAAACAACACATTTTTATAAAGGAATAATTATGTCCATAAATTAGCCTCAGCCCAGTGTTCACCTTGGAGGATGAAGTAAGAGTGCAGTCTGCCATTGGCCTAGAGAAGACAGGGTCCTAAGGGAACAGTGGTAAGTTCAGAGGTGATAAAAGGAGATGAGTAGAAGCCCTGGTCTTGAGTTAGAGGTGGCAGGTGACCACAGAGATAATAGGCACAGTAGTCCCCCGCCTTATCCCTGGGGGATACATTCCAAGTCCCCCAAGTGGATGCCTGAAACCTTAGTACTGAACGCTATGCATACTATACACTAATTTCTTTTTCCATCTTCACAGTTTTATAGGTAGAAGATTCTTTCTTACTGTAGATCTTAGCAACCTCGACATAGGCTCTTTTTTCCTCTTGAGAGCTTTCCCTTAAAGGAAGCACTTCACGGCTTCTTTTTGGTGTATCTGAACTGCCAGCATCACTATTCTTGTGCTTTGAGGCCATTCTTAAATAAAATAAGGGTTACTTGATCACAAGCACTGCGATATCATGACAGTAGATCTGATTACCAGGAGGGCTAACAGGCGGGTAGCATCCACGGTGTGATATGCTGGACAAAGGGAGGATTCACCTTCAAGGCAGGATGGAGCGGGATGACATGCAATTTCATCATGCTACTCAGAATGGCACACAATTTAAAACATTATTTCTGGAATTTTCCTTTTAAAAATTTCAGACAGTGGTTGACTTTGTGTAACAAACTGCAGAAAAGGAGGACCTGCTGATAGTGTTTGGAGCTCCTCAGAAATAACTGGAGGAGCCTAAACTTTCTCCAGCATCTTGGTCAGGACTAGAATTGTTGAAATTAGTATTAATGGAAATGGGGACTCCAGAGACCCTGGGTTACCAAAGTCAGAACCCTGCTAACCTTATGGTCTATGTTCTGCTAAAACGAGGGCAGCAAGCATTAGAGCACAAAGGTCAATTCAGGGGGAAAATGTTTGTGGCTATCCTTTAGAATGAATACCTCTTTTTACATAACAAATGTAATTTTCTATGAACATACTATAGTGTTTTACAACTAATAAAATATTAATCTCTCCACCTATTTGTGTCATTCTGAAATTCCACGCAGGAGTCCGCTTTATCCCTGGTTTAACTTTCTGAGGTTTTAGTTACCCATGGTCAACTGTAGTCCAAACATAACCAAATGGAAAATTCCAGGAATAAATAATTCTTAAGTTTTAAATTGTGTGCCATTCTGAGTAGCATGAAGAAATATCGTGTCACGCCACTGCATCCCACCTGGGACGTGACTGCGCCCTTTGTCCGGCATATCCACGTTGTACACACTACCCCCATGAATCATTTACTAGCCATCTCAGTTATCAGACTGACTGTCATGGTATAACAATGCTTGTGTTCAAGTAACCCTTATTTTCTTTAAGAATGGTCCCAAAGCACAAGAGTAGTGATGCTGGCAATTTGGATATACCAAAAAGAAGCCATAAAGTGCTTCTTTGAACTAAAACAATTAAAGCCCTTGACTTATGAAAAATCATATATTGAGGTTGCTGAGATCTATGGTGAAAATGAATCTTCTATCTGTAAAATTGTGAAGAAAGAAAGAAGAAAATTTGTGTTAGTTTTGCAGTCACATCTCAAACTACAACAGTTATGGCCACAGTGTGTTGTATATGCTGAGTTAAGATGGAAATGGCATTAAATTTGAGGGTGGAAGACATAACAGAAATGTGTTCTGGTTGATGATATGTTGCACTGGAAAGCTTTGGGCTTATATGAAGACTTCAGCAAGAGATCCCTTGAAACAGGCCATTTATTGCAAGTAGAGGATAGAGGATGGCTACACAGATTTAGAAATCAGCTTGGACTGAAAAATATAAAAATTACTGGAGAGGCTGTGTCTGCTGATGAAGAAGCTACAGCCACATTTCCATCTAAAGCAAATCTTTAATTGCAATGAAAGCAAGCTCTGCTGGAAGAAGATGCCCAATAGAACCTGTATTCATAGAAGTGTGAATGAGGCACCAAGGCATAAACATGGAAGGACAGATTAATCCTCGTACCATGTGGGAATGCATATATAGGGTTTAGTACTGTCCATAGTTTCAGGCATCCACTGGGGGTCTTGGAACATATCCCCCAAGGAAAGGGGGGACTACTGTACCTATATAAAGGAGAGATTAAGTAGGAATGTTAGGTTGACTTTCTACAGGGTTTTCATATGCATTTTTCTTCCTCCTAAAGGAAATCCTACAAGGTATAGCTACTTCTCACTGTACTCGTGACCCTCAGGTTCCCCCATCTGTAAGGATATTTGCCCAAGGTCACATATTGATTCAGCAGCAGAACTTAGCAAGGATTATTTAATTCCATTCAGCTTGGTGCAACCTTAATTGAGCAGATCTAGATTCGAGGAATCATAAGTACCCCCCATCTTGTTGTAGCACCTCCTGGGAAAGGCAACAAATGGAAAAGTCATCCTTGAAAGGATGATATTTAAGGTACCAAGACTGTTTGCCCTGTTCCCTGGCCTGCTGGGGTGGCTCCTGCCAAGTCCTCTTCCTCGTGGGGAAGGGTGAGCACACCCTCCCCCAGCCCCACCTGGCCAACATTTATTTGAGAATGAGAGGTTCTGAAAATACTCTTTTGTCAGAGATGGAATGGTCCTGATGTTTCACTTTGTGTGAACTGAAAATTAGATCTCTGGGTGGGAAGACGGGCCATATGTAGTCTTTAGGACATTTCTTCTTGACTATTTTTTTTTTTACACTCCAAAATTAATCCAACATGAGGCAACATTTTTAAAAATAGATTGCAGGCTTAACTGTATTTTACATAAAACTGACACTTTTATTTTTGGAGAAAAATAGGAGCTTCAAATGCAGCCCCAGTTTTTCATTCTCTACTCTCAAAGTGGCAGCTCTACAAAGGGAGTGTTATTACTCAATGTCCAGAAGCTTCCAAGTATTTGAAGATCACATAACCTAAAGGACAACTCTGTGCTCTTGTCTCCAAATCTCACTACGTAGAATCACCAAAACTTCAAATGTTATTCCTCCTAATTTTCACAATTGAAATGATAGAAATATTTCTAAAACATAAGTTCCACTGGTTCAAATACCTTTATTGAAGGACAGAAAGAGCTGCCATGGTCTGCCATGATGTGAAGTTGATAGTTTAAGGGTGGGACCATCCAGCTCACCTAGAAGGTCAGCTTCATGAGTATATATTCCATGACTTGATGGTTAGTTGACTAGAAATATTTTAGATAATGGTTTTTGGCAGTGAACTATCAACAGAGGTAAAAATGAACTGAACTAGGAATATATACTTGGTGCTTCAAATATTGTGTGGTGACTATTTCCAAGTTCATAGACACTGTCATGATTTCCCAGCATTCTTCAGGACCCCGATTGTAACTTCCTAATGTGTCTCTAGCCTTGAATCCCCAAACCCTAGGCCTAAGGTATATATTAGGCACAGCAGTGAGCAGAAATGGAAGATGCTCAGCGCATGGAGTCATCAAAATGTGTTTCCTCCTCATTTCTGAAGCCCCAAAATCCTGAAAGGAAATCTGTGGGAGTAATTTTTTTTTTCAAAACAGGACTTTTGTGTGGTTGAAGGAGGGAGGGTAATCGACATCCTGACCAGAAATATCCCTGTGGATTATATTTTGAGAGGGTATCAATGTATTCTTGAAAAGTCAACCTAATTTTCTCTTTGATATTCACAAACCTCTAATGCTACAGCCAAAACCCATTATCCAAACCTACTTGCAACTTACCTACATGCACTGTGTGGATGGTAAGTAAAGTATATTCATCCGAAGAAATATTGCATAAATATTCCCCACTGTCTGAAAGATTAAGATCCATCAAATTCATAGAGAAGTCACTCTGGTTTATCAGCTCTTTGTTCCATGAGAATCGGGATTCATTGATAATTGTATTTTGTGAGGAGCTCAGATAGTAAGCCAGGACAGAGAAAGTCCCACTTTTCATTCTGGACCAAGTAACTTTGAAGTCTTGGTTTGGTGAAAAATAATCATTTACAGGTTGACATGAGAGTGAAACGTGTTCACTTTGCATTTTATGAAGGCCATCTAACAACACAATAGAAAAGAAAACATCAATGAAGATAAACATTTCAAAAGAATTCTCTAAGTTACACTTAGAAAGCAGAGAACAAAGGCACTAATACTGATATATTTGGAAATAACTTTTTGGAAAGTAATTATATTTGTACTGTGGTTTCTTAAAAGACAAGTTTTACTACCACTATTTTAAAGTTTCCCACCAAGGTTAGTTTAGACCTTCAAGGAGGGCTAAGCCAGGGCCAGCTAGAGGGGTGATATACTTGTTTTAACTCTTAGAACCTGACAGTAAGCACTCAGGAATGTTGCTACCAGTTACTAGCCTATTAAACTCAATGTTCTCCTTCTCTTGGCCCCTCTAATGCTGGTGGTCCCCAGAACACCCCTTTTGGTACCCTACCTACTCCCTAGTGGTCTCTAACTTTTATGGCCTCACTACTTCTTAATCTCTTTTTCTAGACAAAATCTCTTTTTCTTCATATAAGAATATTTCCAGCTGTGTGCAGGCAACCCCCACTGGACTGAGCTCTTTTAAAGAGAGACTGCTGAATTTTCTTGGCTTGCCCCTCCAGACCCAGCTCCATCTTGTCCTTCCCGTTCTGTAGTGTTGTAGGCTGACCTCTATGGACTGTCATGGACTGTTCCCCCTGGCTCTAGACTCACCTGGCTTCCAGTCTACCTGCAGGAGAGTGATGCCAAAGTAAGCCCTCCAAAAGGCAAATCCAGGGCCTCTCTGATGGTTCAAATCCCTCTTCTGATCTATCCTACCTCCAAGACTCAACAAGCTCCTTAGCAACGTGTAAAAGGTCTTTCATCTGTTTTTGGCCTCCCTCTCCAGGTTCATCTCTTGATCCATTGATTCCACAAATCCAGGCAATTTTACTTTTCTGTGCTTTTTACCTGGAATATTCTTCTTCTCCTGGAATGTCCTACTACTCTTCTAAAATTCTACCCTTATGCAACTTTCTTAAGCACATATTCTGTGACAACCCCATTCATGTCCAACCACAGAGAATAGAATTAATCACTCCCTTTGTAAGCTATGTTCCTAGTTTAATTTTTATATTTGTACTAGATGCTGTGGATCCAGAAATCAGTAGAGACCATGTTCTTAAGTTCACAGTCTGTGAGCAACAAAACTTGGCACGTAATAGCTTTTCAATGAGACCAAACAGTACTGAGCCTAAAGAACTGTTCATGCTTCAAGACACTCAATTCTAAATGAACATGAGAAATTAGGATTTTCCAAAGGCAATATTTATAATATTAACATTTGCAACCCTTTCCCATGTTTCCATTGCTGCCTGACTGATGGAGAATGAACATTGGGTACTCATGCCTTTAACACTGGACTCATGTAAATGTGGTGAATCACCCACAATTTCAGTATATTTTTGGTGAGCATTTTGAGAATATGAGATGCTAGGAAAGAGAAGACTGAAAAAAAAAGATAACCTCCATTTTCCCCCTATAAGGGAGACTGACAGAAAATTTTTGCTTTGTTACTAATAAAATGAAAAACAGGCTGGGCACGGTGGCTCACGCCTGTAATCCTAGCACTTTGGGAGGCCGATATGGGTGGATCACGAGGTCAGAAGTTCGAGACCAGCCTGACCAACATGGTGAAACCCTGTCTCTACTAAAAAAATACAAAAATTAGCCACATGTGGTGGCATGTGCCTGTAATCCCAGCTACTCAGGAGGCTGAGACAGGAGAATCACTTGAAACTGGGAGGTGGAGGTTGCATTGAGCTGAGATCATGCCACTGTACTCCAGCCTGGGCGACAGAGGGAGACTCCATCTCAAAAAAAAAAAAAAAAAAGGAAAACAAATTTTCTTGGACTTGGATATGGAGATAGCAAATTACTTTTTATTAAACAGGTTTTGGATATAGAGATTGATCAGAGTTTGGATCTGTTCAAATAAATGAGAGGAACGAGCGCTAAAAACTGACCATGTTGTGATAGAGGTGTTGGATAAAGATTGATGGGCTAATACTATGTAAAGAAACTAAAAAGAAGCAATAATACTCATTAATATTTTGTTTAATTGTAAGATTGGAAGTTGTGATCTGCTGAAAGACAAGTATTCTTTCTCCTTTGATCTTTTAAAGAGCAATGCTGGTAGAAAATCCTGTTTGAAGGATGAGCCATTGACAAATACATTAATATTCAAGAATAGATTTGCTTCTTTCCACTTCATGAATGTTTTCACTCAACTCATAAATACATAGCAAGGTAAGAATTACTTCTATTTTATCAATGAGGTACTAATGCTCAAAAGTAAGAATGATTGCTTAATGTAATACAGCCAGAAGAACCAGCCCTAGGGCTTCGGTCTTGGTCTTCTAACCGCTGCAGATGGATTTGCTTTCTTTTCTTTCATCTTCCTTTCTTTTTTTGCAAATCAGTCCCCATTACCCCCCAACTTTGAAACAGCACGTGTACACAGAAAGTCCTGTGGAGCCTACCTTTCATCGTCCAGCGCCCTGTCCATGTTTGCTTCAGCAGTGAATTTTCAATTGTACATTCATAAGATGAATTTGATCCTGTAATATTCAGTGGGCTGTTAATAGAAAAAGAATCCAAAGACCCTGTTTCTTCCATGTTGTTTTCAGAGATAGGTGTGTTGTCCATTTTCCACGTGATAATTGGACGAGGATAAACACTTAACACGCTGCATATTAAGAAGCTGTTTGTGTTCCTCTTTTCATACTTCATCACGGGTGTGAGAAAAACTACATAGGAGAAAGAAGGGCGCATGAAAAACTGCCATCATTAGCTTCTTTATAGGCCGTCTGTGCAGAATACTTTTTAATATCCATGAAATGAAAAGCTAAATTTTATGAGCAAAACTTGGCAGTTACTGAAAGGGAAAACAAACCAACAAACACACACCTCTGTAGAACCTTAAGATATAGTGTGGTTATCTAGAAGAAATAAAAAAAGAGCAGGCATGGGTATGTGGCAACTAGCAATCTCAATTTTCTAGAAACATAGCTGGAAAAGAAATCTAATGGCCTCATTGAAAAACCAAAATGAGGATGTCTAAGTCTATAAAGTAGAGTTCATGCGGCACTCTACACTCCTCAAATACTGACTCAGAGCACCTATTTGACTGTTTACACATAATTTTGTGATTTCTGAATCAAGGTCTGAAGCAGCTAAAAGGGACAGAAGAAAAAGAAACAAGTGCTGGGAAAAACAACCCATTAGAAAATACTGCATGTATGTGTGTGTGTGTATATATATCTATATGTAAGATTGTTCTATATATTATAATGCATACTAACTATATTGCATATAAATGATCAGCAGCCTGATCATTAACAGAGCACATCATCAGGAACTCTTGGTAATCCGGTAATTAGGAGCCATGAAGCTCTTTGAATTTCTTCAGTTTTAATCTAATACCTGTTTGGTTCAATGTAACTATGAGAATTAGCAACAGTTAATATATTAATACAGTTAATATATTATATAGTTATATTAACTGTATAATATAACCACCATGAAGCTCTGTCTGAGTGATATTAACTGTATATAACTGTATGTATTAACTATATTAATGGCTTATAGTTATATAGGTATAGTGTTATATATAGCTAATACAGAGAAGGAAAGCATATAATATAAAATTAACCTCATTTATAATATAGAAAAATGCAATTTAAATCAGCAATTCAATATTTTTTCAGTCATGATATTGGCAGTTATTTGGTACTGATAAGACTAAGGGGAAAGTGGATAGTCTTATGCTGCTAGTATCAGTAACCCATTTAAATCTTCTGGTACTTTGCTTTCAGATTATTTCCCAGTATTAAGTACAATTATAAGGATGTTCATCACAACCATGTAATGTAAAACACTGGAAATGCCTGAATACCCACCAACAGGGGAACAGTTGTATCATTTATAACATTAGTATACTACAAGTTGCTGTGCGTTAAAAATAAGTAGATTTCCATGTATTGACTTGGAAGGAAGCTCATGGCATATTAGGAAAAAGACGCTTACTAATAACATGGAATGATGTCATTGCTGTTTCATGAAACTTTACATGCACACTTACCTCCCACCTTTAGCACCACTTTGTTTGTAATCACTTGAATTGCTGTTCCTACATAGCAGGTGTAAATTCCTTCGTCCAGAAGGCTTACTCTTCTGAAAAATAGCGACGCATTCCCATTTTGAATCTCATTATAGAAAAGGGATGTCCTGTTTGCATATCTGGGATCTTGGCTTTCCAAATGGTCACTGCCTTTGTAGTAACTGTGAACCTTATAGCTATCTTGATACTTCCAGTGTATTACGACTTCGGATCCCCTCTCAAATGAAGAAGGGAGAATTATATCTTCATCAAGTCTTCCAATGACGATTTGTTCATTCATAGGAACATAAATGAAGAAAGCCAAAGGGAATATGCCTACAGTCAAGAGCAGAGAAGTTATAAAGAGAATTAATGCCATGTGCTTGTTCAGGATTATACCAGAACTACCCAGAAGAACTATCCTAGGTTAGCAGCCTGATTATTAGTAGACCACATAATCAAAAACACTTGTCTGATTATTAGAAACAAACCTGTGAAGCTCTGTGTTTGAGTTTTAATTTTAATTGAATATCTGTTTTATGCAATGTAACTGGGAGAACTGGTAACAGCCCAAGGCATAGAAACACTGGTTTGCTGCCCACTTGATCAATAATCTTATCTCTCTTCCAATCCTGGCCTGGAAATCATGTATGTTAAAAGACTCCATTGGATTTCATTCCCAGAACACATTCACATTTAACTCCTACTATAGCAACAATAAATTAGTTTATCCAGCTAGCAACAGCCAGCAGGCCCTAAAAGAATGGAATAAACTCAGCTTGACTGGGTAAGAAAATATTTGGAGCACATAGAAGACAATGCTGGGTTCAGGAATCTGATATCTGTACACTAGATCTAAATAGGGAAGGACATGAGCAGGAGGAGTCCAAAAGGGAAAGAGAGTCATTCATTTGCTTTGAGTTTAAGACTGCTCTCAGGATATCCTGAGTTGGTCAAAATGTAGGTAAGGAATATCTGGAGATAAATCTGGAAGCCTAATCCCCAATTCTCTTGATTTACTTATTTTGTTTTGTTTTCTTTTCACTGTCAACTTCACAAGTTAATTTCAAAAAGCAAATGAAATCAACAGAATAAGAGATTTTTGCAAAGAAAATATACCCAGACACTTCCTATCATTGAAGGAGGTAATCTAACTGCTTTGATTTACAAAATATTTTAAGTAGATCTTGTGCCCTGTCTATGGATTCTAAGATATTAGCACTGGAAAGGACCTTATTTTTTGGACAATGGAGTAACTCCTTTGGCTCATGGCCCAGGCCACCCAAGATGGAAGAACTGCGTGCCCAAGTGGCTCTGTCACAGTCTTTATCCTCTACCTTCCCTTCTGGGGCTCTTTCTACCCTACCATGTCCCGCCTCTCTTCCTCAGAGAGACTTAATCTCTCTGCAGAGAGCTAGAGGGATGTGGCATCATGCTGAAAGAAAGACACAGAAAGATGGGAAAGGAAAAGAGTGACTGTCGATCTCTCTAATTGCTCTGCTAAACCCCTCTAATGTTTCACTGGATAATTAAGAATGCCTGTCATAGGACCTAGCAAAGCTGATAATGCCTTCTGTCAAGTGGTAAGTACCAAGCTTACACTTAAAAAAAAAAAAATCAATCAATCAAACTTGCCTTTCCAGTGAACTTACTTCTGGTAGCAGACAACAGATTAGAAAGAGTCTTAATCAGAGTGGACAGAAAAAATATATATAATTTTTAGTCTTCATGCAGACTTCCAGCCTGTTCCTTGCTTCTGATTAACTGATGATTTAGGAAAGTTCACGATGCTGTGGCTATGGAGGAAATAGCCACCTTGCATTGTGTGCTCATGTTTCTATCTGATAATGCAAATAACTAACACTTGTATTACAAACGAAATTACCTTGAGATCCACTCAGAGATGTTATGAGAATGAGGAAGAAAGACAGTGCTGTCTGTGCCTTCATGTCTTGTGCAGAACATATTAGTCATGCTATCAAAGAGAAGTAAAGTGCACATGTTATGGATTTAAAATGCAAAAGGGAATTGGAAAAGAGTGGTACATTCATACAAATAATTGTTTTGTGGCCATTAAATATAATATTGTAAAGGATGGTTCAATGGCATGGAAGGAATTTCTTAATAGGTTATCGGAGAAAAATTAGATTACAATACAATTTCTAAATAGCATGGTTCCTTTTTTAAAACATACACATTTCTGATCATAGGATACTGACAAGATATATGACTAAGTATATGAGGATGTTAATTCTGAAGAGCAGGTTTCATATCTGAAGCAGTGACTGCTATTAACAGGTGCTGAAACATGGCTCTTGAATGAATAAAGATTTAGTATATCTGCAACAGTGGTTCTCTGGATAATAATTTGTTATTTTTAAAGCTTTCTACATGGACACATTTGCTTTTATGATAGAAAATACTAAAACCAATTTAAATTCAATATTAAGTGCCAGTGGTGTAAACTATGATGTTATTTATAATCACACATAAAGAACAACTAAAACCTGAAAATATATTTTTACATATCCAATACTAGTGCAAGCCATTAAATTCATGGGTTACAAAGCATGTTTCAAAAACTCAAAAAAGTGAGAAAATATAGATGGCAAAACGTGTATACACAAAAATACAGTTTCAAGCAAGTACAATGTAACTGATTTTCCCAGATGATAGGATTAAAGTTAATTTTTACACTGTAAGAAATAGCTTGTTTAAAGAATAGCATACAATTGGTTTTAAAATCTCTAAAAGAAAGTTTTAAAGGTATCATTTGGTGGCTGGGCATGGTGGTTCACACCTGTAATACCAGCACTTTGGGAGGCCAAGGCAAGAGGATCACTTGAGGTCAGGAGTTCAAGACCAGCCTAGCCAACATGGTGAAACCTTGTCTCTACTAAAAATACAAAAATTAGCCGGGTGTGGTGGCATGTGCCTGTAGTCCCAGCTACTCAAGAGGCTGAGACAGGCAAATTGCTTGAACCAGGGAGGTGGAGGTTGCAGTGAGGCGAGATTGTACCACTGCACTCCAGCCTGGGCAAGACAGTGAGACTCTGTCTCAAAAAAGTAACAATAAAATAAAATAAATAAAAAAGATACCATTTAGGAGCTCTACTATTACAAGAATATATTCTATATTTGTTGTGAGGTATGTGATTTAAGAATGACTTGAAACTATTTTAAGAAGTGAAATTAATCATGCAATATACCCATGTAACAAGCCTGCACATGTAACTCCTGTTAAAATAACAATTTTTTTAAAAAAGTAAAATTAGATTCCTTCATCACATCTTATCAAAATAAAACCTGGTAGATTAATAATTTAGAGTTTCATTTTTACATTTTAAAGACTATAAGAAAGTTATTGAAAACACGACCTTAGGAAGAAGGCCTTTTAACAAAACTGTACATTTTCTATTATCTCTATAAAAATGGAAAAAGCAACAAAATATAGAAATACTTTTGCAATATGACAAAGTTATGAGTCCAATTGCTTTTATTTCTCTTAGAGCAATAACTAAGATAGTTGGTAAAGTCAAAACTGCTCCAAAATAGTATTAGTTATCAAAATTGAGACCTTTATATTTCTTCCTATGGAAGTATTTGCATGTATAATATATAAAAGGATATCACAATGATTATTTTGGAAGAGTAAGATTACAAGTAATCATTAAACTCATTTTTCTACTATGAAAATATGTAAACATGTAATAATACCTTTTGCCTCTATATGCCATTAAAAAAAACCTTGAAATTTAATTACTGTCTCTTTCCAAGCAAAAATTAACTCAAATTCACCTTGTTTAACGTAACCCTGAAACATTCCATGTCCATTGTCTTGCTAGAGGTTCATCTTCCCATTGCCTAGAATGACTCCAATATTTGCTACCTTCTCTTGAAACTGACATTCCCTGTTCTCATCTCTTTTCCAGCTGATGCTCTTACTTCATAATTGTTGTAACTGATTATGGCTACTCCCTCATCCTCCTATCACTGACTCAACCAACCCATTAACATCTAGGTGCACTCTTTTTGTCTCTCCTTCTGCTCTTATCCAAGGCCAAACCCTTCACTGTACTCTGCATCTCACACCTTTCTGTATTCAAGAAATTTGTCCCATAAAATGAGTTAGGGAGGATTCCCTCTTTTTCTATTGTTTGGAATCATTTCAGAAGGAATGGTACCAGCTCCTCTTTGTACCTCTGGTAGAATTTGGCTGTGAATCCATCTGGTCCTGGACTTTTTTTGGTTGGTAGGCTATTAATTACTGCCTCAATTTCAGAACTTGTTATTGGTCTATTCAGGGATTTGACTTCTTCCTGGCTTAGACTTGGGAGGGTGTATGTGTCCAGGAATTTATCCATTTCTTCTAGATTTTCTAGTTTATTTGCGTAGAGGTGTTTATAGTATTATCTGATGGTAGTTTGTATTTCTGTGGGATCAGTGCTGATACCCTCTTTATCATTTTTTATTGTGTCTATTTGATTCTTCTCTCTTTTCTTCTTTATTAGTCTGGCTAGTGGTCTATCTATTTTGTTGATTTTTTTTTTTAAAAAAAACAGCTCTTGGATTCATTGATTTTTTGAAGGGTTTTTTGTTCCTCTACCTCCTTCAGTTCTTCTCTGATCTTAGTTATTTCATGTCTTCTGCTAGCTTTTGAATTTGTTTGCTGTTGCTTCTCTAGTTCTTTTAATTTTGACTTGGAACCAACCCAAATGTCCATCAATGATAGACTGTATAAAGAAAATGTGGCACATATACACCATGGAATACTATGCGGCCATAAAAAAGGATGAGTTCATGTCCTTTGCAGGGACATGGATGAAGCTGGAAACCATCATTCTCAGGAAACTATCACAAGATCAGAAAACCAAACGCTGCATGTTCTCACTCATAAGTGGGAGTGGAACATGGACACAGGGAGGGGAACATCACACACCGGGGCCTGTCAGGGGGTGGGGGGCTAGGGGAGGGATAACATTAGGATAAATACCTAATGTAGGTGACGGGTTGATGGGTGCAGCAAACCACCAGGGCACCTGTATACCTATGTAACAAAACTGCATGTTCTGCACATGTAACCCAGAATTTAAAGTATAATTAAAAAAAAAAAAGAAATTTGTCCCTGCAATCATATTTCCTTTCTACTACATCATCAGGATCTCTCTCTCTCTCCTGAATCAATTCTATAGGCATAAAAGCTCCAATCACCCATCTTAGAAACATGAGAAAAAACAAAAAATTCTCCCCTTACTCTTGATTATCTATTTCTCAGCTCCATTAATTTCTTGAAATAATTGTCTAAATAGCTGTCTTCATTTCCCACTTTAAAATGTCCTACCAACTCTCGGCTCTTTTCTGCATGACATGTCATAAACTGCCCTTGTCAGTATTACCAAGAACACCAAAAACAGTGATATTATTTGTCCTCATCTAACTCAACCTCGTAGCAGCATTTAATGTAATTGACTGTTACCTGCCTTTGTTAAGAGTCTTCTCTTGGTTTCTGGAACATCATACTCTCCTAGTTTTTCTTTCCTTACTGCTGTTCCTTCTAAGTCCTTTACTGGTTCTCTTCTGCTTGCCCTATTTATGTGGAAATATGGAATGTTACCAGGTTTTCTACTTTCTCTCTATTCTCTCCTTAGGCGAGTTCATCTCACACTCTGAATATAATCTGTACATCAAGGATTCTCAAACTTATCTACTGGATCAAGGTCATATGTTTAACTATTCTTCTGAACTGTTCATTTAGATTCCCTAAGTTAACATGAGCCATTTCCACCTCATTTCCTTTTCCATTTCTCTATGACCCACCCCAAACACAACAAAACAGCAGAAACTATCCTGTTCTTTCTCCAGTCTTCATCTCACCTAGTACCAAATTCTTCCAGTTGTTTGGGTCAGAAACTTAGAAATCAATCTTGACTCTTCCATTCTCTTATGCCCCATATCTAATCTATTAACCAATCTTTTTGTTGTTGTTAATGAATTAGATAAACTCCATTATTTGCCTACTCTCCAACTCTACCATTACCATCCTGCTCCAAAGCCACTATCCCTTCTTACCTGGATATCTACAAATACGCATTCGGCTGGTTACCCTTTTCCTACTGTTGTCTCCTTCCAATCCACTGTCAATACAGCAGTCAGGAGTCATATTTTTTAAAAAAAGAAGTCATTCTATAATATTCTCCTAATTAAATCCCTCCAGTGGCTTCCCACCACACCTAATGTAAGATCCAAATTCTTAACCCTAGCATCCCAAGCCTTTAATCCACCACTCCTGGTCCTGTCTGTCCCCCAATCCTTTCCCACAGCAGCCCACAAAATACATTCCTGGAGACTTGTGAACACAAGTGCTCCAATTCAAGGGTCAGCATGAGCATGAGCCAAAAATTGAGTCTCTGAGGACTATTTAATTCATGTTTTGAATAAAGTGAGAAATTACAGTAACCCATTTATCATCTAAGATAAAGTATTATGAATAAAAAAATGCCCAACCTCTTCTACACAAAGGCTTGATTTAGTGCTGTTGAAATAATTTCAGCATTCAGCTAAGTGAGGCAGTTAATGAGTATTTGGCCCTATTTTTATGCCTAGGTTTTATTTTTAGACACTTATTTTTTTCCCCAAAAGCAGCAGAAAGCTTCCACCTTAGATTATACTGAAGTTGCCCAAGTTGCAATCAGCACCCTTACAAAAGGGCCCAAATGTGAGAAGCATCTTGTTCTGGTACTTTTGGCTGGATTCCAGATGTGAGGGAGAAAGGCAGAGAGAGGCAGCCTCTGCAATAGAATATGGCAAAAAAGAAATCCATATGCTAAGACTAATCAGACAGAAGAGAAAATTGAGGCCATTTCTACAAGCATAAAATAGCGAAAACAGAACAGCTCCCCCATACCCATCTTAATAGCTCCAGACTAAATTGACCACAGCCATCAGTACTAATTGTGACATGATGATGCAAACATCACTTGCAGTTGGGACAGATTCTCTAGCCTGCACATTAGTAACGCTCAAAACCATTTCACAATGTATGTGTACTTCACAATATCATGTTGTACACGATAAAAACATATAATGTTATCTGTCAATATATTTTTTAAAAGACTAGTCCTGGCCTCATAACTGCTGGTCTCAATCTGACCAGAGCCACAAGAACAGGTCAATTCTCTTTTTTGAAACATAAGAATGTTTTGCATCACTCTCATCATTATGCCAGTTCATGAATGTTCTGCACTCCTTTGAGGAAAAGCAGCTTCTAGGTTGCTACATTCTCCTCTGCATTGTTTTTACTTTCTGTGCCTCACCACAGTGCTCATGACACCGAGCTAGTTTGTAAAAGACGTCTTAACAAAGGAAAACTCTTTGTAGCATCCTGGGGATGTTCCTTAGCATCCACTTAGATTTTAATAAGATTGACTGTTTAGACAGAAAAAGAACAAAAGAACAATTTCAGGATTACCCTCTCTTTACTCAAAATATCTCTCCTGATGTTTCACAGTGAAATCCCACCATTTAGGGGATTTGTACATGTACTGAAACTTTGATCTCTAGGGGTGCTGTCTTTGCCTTCGGTTCTGTTTTGGTGTGTTTTTATTTTTGATTTTGGAAATCAAGCTAAGATTATGTGCTAACGTTTTGGGGGAGGTGAGGAGGTGCAATTGCAGGGCAGGAAGAGTGAGGGAAAAGGGGAAGTGAAACAAGGAAGAATGGAAAACAGATACTAGGTGGTGCTTGCTTTGCCAGCCACAGATTCAGAATGGAAAATAGAGCCACCTGCTCAGTCACAAGGGACAATCTCTAGACATGCTCCACAGAACCACAGCAGCTCAAAACAATCCATCAGAGGAAGAGAGCAAAAAGGAATTTATCTATAAGTTGCCCCCCAGTGGTTAAAGTTTTCCCCATTGGCATTAGCTCCTATGCTCTTCCTGGTTGTGCCTATGGCCCCTTGGGAAAAGCACTACGAAAGCCAAATGCCATGCCTTACTGTGTGGCATTTTAACTGTATGATGCTTTGTGTTTGAGTCTGGAAACAGGTGAAAGGTGAAACCGCAGTCTGTGTGTTTCCTTGGGTCATGTCTGGATTCTGCAGCTGCTGCACTTCCCAAGGAGGAAGGCATAATAGAGGACATGTTGAAGTTGGCTTTCCCAGAGGAGACGGGTCAGCTGGTGACATTTGGAAATTGGGGCTGGTCTCTTTTTGTCTAACCAGTTGAGGGCCCAAGAGACAAGAGAAACCCAGAAAATTTAGGGAGGCTCGTAAATTGGGTCCAATAAAAGTAGTTATTTTAACAATACCACACATTTACTATCTGATATTCTGTGAATTTGCAGTTAATCACCTACAAAGATCCCCTTTTACTGCTTTTATCAATTTAGTTTTCACACATGTGTTGCTTAGCTGCTGCTACCTGCTCACATAACTTCAGCCTTCTTTGGAGGATTGTACTTGGATGATGGAAGCTGCAGTTCTCAGGTTATGTTGCTTTGCAACTCCCTGCCCCAGTGGTGGCTTCAAGGCAAGAAACATCCTGTAGCCCAGAGCTCCCTTGGGTTCAGGCTGAGCCTTCACCTGAAGCCACATTTTTTTCTTAGCATCTTTCTCTGTGTCATCCTCCTTCTCAATCTTCCTTACAGCTTTCATACAGTTAATGAGAACACTGCTCTCTTTACTTGCCCTCAATTCCCCATCTTGGGAGGGGTTGGTTCCCTGGAAGCAGAGCCCAGGATGAAGCACTTGAATAGGAATCCACATTACACAAGGTGGGGTAAAGTCCAGGGAACTACTCCTGCTTCCAGGGACCATTTTCCAGCTCAGCCTTCAATCACGAAATGTTTCTTCTTGTCAAATGGGTAGATAATATAATCCTCCTTAATAGCTCTCTATATCAGAAAGAATATAGCTAGACAGAGTGGGGTTTTGTTGTTGTTGTTGTTGTTTAGCAAGAATGCTGCAAAGCCAAGAAAACAGACAAAAGAAATTGCCAGGGTTAACACGGCAGACAGCAGGCATTTTGTCGAATACATCAAGGTAGTGAGCAATTGAACAAAACTCCATTAAATAAAGTTAGTGTTGAACATGTGCACATGTGAGGCCAAGGACTTCTTAGTCACCTTTTTCTCTGTAAAACATATTGCTAGATGCCCATGGCACACCAAGTGCTTCTGGAAAGCCAGTGCACTCTTTCTGTACACTTCTACCCCCTGCAGTTCAGTGGGTTATCATCAAATAATTTAACAAAATGTTATGTTAATTGATTAAATGGGAGGACAAGACCAAACCTGGTCTATCTTCAATGACTAATTGAATAAGATGAATGCTTTGGAAAAGCTAAATAAAAGCAAGTCACAACAAAGATGAAAAAAAATCAGTTATTGTATTAGGTGTGGGAGAGACAATGGCAAAAGATTCAAAGCCAATTGTAGAGCCTAGGAGGAACTGGACTTTTTTGTACATATTTGAATGCAAAGGTCTCTGGCCATTTTTAAGAAACAAAAACTGGAAATACTGAATAATGCATTATTGATTAAATTGTTCTATGGATACAGGAAAAAAAAAATCAAACAGTGGCACCATACTCAGGACAAGGCTTTGACTGTTTTTCCCAAAAGACTAGAAAATGAGTGGACTTTTATGTTTAGGTTTAAAACATTCAAAGTGTATAATTTGAATAACTTTTTCTTAGCTAGACTAACTAGTTTTTAACTAGACACATCTGATTATGTCAGATGTAAGGACTTCCACTGAAGTAATGAAAGCTCTACAATGATACAGTGAACTCTCAACACACATAATCTGGGACCAAGTTTCTGTAACATTGAGGAGGATCAACAGTCTGTGGGGTCAAAACATCTGGACTAACTGAATTACGAAGCTGGAAACTTCTTTTCCAATGTCAATTTAAGTTTATCACCTACTCCTGATATCAGAATTCCATCCTATGCTGGTTACAGCTGTTACATTTAAATACATCTATTGTGTGGTAAGTGATATATCCAGCAATCGTCATTCCCCAGTATGAGGTTAATCATTCCCACTCAATCCCTTTGTCATCTTTTCATATCCCAAAGTAAAGAACGCCTACTTGTATCTACATATCAAGGTGCTGGGGCGGGTGACCTGTAACTGAATATCAGAATCAAGGAATTGGTGTGAAGAATAGGCAAATCCAATCTTTATAAGACTTACTCCTACCTGCATAGACTGCTTAGAGCTTTTATTAAGTGATACTTTAAAATAGACTGCTTTCTATCAAGTACTTGCACCTATGTACATCTGAATTAGTGGCTATCAGTCCTCAGAATTTAAAGCGGTTGCTAACCTGACTAGCTGGTACACAAGAAAAGAAAATCTCCTGGCCTAGTTCTATGTATGCAGTTCAGTGAGTCATTTCCTAAGTACAGTGGTTATCATGCTGGCTTTGTACCAGTGAGTTTTTGGTGCTCAGAGTCAATTCTTCCAAATAACTTTGGTTTGTAAAGCTTCATTGCTTCAGAAGCCTTGTCTTCTACTCATAATCCATACGTAAGTTAGAGCCAGGAAAGGTTCAAGTTCTGAGAAACAAGAAAAAATAAAATGCCCTCCAACTTATCTTGACCTCCTAGGAAACAGGACTAGGTCATTCTTTGTATGGTACCCCACACTGTCATCCAGAAAGTTTTAACATCCTTGCTGCCATTAAAAATATATGATTTCAGCATCACCTACGGGTCACAAACTGTACAGGGATGAGTCAGTCCCTAATCTCAGAAAGCTCCATCTGGTACCAAAAGATAGGTGAATTACATAAACAAATCATAATACAGAGATGCAGGCAGGAAGAAGGGCTCCCACCAGGTGCTGTGGAAGGAAACAGGAAAGACGCTTGAGCTTGGAAGGGGCAGGGTGTTAAGGAAGACCTCTCAAAGCATTAGGTTTGAGGTACAAAGAGACACTGGCCTATAAGGAAGAGTAGAAGGTTATTCTGGACAGACAATAGAACAAAGATGCAGCAGCAAGAGAGAACATAAATCCTATGCGATTATAATAATACCCAGCAGTCCACATGGAAGAGAAAATGCTGGAAAGATGTCCCAGGGGTACAGCATGACCATTATTTTAAGCCATACTAGAAAGCTAATGATGAAGTCAGATTGTGTTTTAGAAAGATCACACCAGTGGGATTACAGTGGTTGAGTAAAAGGAGCCAGGCCAGGCGCAGTGGCTCATGCCTGTAATCCCAGCACTTTGGGAGGCAGAGGTGGGTGGATCATCTGAGGTCAGGAGTTCGAGGCCAGCCTGGTCAACATGGCGAAACCCTGTCTCTACTAAAAATACAAAAAATAAGCCAGGCATTGTGGTAGGCACCTGTAATCCCAGCTACTCAGGAGGCTGAGGCAGGAGAATCACTTGAACCTGGAAGTCGGAGGTTGCAGTAAGCTGAGAGCGCGCCGTTGCACTCCAGCCTGGGTGACGAGAGTAAAACTCCATCTCAAAAAAAAAAAAAAAAAAAAAGAGAGAAAGAAGAAAAAGGAGCCAGCCGATAAGCATCAACTAGCTAAATGTAATAGAATACCATTAAAAGAAGACTTTAGTAGGATATGATTAAATTTGGAAGGACACTGTGACAGACACCAGTACCATTTCCCTCCTTCCTTGCTAACAACTCCTCTGTCAAGCTGTGTTGCAGGACGCGACTGCCTCTATTGAAAAGAACTGACAAATTGTTCAGAAAGGTAAATGAGATGAGCATGTCCGGCTTGGGATGGAAGTGAGAGCCTCTAAATTGGATGCAAGAGCAGAACATGATGGCAAACCCCGTCCCTCTACTTTCAGAGCATTGATTTGATGTCTGGAGCTGGAGCTTCTATCTTACAGTTGTGAGGAAACAAGTAGGGGGATTAAGAAGTCACAGTAACAAGGATGACAGAGCAGATGGATGGAAAGAAGCTGGGTTTGTGATGACACTGTTGAGTCTCTGCTCCTGTCTGTGCTGAGTCCTCTACCTCTAGTCTTCCTGTTAATTAAGTAATACATTTAAACTACTGTGAGTTGGATTTTCAAATGTCTCCAAACATTTGAAAGTAACGCATAATGAAGATAATTAATTAAGAAAACTAAGGGATGAAGAGCTACTGACACAAGAACTGGGCTCTGTTTTTTTTTGTTTGTTTAAATAAATCAATGAAAAACAAATGTCTCCTTTCACAACAAAATGTTGAAAGAAGATGTGTTATATTTTAACAGAGTAATGTAAAATGTAAGAGACACACATTTGCTTAGTAATGGTAGCAAAAACACTTTTAATCTTGAAGCTAAAACAAACGTTAGTTATGAGCCATTAGAAGTTTGTAGTAAGTTTAATGTGCCTTATGGTTTTTATAGGAGTTTTCTGACAGAAAAACCACATTAACTTAAAAATTCCTATTTATTTTTATGTCAACATTAAAAGGAAAATACTATTAACTGAAGCATTATCTTGCAAATGTGGGAATTTTCTTTTATACAAGAAAAGAGTTTGAGGCTGGGCGTGGTGGCTCATCCCTGTAATCCCAGCATTTTGGGAGGCCGAGGCGGGCGGATTACCTGAGGTCAGCAGTTCGACACCAGCCTGGCCAACATGGTGAAACTCCTTCTCTACCAAAAATACAAAAATTAGCCAGGCGTGGTGGTGAGCACCTGTAATCTCAGCTACTCAGGAGCCTGAGGCACAAGAATTGCTTGAACCTGGGAGGCGGAGGTTGCAGTGAGCCAAGATTACACCCCTGCACTCCAGCCTGGGCAACGGAGCAAGACTCCATGAAAGAAAGAAAAGAAAGAAAGAAAGGAAGGAAGGAAGGAAGGAAGGAAGGAAGGAAGGAAGGAAAAAAAAAAAAAAAGAAAAGAGTTTGGCTATTTTACTCTCCAGGACCCCTGTTTCTTTCTTTCTTTCAAAGAAACAAAAAAAAAGAGTAAATCCTTGTTTTCAAGAGATCTTTAAAAATGAGGCTATAAGGTAATAAAATAACTTCAGATTGTATAGCTGGGACTTAAATATTTGTAGGAAAAATGAATTTGACATCTTATGACATAACTATTTGTATTTCAATGCCTTAACTTTATAAATTCAACACTAAAGACTAAAGAAGGGAGAGTATAAAAGCTTTAATTTGGTATATAGACTTTCAAATGCAGAGAACTTGAGTTTGATGCATTTGAACAGATGGGTATGTTGGTCTGTTTATATAAATCAAGCTGCCCAGATATACCAGGTAGGTCAACCTTTGTTTGGTTCTATTTGTTTCTATAACTAGAAATTCTCCAACGAAGTTTTCTGAGTTTAGTAAAGACTGGCAAATTTAGGCGAGAGAGGGAGCATGTGTAACCAATGCTGAGCGATTTATAGAATAAGAAGATTTCTTTAAGTGGGGCATCTTTACCCATGCCCCCATCTGCTCAGGCAGTGAGATCCAGGCCCAGCATGAGTCACTAGAGAATGAGTCTCCTTGCATTGGCTTCCAATCTCTTACTGTCTAAAGATCAGCTACCACCTTCTTTGAGAAATAGAAATTCTGTCATCTACACTTCTCCCTATTTAACCTATCTCTGGCAATTCCTCCTTGCCTCAATTCTCTCCCTTCCTATCTTTCCCTAAACCTTAGCCCTCCTTCTAATCCGCCTGGCCCTTCACAGATGGGCTCTTTCCCCAGGCTCCCACACACTGAGTAACATTCCTTGACCCTGTTGTCCTCTCTAGTTATGATCCTAATTCCCATCTACCTTTACCGTCCAAGTCTTATTTGGGGCCACATCTGTTGCCACTCCTCACTCCATGCTCACTATTCAAAGTCTTTTGAACCAGATTTTTCTTTCTTACCAATCCTGAAACTATTTTTGAAAGGCAAAAGTGACACACCTGACAAACCAAAGACATCTTTAAACCAAATGAGAGAGGTCCAGCCACTCTTCCCTGGCCAACAAATGGAGTGTTCTTTTGTACTTGTGGTAAGTTTGACAGGAGGAATTGTCAGATCAGAGGAGCAGACCACGTAAGTAAAAACAGATGGAAGAAAGAATCAATGAACAGTGTTTACTAGGAGATTTTACCTGCTAAAAGAAAAATCAATAATTTTCTCTTTTCTCTTGCGTTTTATTAACCCTTTTGGTAGTATTAATGCTAACCTTTCAGTATTACTAAACATATACTAATATATGCATTACATATATATATATGTGCTATATACTAATATAGCATATAGTAATACACCATAATTCTAGGCACAATCACATGAAGTATTATAATTTCCATTTTATAGATGAAGACATTGAGGTTCAGAGAGGTTAAGTAATTTGCTCAAGCTTGTAATTGACAAACAGCAAAGTCAAGACTAAATTAAGTTGGGCTTATGACTTTGAGGCCTTCTACTAACCACTCTACTGTGAAATCTCACAGGTCACAGCACCACCCCAGGGTGATTCCCCTGAGAACAAACTATGGAGAAGCTGATAGTTTATTTCATTGTAGATTTAATCTTTTTGTGAATCTTGACCTTTTTGTGAGTCTTATACCTGGTTCCAAAAAGTTATTTCCTCTCAGCAAGTGGTTGATAGTGATTGTAAAACTGTGTATGGTTTTATAGTCATAACTACTGTTAGACCTGTATCACATCAGAAGTTAGTGCAACAACTCCAAAATCATTTGTCTGCTTTCAGTTGCTCAGCTTTCCTGTGGCAAACAGGCATTCCATTAATTATTAACAGTAGCCTCTTTTACTTTCAAAAGTGTCCCAATTTGAATGATAAATTATATGATCAAGCTACTTATGTACCATTGCCATCTTAGTCTCCTGAAAACATTGATTTGAATATGTAATACATCTGCCCAAAAGGCAAAGAGCTCTTGCTAAGTGTGTAGGGGACATTTATGAATGCCCAGAAATCCTGCCTCCAGGACAACTCTCCCTCCCTGTTTTATCTCATTCTGGAGGGATTATTAACCACTGTTGATCACAATGGTCTGCTCCACCACTCCATCTAAGGATAGGCTAACTAATCCAGGTGTGAATAATCATGGCAACCTGTCCAAGGTGGGAGGGGGACATGTGATCCAAGAAGGGCCAGAGTACTACTTACTGCAAATTAAACAAGGGCTCTTTCTGCTAGGCTTGTGGAGAGAAAACATATATTTGGAACTGCTGGCAGCAATAATTCCTGCCACACAAAGAGAACTTCAACAGAAAGAAATCAATCAATGATGAGAAGCGAACAGGAAGGCTGAGGGTGAGTGCTTGATGGTAAACAGTCAAGTGCATAGGAGCACACATGAGTGCCCCCCAACAAGCATGTCCTCATAACTTGGTTCCCATGCTTCTTAATTCAATTCTACAAACTTCCCCAGTAACCTGCTATTCTATGTAATGCTAATAAAATCCCTCTGCTTAAGCTCATTTGAAATGTGTTTCTATAACTTGCACATAAAAGTGTACTGACACCTCATATCTCCTACAATTTCACCTTCAATAATATTCAAATATATGAAATATTTTAAAGTCCCAATATCCTACCTGGCAGAATGTCAAAGATATATATATATATCTTTGATATATAGATATCAAATCTATATATCTATGATATATGATACATAGATATCAAATTTAGATATCTATGATATATATTTCTATATATATAGACAGGTATCGCTACATATATACATATGTGTGTGTGCGTTTGTACATACACTTATATACATTTTATATTCAGTTCTGAGAAAAATACCTGGAGACAGTGGCTTATATTATTGGTGAGGCCATACACTGATAATTAAGTTCCTAGAAAGTAACTTGGTGATATTTTTCAAATGCCTTTAAAATTGCAAGACCTTTTGTATCATTTAAGGTGAGTTTAGTGACAAGCAACAAATAGGTTTAGGACATAAGCAAGAAGGAAATTAGAAGGACACTGGTAACTCCAGAACTCAAGGAAGAATGACCAAGCACCAAAAAGAGCAAAGGCCCAGACAATTCCAAGAAAGTCAACACAGGAACCCTGGACACTTCCTGGGTTCTGTCATACAGTGACTCAGTTCCAATCAAATTCCACCTGGATAGGTCTCTGTTCCACCTTATAAAGTTTCTGGGGAGGGTGAGCTTTCGTTATGTATTTCCACTCTTGGGAAAGTTGGCCATGACTAGGACATCCAGTGATTAAGGGAGGACATCAAGATATAAGCTGCTCAGTTAACTCATTGGTATATTTCTATTCATTCAACTTTGACGGTACAAACACATAGATTCCACATAGACAAAGATACCTCCACCTAACCCACCTAAATACTCTATGAACCATGGCAAGCTCACTCATCTTCACAGTGGCAAGCGACCAAAGTTACCCACAGCTGCTGCATCTGGGAGTTACAATATATTTCACAAGGCCACTGCTCATTAAGATCAGTGTTTCTCAAACTATAAGTAGCAAAGCGGCAGTAAACTTTTGTTTCTAATCTGTCATGGACAAATTCATTGGGAAAATGTAATAAAAATGAATTGCTAGAAAAATGAAATTAACATCAAATGCAAGCCTCAGTTTTTATTAGTATATACAATAGGCATAGAAATGTTAATGCTACCTTGACAGCATAATTTTAAATACTCTAGTTCTGCATTTCTCTCATCATGAACCAGTAATAAACAGTTCACACACCAGCATCAGTCTGCAGACCCCCCACTTTGAATAGTACTACTCTTGGAAATGCCATTTCCCCTCAAATCCGCTTCAACCTCTGGTCCAAAAGGCATAATTTACCACCACCAGCACACTGTGTGTAAAATATGGAGAGAAAATATTTTGCGCTAAGTCATGACACATCAAGCAAGGAAACAGATCTTTCTGCCATTTATCCCCAAGCCAGAACCCAGAACTGGTATTAGGTATTCTCTTTGATATTACCCATAATGTAATCTCCTTACCTTTGGCCGGCCCCTCATTTTTTTTTTTAATGGAATAACCTGAACCTTGGTTCTTGAGCTGTTCCAGTTCCTAGTGGTCTTGTGCATAGAAGGGCAATCATCTTTGATTAATCTTTCCCACTGAGCACATGAGGAAAAGTAAGGATCCACAGAGTTCCTTTCACATTCCTCTTAGATCTAGTTGTACAGCAGTATTGCATCTCCCCTTACTAGGCAAGGTCAGTCACCTCAGCCAACACAGTATCCCACTTTCTGCCATTTGTTGTCCCCTAGCAGGAAGAGCCCAAATTACCAGTTTTAGCTTCCAATTTAGAAGAATCACAGTATATATTACATGATGAAAGCATTCCTTAAGTACTAACAAGAGATGGGTCACCCTAAGAAGGACAGCAAGTAAAAATTTTGGGAATAGGTTAATTAGTTATCATTGTTAGACACATCAGTCCCTCCTCACTCCTTGGTTCCTAGATCCATGTCTTTTAATTGTGGGGAAAGTATTTCTTATTTCAAACACTAGTTCAGTGCCTAACCAGTGGTCTACAAAGTAGCTACATCATCAGATGGAAGAAGATCCCCTGTGAGATTGCGGTGCTGTCTTTAGTGACCATTGCACAATGTCATAAGGCTAACTACTTCATAAATAGGGAACATAAAACAGTGAATTACATTTTAATTAGTCCATTGCCTTTATTCTTTCTTTTTGATCAAATAACTCCCCTCATAGCCAATTTGGGTGGGATAACAAGATAGTGTATGAAGCATTTGGAAAGTTCATAATTGGTAGTACTGGCAGGGGCACAACAGGGAGGAAGTAGGAAAAGAGAATGCTGTTCCCTTCCATAATGAGAGCAACTAGATATAATACAACAAGGAGTTCACTGTGTTTACTAGGTATGATGCCATATCAGAGATGTGGGCTGGTCTCTAAGGTTGACAAATGGATCACTCAGCTACTGTATTAGCATGGTCTGCTTTGATGAGGGAAATACTGTGTGGTGGAGTCTGTACAAAGCCCCTATCACTACTTTTGTGGCTGCCTCAGTCATGTTCTATCTGGATGCTCATCAGAAAGTCCGAAGCAGCAGCTGTCAATCACATGAATACGCATTCATACCGTCAGGTCAGTTCAGCCTCCTTTTCATGCTTGCTCAACACACTCCTTAACTGTCTCATGTTCTGGATCCATTGAATGTTCCATGATTGCATCCTTTTTCTTAATTGTATAGTCAATCTTCTTCTATGTTCTTGACCAACATGCCCAAGAACTTGTTACAGAGCCTGACTTTAGGCCTCATCTTCATTCAGGTAAAGTTACAATGACATGTATTACCCAACATTCTACCTAATGGGAGGCTTTCCCTTCTCCATCGTCTTTTAGGGTTAGCCCTGTCAGAGACTCTAAAGCTGCAAAATCTACTTATAGTCAGTGGTAGTTGTTATCCTGAAAAGTCATCCTTTGTACTCAATAGCTTGTTAAAGGGACTCCCCATGAGGCCACAAGCACAGGTTGTGGATGAAACAGCAGTATGGTGGGCTCAGTGGGCATGTAAACAATCTGCTCATGCAACTCATTTATTCTTTAGGGGTTTGATGGAATGTGGCCAGGCACATTCAACTTTGTCCCTGTCTTTCTTGTGGATCCTGGATCCCTGATCATAGAATCTAAAACTCAAACATCTTCATGCACTGTATACTGACTCACTCAGATACATTTTCTGAAAAGAATAATTAATTACTTGCTAAAGGGAGCAAAGCCTTTCTCCAAGATCTAGAAACTTTTATTGCAATTCTATTAGGATTTGCCACAGGAATCATTCAGTATTCAGATCTGCCTTAGTCACTGCATTAATTTGCTCCAATGAGGGGACAACATATGGAACAGCAGTTGCAGTGAGAATCACCACCTGATTAAGTCATGATATGCTGGACAGCTTTTCTGGCACCAGCTCCATCTTTTCCATGACTCAAGCTCCTGATGGGCAGATCTGCCATTCCAGCTTCCATAAGGTGACCTCACCCCTGGGATCCCATAGCATCCTTCCAGCATGAAAGTGACGTTCTGCTGTTACCTGCACTCCTCACCATCTTTGATTTCATTTGCCAGTTCCCTGAATTAAATCCCCTCTGTTGCAAATACTTGGTGGATACTATTTTCCTGGATAGATTATACCTGTGCGTCAGTTAAAGTGACTCATAATAGGCCTTGTGGGATATAATTAAAACATTTGTCTCTGAGTATATAATAGGGATGGATGTCTATCCTTGGCAACTTTCTGAATCCACAAATTAGCTCCCCATCCTTTTTCAAAAAGTCTATTACAATAGGAGAGCCAAGTGGCAGTAATTTGTTTACCTCATACATTTAAAATAGTTGATCAGAAGCAACACCACATCCTAGGCTATTTTCAAAGGACTGAACGATATACATGCAGATACTCGTACCTTATTCCCATCTAGTTTCTCAGCATTGATACAGCACTGATGACACTTGGGCAATGAAAGTTTTGGGTTTTGTTTTGTATCAAAAAGTAAAACTGAAACACAGACCTTAAAAGCTGGCTCATCAATTTGGTTCCCAAAGATTCCATGTTTAATCTAAGCCAGAGACTTCTGCTTCTCTGACCATTTCCTGAGCCCTGATTATTGCATTGCCTTTGGATCTGTGACTACACCCACTTGGAGTCTCCAGTTGCCTGTTTTCAGCATGACTCCTCCTAACTCTGCTCATTTAGAAACCCCATTTTCATTGCACCCTCCCACTTCACAGTCTTGGCCTATGAAGAACAGTAATGTGCATTTTAAAGGATTCTGTGGCCTGCCTTCGCAATTTACTTCCCATGGGAAGAAAAGATTCTTCTGGGTCCTGAAGCAGAACAGAATGAGAGATAGGTGGGTCAGAGACACACAGATACATGTGTCCAAATCAATACTAGCTCTTACAATCTTTTGAGCCAAAAAGACCCCAGCATAATGAAGGGGAAGGAATTCAATGTCATCTAGCGTAGGACAGCATTCAGCAATGGTTTGCACTCATCAGGCCATCAAACTTGAAATTAAAGCTGGCTGCCTAGGCTAGCTCATTGAATACAGACTAACTGGTGAGTACTATAGCAATGATTTCAGCGAGATCTGAATTTCTAAAATTTCCTCTTAAAAAGTTTTTTTCCTCTCTATCCTCTGAGGCATGTATGTGCTGAATTTAAATTAATTTTTTTTTTTTTTTTTTTTTTTTGGTTACTGAGAGAGCAACACTGAAAAGACATATAGGGTTGGACCACATAGGGTTGCAAGATAAAATCCAGGATGTCCAGTTGAATTTGAATTCAGATAAACTAATAATTTTTTAGTACAAGAATATCCTAGCCCTCAGACATACTTATACTGAAATTCAAATTTAACTGGGAATCTTGTATTTTTAATTGCTAAATCTGACAACTCTATGGGTAAGAGCCATTGGCATTCACTTCTTTTCATATAAAAGAGACTTTGCTGCTTTTTGCAAGGGAATAAAAAGAAGTGGTTGAGAATTAAGGTTATGACATGAGATTGTGTGGGTTTGAATCACGTCACCTCTACTTAATGACTATGTGACTCTGGACCAGAATTAGCCACATAATTTATGAAGTCGGGATGCTTCATCAGCCTCCATTCTCTTCGTTTTGGTATCAGCTATCCAGACACCTGAAGTTTCACTTCCAAAGAGATGCCCAGTTGCCTGAGGGTGATAGATGTACTAGCTGTTTGGCCATCACTTACCATGAGCTCTTAAATTTCTGCACCAGAATGCAGAAAGGAGCCTTACTGCCTTTTACTCCAATGAAGTCCAATGGCTAATTCCAAATATTACCTTTCTATAGGTGTCTATCATATACAATCCACCATCAATATTATTTGGGGGTTTCTTTTTTTGTTGGCAACAGAAAGGAACCCAGAATAACAAGCAAACCATGGAGTTTTGAGGGAAGGATTCTAAGGTTGCTCACACAACCTAAGGAAGGGCTACATAAACCAGCTTCAGGAAGGAGAGGAACAGGAGAAGCAACATCAAAACCCAGCTTAGAAGCCTGATATCTTTGCACCAGATCCTCACCTGAGAGTTCCCTGTTTGTATGTCAGCTTTCCAGGTTTCTTTTCACCCAACTTGAATCTAGATATTCTATTACTGGCTCAGAACGGTCAGGGTTAAGACTGAGAATGATGGCACTATCAGAGCCTGCAAATGAATTTGCATGAGTTGGGCACACACTCCAGTTTGAGTCTATTGTAAGCTTTGTCTCAGCAACTCTACTGTTAGGACTCTGTTATAATAATCAGAGAAGTAATAATTGTATGAACAGGCTTCTTATTGCAGTGAAGATTTGGAAGCAACTTAAATGTCCAATGACAGGGAAGAAAGAAAACTATGATATGCAAATGTACATTATTTATGAAATGATTTTTAATGCTGGATTTTTACTGTTATGGAAAATTTTCATATGAAATTTATAATGCAAGTCAGAATTTTACAATAATGCCTTTTTGCAAAGGAATTACATAAAATACACTAAAATATTGGAACTCACTAGTCCCACCGCCTGGAGGTAACTGTGCCCAGTTAAGTAGCCTCCATTTTTCTGAGTCTGGAAATTATTTTTAACATTTTTCTGAGTCTGGAAATTATTTTTAAAAATTAAAATTTTGATTGCTTTTGAACCAAATTCCTCAGTTGGCTCCAGCTTACCTTTTAAAGTGAATGTCCTTTGTTTCCTAGACTAGTTAGTCAAAAGAAACTAACGTGGTCTACAATTTTAAGATCTACAGAAATGCCACGTCTTTCATGAAATCTGTCAACTTTTAGTGATCTCGCTTGCCACAAGATTCCTCTCCATCTTGCTTGTACCAGTCATTAAGCACTTATACAACTTTATGTGGTTAGTTTCAAAAGCATGAGAGTGTTTTAAAATTTCATGATTGTTTTCATCAAGGTAGAATGGGGAGGGGGAGGCAGGCAGCAGAGGAAGGAAGAATAGGGAAAAAATGGACTATTCTAGCTCAGAGATGGTAAAGAGTAAAGAAAACTTTGATAGCCAGATGTAATACAATCTTTGATTAGATCTTCAATCAAAAACTTGCTACAGGGCAAATGGGTGTGCTTGTCATTCACTGGGTTCTTATTAAAATATGCTGGTGCTATACTACAAGTCCAAGGATCAAATTTTGAGAAGCAATACTCCAAAGGGCATTTTGAGGCCTATTGGAAAAATTTCACTGTATTTTATCTAATACATCAATGTTTCATTTCTACAGTGTGAGAAGGGCATGTGATTATATGAGGTAGTTTTTATTTGTAGGCTATGTGTACTAAAGTGTTTAGGGGTGAAATGTCATGATTACTGTGACTTACTTTCAAATGGTTCTGCAATAAAATTATACACATAAATATGTATATGAGGAGAAAATGGGATAAAATATTAACAATGGATGAACCTCAGTGAGAGGCAAACAAATGCTCACACTTCTGTTTCCTTCAACTTTTTTTGATTTTGAAAAATCTTCAAAATATAAAAACTATGAAATGATAAATAAAAATACAAATCCCCATAGAGATTGAGTCAATATATCTGGAGTGAGACCTAGGAGCCTGCATTTTAACAAACACTCCAGAGAGTTCCATCACTGGTTGTACACAGACCACATTTTGAGAACAATGTTCTAGACGGCAATGGAGAGCACTGTTTGCTTGATGACATATTCTCGAACCGGGTGGGATGCCCAGGTTTGAAACACCCTAATAAACTGCGGCAGCTGTAGACTGTTTGCCTAGCAGCCTTTGCATTCCCCTTGTCCCTCTAACAGCACTTTCTTTCCTTGGGGACCTCACCACAATTCACAATTTGAGGAAATATGGACAGAGAAGACCTTCACCTAACCCTTATCTTTCACAAGCAGGCATTATATATGTTTATATGCTGAATAACGAAATGCCCTAAGTTTAGCAGGTAAATGGCATACATTTATTATCTTACTATCTCTGTGGGTTAGGCATCTTGGCACAGCTCAGCTTGGTCCTCCACTCAGGGTTTTTACCAGGCTGCCGTCCAGCTGTCAGCCAGGGTTCCAGTCTCATCTGAGGCTTGGGATCCCCTTCCAAGCTCACTTGTTGTTGGCAGAATTCAGTTCCTTGCAGCGGTAGCACTGAGGCCCTCAGACCCTAGAGACACCCACCATTTCACATCATCCCAGTTTCTTTCTTCAAGGCCATCAGGGGCCACTGCTTTAAGTCTTTGAGTCTCTGCTAAAGGACTCACTGGACTTGGTCAGGGCCACCCAAATAATCTCTTTTGTGGTTAACTCAAAAATCTATTGCTATTGCTAATTGTATCTGCAAAATTCCTTTACCTTTGTTATGAAAGGTAACCGTATTAAAGCAGTGACTATCCAATCATATTCACAGGTGCAGCCCACATTAAAAGGGAGAGAATTACATAGTGTGTACATTGGGGGCAAGAATCTTGGGGGCCACCTTAGAGTTCTGCCTGCAGTGGTCCTACCACAGCCTCTGATTATCACTTCCTGGTATCCAGACTCTTGTATAGTCCTTTCCCACACTGTACCAGGGCTGGTCTGTATAACCAATAGAATACAGCAGAAATTATGATATGTCACTTCTGATATGAGGTTATAAAAGACACTGTGGCTTCCATTTTGGTTTCTTTCACTCTCTGATCACTCACTCTTGAAGAGATCAGCTGCTGTGCTGTGTGAATGGCCCCACAGAGAGCCCATATGGCAAGGCACTGAATCCTCCCACCAGCAGCCACATGAATGAGTTTGGAAGCATTTTCTCCAGCTCCTTCAGATGATGGACACCCTGGGCAATATCTTAACTGCAACCCCATTAAAGACCCTGAGTCAGAATGACCCAGCTAAGCTGCTCCCAGATTCCTGTCCCTCAGAAACTGAGATGATAAATGTTTGTCTTAAGATGCTAATTTTTAGAGTAATATGTTATGCAGTAGTAGATTGTTCATAAATACCTGACCCAGGGCTGACTAATCTAGGAAGAGTGAAAGATGCCTGTGTCCCTCTTCCATAGCAATACGGGAGAAGCACAGGTGCAGCAGAAGTTAACACGCCCACAAAGAGAGGGGCAGACATCGAGAGTGGTTGATGATGCAAGATCAGCAGTGGTAATTTTTCAGCCTCTGGACCGGACCCAGTCAGTTGTGAATTAGTGCCATGCCTGTTCCCAGTATCATGAGCCAATACATTCCTCCACTCCCCTTTAAGTTCAGAATCTTTGAAGTATATTTAGACCCGCTGAAAACATTTTGGGTCTCTGTCCAACTCCAGCAAGCACAAATTTATACCAATATGCAATGCAGTCAAGCCAAAGACAGTAATTTGTGCTGCCCACCCCTCCCCTACTTTGATGCCTCTGATTAGGCTTCAATCTGATTTCTGTCATTTGCAACCAAGAGTTTTGACTCATAAAACCCCCTATAGGATCAGTTTCACGACTCAGTCAGGACGTTTCTTTTTTTAGGGGCTCTTTTCCTCCAAGGCCATGTTGGCTGATCCTGAATCACATGTTAGGTCATGCTTTTCAGGTTTCCTGGAAAGTAAGTTCTGTTTACTTGTACTTCTAAGAAAGCTCCTGTGGCACTTTCTTACAGGGAAGTCTTAACATGCTGAGAACATAGCAATTTGACTAAATGATCTACATTTATTCCAGGGTAAATTTCCTCTATAGTGTGTGGCTTTTTGCATCCTAACTTAGCTAATCAAACACTCTCTGGGTACTGAGCCAACTGTTCATGCTGAAGCAGCCTGAGCAGTCATTGTGGAGAGAAACACAATCAACAAATCCCACGCATGAATCCAGCACAAACTCTGATTCTAAGATGTAATTTCTTCATACTTGCTGCTCTCAGTGCAAAAGAGTCTTTAGAGACCCCATACTTAATCCACAATTCCGCCTCCTCCCAATTCTGAACTGCAGCAATGAGTGAACACAAATTGAGATCTTTCCTGGCATGTTCCCTTCCCTATATAACAACTACTACTGCAATTTTCTCCTGAACACCCCAGCACCACTATCAAAGTAGCACATAGATAATGCAGTTTAAAATTTATAGTCATAAGACAAAGTAAAAAACGCCACTCCTAACTGCCCTCCCCCATAATTCCAAAATTTACCATTTCTCAGAATAATATAGTGTGCAAAGTCTAAATTCACCTCAACAGCATCATCTCTTACTACTTGGATTCAAAGCCCAGGTCTATTTAAAGCTGTGTACTGTTGTCCAAGTTACCTAACTCCTTTTTGCCTCAGTTTCACATCTAGTAACAGGGATAATAATATTCACCTCCAAATCACTGTTATAAGAATTATGTTAATAATATTTGCAAAGCAATTAAAATGTTTCCTGGTCATGCAGTAATTTTCAAATAAATAGCTGCACAGATAATACTGGAACCTCATTGTATATCTCCCTACTTACCAGAGGAGGTGCGTTCTAGGCTTTAGTATATTCCACATCACCATCACAATCTGTGCAGGGTTAGTATTCTCCTACATGCTGTGTGGATAAAATTAGATTAAGGTGATTCCAGAGTATCAATGCCCCAGATGACCAGTAAAATAAAAACAAATTCCCTTTGGAAGAAAATATTATACCAAACTGAAAATTACTTCTACAACTTTTTTTTTTTCTTCGAGACAGAGTCTCATTCTGTTGCCCAGGCTGGAGTGCAGTGGCATGATCTCAGCTCACTGCAGCCTCCGCCTCCCGGGTTCAAGTGATTCTCCTGCCTCAGCCTCCCAAGTAGCTGGGACTACAGACACCCATCACCAGACCCTGCTAATTTTTGTATTTTTAGTAGGGACAGGGTTTCACCACGTTGGCCAGGCTGGTCTCGAACTCCTGACTTCAGGTGATCTACCCACCTCAGCCTCCCAAAGTGCTGGGATTACAGCATGAGCCACCATGCCCAGCCTCTACAACATTTTTGCAAATACAATGACACACAGTAAAAAATAGCCAGGCACTCAGAGACAAGAAAACAATCAAACAGATAACTGAAAATAAAACTCGCATGCACTTCAGATGTTAGTTTTTAGATATAGAATTTAACCATACTTTTTTTGTTCAAAGAGACAAGACAAGATAGAGAATTTTGGCAGAGAGCTGAAAACCATGATAAAGAACCAAACAGAAACTACAAGAACTGGGAAATAAGTGAAATTAGCAACAATAGATTGATTTAACAGCTGACTAGACAGTTAAAGAGAACCAGTACCCTGGATATTGATCTGTAAGAAAGTATTCAGAATGAAGCAAAGAGAAACAAAAGGATGGAACATTAGAAAGAAAGATGAGAAACAGAGGACACAGTGAGAAAGCATAAGTGAAATCCTAGGAAAAAGAAAGGAGAATGTGTAGGAATTATTTGAAGAAATAATGAAGGACAATTTTCCAAAACTGAAAGACATTAATTCACAGATTCAAGAAGCCCTATAAACCTCAAACAAGATAAACAACCAGGTACCTCACCAAAAATGTTAAAAACCAAAGAGAAAGTAACTTTTAAAGCAGTCAGAAGGCACAACAAAAAAGGCAGGTTGCCTTCAAAAGAGCAACAATTAGGCAAATACCTGACTTTTAAACACAGGTAATAGAAGCCAAAGATGAGAGAAAAATTTATTCTAAGTGATCAAAGAAAAGGACTTCCAACCCAAAATTGCAACCCCCAAATTATAACTTCCAACCCAAAATTGTAGCAAAAATATTTCAAGAATAAAGTGAAATAATTCTCAGACACAGAAAACATAATTTGAAGCCAGTAGAACTGCACTAAGTGAAATACTACAGGCATGTTTTTCAGGCAGAAGGAAAATGATACCAGGTGGAAGCTCAAATTCAGGAAGGGATGAAGAGCTATGAATATAGGGCAAATTTAAATAAGTAGACTAGCTTTCTCCCCATGGATGCTGCTGCAGAAGCATCATTAAAGTCTCTCTTTCCATAGCAGCCATGTCTAAGTCAGAGTCTCCTAAAAAGCCTGAACAGCTGCAGAAGCTTTTCATCACATGGTTGATCTTTGAAATAACTGATGAGGGTTTCTACAGCCATTTTGAGCAGTGAGAACTCTTATGGACTGTGTAGTAATGAGAGACTCAAACACCAAGCACTCCAGGGGTTTTGGGTTGTCCCATATGTCACCATGGAGGTAGATATAGCCATGAATGCAAAGCCATCTTATATGATTTGGCTGTATCCCCACCCAAATTTTATCTTGAATTGTAGCTCCCATAATTCCTACATGTTATGGAAGGGACTCAGTGGGAGATAATTGATTCATGGGGGCAGTTTTCCCCATACAGTTCTCATGGTAGTGAATAAGTCTTAGGAGATCTGATGGTTTTGTAAAGGGAAACTCCTTTTGCTTGGTTCTCATTTGTTCTTTGCTTGCTGCCATGTAAGATGTGCCTTTCACTTTCTGCCATGATTGTGACACCTCCCCAGCCACGTGGAACTGTAAGTCCATTAAACCTCTTTTCCTTTATAAATTACCCAGTCTTGAGTATGTCTTTATCAGTGGCATCAAATTGGACGAATACACCATACAAGGTGGATGGAAGAGTTGTGGAACCAAACAGAGCTGTCTCAAATGAAGAACTTCAGAGACCAGGTAACCACTTAAATGTGAAAAAGATTGTAGTGGCATTAAAAAAAAGACACCGAAGACCATCACCTAAGAAATAATTTTGAACAGTATGGAAAATTAAAGTGACTGAAATCATGACTGACTGAGGCAGTGGCAAGAAGAGGGGCTTTGCTTTCATAACTTTTGATGACCATGACTCCCTGGATAATACTGTCATTCAGAAATACCATCCTGTGAATGGCCACAATCATGAAATAAGGAAAGCCTTATTGAAGCAAGAGATGGCTAGTGCTTCATCCAGCCAAAGAGGTCAAAGTAGTTCTAGAGATGTGAGTGGTGGTCGTGGAGGTAGTTTTGGTAGGAATGACAACTTTGGTAGTAGAGGAAACTTCAATGGTTGTGGTGGCTTTGGTGGCAGCCGTGGTGATCGTAGATATGGTGGCTGCGGGCACGGCTATAATGGATTTGGTAGATAGAAACAATTTTGAAGGTAGAGAAAGCTATAACGATTTTTGGCAATTACAATAATCAATCTTCAAATTTTGGGCCTACGAAGGGAGGGAACTTTGGAGGCAGAAACTCTAGTTCCTATGGTGGGGGAGGCCAATACTTTGCCAAACTACAAAACCAAGATGGCTATGATGGTTCCAGTAGCAATAGTAGCAGAAGGTTTTAATTACTGCCAGGAAGCAAAGCTTAACAGGAGAGGAGAGCCAGAGAAGTGACAGGGGAGGTACAGGTTACAACAGATTTGTGAATTCAGCCAAGCACAGTGGTGGCAAGGCCTACCTGCTACAAAGATGACACATTTAAGACAATACTCATATGCATGGGCAAAAAACTGAAGAACTATATTTGTGACTAATTGCATTAGAGGTTATTTTAGTTTCTGTTTGTGGAACGTTTAAAGCATTCCATCAAAGGGTTTTAACATAGTTTTTTTTTGTTTTTTGCACCCATGCTGTTTATTTCTAAATGTAATAGTCTGGTCATGACACTGAATAAATGTCTTTCTAAAAAATAAATGAGACTAATGACAATAATAAGATTTTAAATATATAAATTTTAAACATAAATAAAACACACTGACATTCATATTTTAAATACAGATTAAAGACAGAATTAAAGTACCTAATAATGGCTTAAGACTTTAGAAGGGGCTAAAAAAAAGTGAGATGTCTGAAAGGAATATAGAATCTTTTCATTGCCCATGAAAAGTATAAAATACCAATTAATGTAAGGTTTTAAGAACCAATGAAGTATATCATAATTTGGTGGTTCACAAGTAAAAGAACTATAGAATGCATAACTTCTAAAGAGGTAGGGGGAGAAACAGAATTACAAATTTGCAGCAAGGCCCAGAAAGAAGGAAAAATTTAGAGCATATAAAAGCCCTAGAATAGATGAGATGAATAGAAAGCACGGAGTAAGTCAGACACAAAATAACTCCTACTGTATGATTTGAATTACCTGACATTCTGAAAACAGGCAAAACTTAACTGTACTGTTTAAGGATGTACACCTAGGTATAACACTAAAGAAAAGCAAGGACAGGATTACCATAGAAGCTAGAAGCTAGAAAGTATTTTCCTTTGACAGAGACAGAGAAGGTAGTGACTTGGAGGGGACATGAAGGAGCCTTGTGAAAGCCTAGGAGTGCTTGATTGCCTGGCAAACCAGGTGGTTATCTTGTGGGCTTTTGTTTTGTGTTGATTCATTTAGCTATGTTTTGTGCACTTCTCTGTATTTATTCTATTTTCACAAAAATATTAAAAGTATAAGGAAGATCTAAATGTGCTGATACAGTCAAATCTTCAGAAATGTACAGTTAATAAAATAAGGCATGGAACAGCAAAAATGCTCTTGTTATATGAAAAAAGCTTACATATTCATATATATGCTTGTATTCACATAAATAATTTCTCAAAACGTATGTAATAATAAATTTAATGTAGTCCACTGCCTCTGAGAGGGGAGACTAGGACTCTGGTATTTATGAGAAGGGGCTAATTTTTATCTGTATGCTTTTACTGTGAAAATAACCTTTGAATTACATTTAATAATAAATAGATTCACCAACCTGTGAATTAACTATTAAGACAAAGTAGGGTTACCATTTGATGAAATCATTGTTTTCTAACAAAGGAGTGCATTTTGAAATCTTAAGTCTGGCATTTTTAACCAAAAATTGTAAATCACTGCTAAATTTGTTCAAAAGATGGGTTGAATTTTCACAAGCAATAAGAAAAGAAAAGTGGCTTTTATTTTAAATGGATACCCATGAAGTGATTATCTTTCAATTTCCCTTACATAAGTGGAGTGGAGATAGGTATAGATAATTCATTTTCATTTCAGTTCCCTTCTAGAACATTGTGATGTTTTCCATCTGCATTACAATAGAGCACTACTAAAAAATGGAAGCAAATTTAGGGTAAACCAAATGGCTAAATGTGAGAATCTGCCACAAATCATGAAATTGTCCTTTAGGCTTTTAGTTATATGAACAAGTAGTTTAGACCAGAATCCAATAATATGAATAATCTCAGTTGTCAAAGCAATTAGAACATAGTACGGATTTCAGGGAAATCCATTTACTAAATAAATGAGAAAAGCACCCATTGTTGACAAGGTGTGAAGAGATGAGCCCACTCAGGATTTCTGGGTAAAGACAGCAGCTTAAATACATGTTTATAATTTTGTTTCTTATCTCCTTAACTCAATAAAAATTTAGGGAAGGGATTTTTCTTTTCAAATTTTTTAAATTTTTATGGGTACACAGTAGGTATATATATTTATGGGGTACATGAGAAGTTTTGATACAGGCATGCATGTGAAATAAGCACATCATGGAGAATAGGGGTATCCATCCCCTCAAGCAATTATCCTTTGAGTTAAAAACAATCCAATTATACTCTTTCAGTTACTTAAAATTGTACAATTAAGTTATTGACTATAGCCGCCCTGTTGTGTTACCAAATAGTAGGTCTTATTCATTCTTTCTATTCCATTAACCATCCCCACCTCACTGCCCCCCAACCACAGACCCCCCCACTATGGGAAGGATTGTTTTTGTTTTTTAAGAAATGGATAAAGCAGAAAAAGAGGTGAGGTCAAAACAAACAAACAAACAAACAAAAAAGTCAGCAAAAATTTGGAAACTAGAGAAAAATGGGCAAGTAGTAACTGACTTAGTAAACCCAAGAAAATGAATCTGTAGTTAATGGGAAAATGTGAAAGTCCACCAACTTGTACCATATAGTACTCAAAAGACATAGGAACTGCTTTGGAACTGGTAATGGAAAAAAAAGAAAAAGACTAAGATAAGAAAACCTCATAGGAAAGCTATTTCTTACAGCCATCCAATGCAGGTGGGATGAACCCCTCCCAATTAATAGGTGAGACGTCCTGACTGATGACGCCATGTACACACCAAGAGGTGAGAACACATTGTATTACATCATGGAACTTTCTAAACATAGTGGGACAACACCCAGGCTAGTCTGGAATGAGCTTGAGAACGTTTCGAAAGCAAGAATGAGAATAAGTAGACTTGGTTTTTATCATAGATAGGCGGTTGGATGAGGGAAAATCCACTCCCCCACATAGGTTGAACTTTCTGCTGTGTCCAGGGGGCAGCACCAGCTTTCTTACCAACTTGCTCAAATATGAGGCAGAAGAGGAAAGAGGAGGTGGGCATGAAAGCTCTCAGCAGTCAAAGATAAAAATGGAGTCAGACTCTTAAACGATTTAAGAAGTTAAACCCCCTAGATTCTCTCCTGCACTCCACTTTACTGAACAATTGCCCCTTTCTTTGGAGAAATCCATGGAGAAACAAAGCATAATAATGTCTGAATTGATGGTCCAGGCACAGATTAGAGTTAAGGTAGAGGTTAAGACTAATTTATCAAACAGATATCTAATGCTGAACACAGAGACCCAGCCTGTATCACCCTCCAGTGACTTCCGCCTGAGAGGCATGGCCCACAGTCCGAGCTCTTAGAGCCTCCAATAAGCTTCCCTCATTCTTAATGTTAAGCAGACATTGAGGGATTACCAGATACCCTGAGGAAAGCTGTCACAGAAGACAGAAATAAATGAAACCAACCTCCCTTACAAAAAGACATCCTGGAGTAAATAAAAATATGCAAGCAAGCGAGGGTGAAAATCAACAAAAACAAATGAAATAAAACTATAACTAACATCTTCAGAGAGATAAGAAAAAGTTACATTCATAAAAAAGGAACAGAATGGCATAAGAAATTAACAGAAAAGACATCTTGGAATTGAGAACATAAGAGCAGAAGTCATTAACAGGGTTAGAAAATAAAGTAGAGACTGTCTCCTAGACAGTAAATAGACACAGAGGCAGAAAATAAGCAAAAAAGATTTTTAAAATCAGGTGACAACTCTAAAAAATCTAGAGAAAAAGAGAAAACAGGAAACAGGGTAGAAAACAAAAGTATTTAAGAAAATTTTCCAGAATAATAAATGAATTGCTATTACTGAAAAAAAGCTTACTGAATAAAAGTGGTGGATGAAAGCATTCACACAAAGATACTCCATTTTGAAATTTCAGAAAACTAGGGAAAAAGAAGAGTCCATCAACTTCCAGGAGAAAAAAGCTAATAGAAAGGGCCAGGAATCATAGTGGCTTCAGACTTTGCAACAGCATGACTTGCCAGCAAAAAGAAAACGCAACCACATCCAGAATTCTAAAGAAAAATTACTTGTAACTTGCAAGTATGGTCAAACTCCCAAACGGGAGGGCAGAATGACATTTTCAGACATGCACTATCTCAAAAACAAAATAAATGTATTACCCATCCTCTCTTTTCAAGAAGCTATGGGAAAATGTGCTCCACCAAAATAAGAGTATAAACCAATAAAGACGACAACGTGATACAGAAAATTAGTTCAAAATAGAAGAGGAGTCAAGGGATTCCTAGGAGGATGGTGAACAGACATTCCAAAATGCTAGCTGGAATCTGGACCAGACTGGAGAGGAGTGAGTCTAAATGGACATGCCTCTGCCTGTTAGAACCATGATCCCCACTGCTTTGGCACAGTCTTTTTTTTTTTTTTTTTTTTTAAACACCTGGAGAAATGTTCTGGTGAGACTGGCCCGGATACGAATCTAGTGATCTTGACAATTTGCTAATAAATTCCTTATTCTTTCTTCCAGGTCCTGCTGCCTAAATCAACTGTGGACATTTATTCATTCTGCCAAAGTGTTCTGTTATCACTGACTTCTGCGAGCTGGAACAAGCTTAGCAGCAAGAAACCCAGGGTAATTCATGCCACTCCCACTGATCACGTGGTTAGTACCTGCTTTGCATTACAGTCCTTGCAAATGTATGGACTGTGGTGAGCTTCATGGTCTCTCCCTCTGAATATACCAGAAAGCCCCCTTATAAAGTCCCAGGATGCAGAAGACTGCAAGTTCATCTTGTCCTAGACAACTTTACCTAACAGCGGTGACCATACCCTCCTCACACAACTAGCTTTGTATTTGCCGCCCACATTTAAAAAATCTATATAATATTTAGGACTACAAATAGTTATATATACACACACACTCTATCATTTAACTATGAAAACTATGAAGAAAACCAAGGGAATGCATAACCCTAAATTCTAGATGATTTACCTGTGAAGAGGGGAGGCATGAAGAAGTATGATGAGAATCAGCAAATGCAGGAGGATTCTATTAGGTTGGTGCAAAAGTAATCGTGGTCTTTGCCATTAAAAGTCATGACAAAAACCGCAATTGCTTTTGCACCAACTTAATAAATTCTATTTCATAACCTTGGTGGAGGATTCAAGGGTTAGGTTTTTTTCTGTTGTTCTTTGGACTGTACATTTTACACATAATTTCACATGCAGAAAATAAAAGGAAAAGAAATAAGCCTACTCATATAGAAATGGTTCAAGTGTAAATTGGAACAAACTTCCTGGCTGACTTCTTGGCAACAAATATCAAAAACCTTAAAATTGGCCATGCTTTTTAAGCCAATAATTCTTCTAGGAAATAGTCTATGAAAAGTTGGACACTGCAAAGTATACAGATTTGCTAAATCAGAAACAGTGAAAACTTAGGAGCCCAAAATAACCTATCTTGCAGAATTTATTAAAATAAGTGGGATATTCATGCAATTGACCATTATGCAGTCATGACATGCTGTTGTTTACTGTCATGGGTAAAGTCGACATTATACTGAAATTTATTTCAAATATGCATAGGCTATGTGATATGTACATGCATGCACGGGGCGAATCTGCTCCACAGGGATGGTTAGTTGATATCTGAAGAATCCTATTCAGAGCAAGCACTCCACAAATCTGTGCTTTAGAAGCAGCTACTGCAAGTGCTTCAATGAGAACTAACTCCATCAGTATCGGGTTTGCTAACTAGCAAAAGAGATACTCAAAATATTTTATTGTTGGAAAAATGTACAAGCACATCTGCTCTTGCATTAATAGGAGTATGATAGAAACCGCAAGAGCAGTTAGCACTAGAATATTTTAGTGTCTGCCTCTAGTAAACTTGTCATGAAAGGAACTTCAAGTACCTAAAAGAAACGAGCTTGGCACATCACCAAGTTTTGCAAGAACAGGTTTTGTGACTCTTTATGGTCACTTGGTAAATGTGTGTGTGTGTATTATTTTGGGTTCTTCAGAGAAGCAGATGCCAAGACAGAATTATTGCAGAAGATTTATTGGTAGAATATTCAAGAAGGACAAGGAGAAGGAGCTGAAGAAGGCAAGAAGAAGCTTAAGATCATAATAAAGTTCTAACACTTGAAAAGAGTCGAGGAAGGAAGGAAGATCAAGTGGGAAGAGTCTCAGATTAGAGTGGGGTTCCAAGAAAGCTTCAGCCTGACCAATGGAGAAGTTGTATGCCAAAGTCATATGACTCTATTTTCCTTCTTTAAGTCAAGTACATGATGTGGTGTGAGAAAAAAAAAAAAGTATTTTACTAGCTATCACTATGGTTTCTTTTAGGGTCTTTGCCTCTTTCCCACCCAGGCCCTCATATTCTGAACTATCTCATCAAGGCATGTTCCTAAGGTACCATAAATAAGAAATAAACAGGAATTTCGGATGTGGGAAGGAGAGAAGAGAGAAGGAACAGAGAAAGAGCATAGGAACAAGGTAGTCAGTGGCCAAAGAACTTAGAGCTACCTTGTGAGTGATATTGTATGTGTTTGGGGAGAATGGAGCTATTTGCGAAGTGGAGAAAAGGAAATAGCTACAAAATGAAAGAAATGAGATGTCATAACCAATGTTGACAAAGAGACAAAGATAAATATGAATCTCTGGGGAATTCCAGGAATCTTGGAGAATGCACTTCCATATGGTGTAGGATGGAAGTAAAGCTGATCTAAAGTAGGTTGTAAGAAGCAGGATCAACACAACTTATAGCTTAAAGACAGACACAGGCAAAATATATGTGGGTAGGAAAATATTTGACAGCATGAGTAAAATGTTAGTATTGTTTCTTTACATGATAGAGTTGTGATTTTTTTTTCTTCTCCATTTTCTAATTTTTCCTCAATGAACATGAATTAGTATAATACGAAGAAAAAGATGTTGGGGGAAAAGGAAAATAATTTGGGTGATTTTTTATTTCCAGGAATTAGACTGAGCATTAGCTAAGTGCAGGCATTGTTTTCAGCATAGTTTCCAATATAACTGGTGAATTATAAGAGAACTCCATAGAGAAGGTCAGTTTACCCTGTAACCCATGGATGGATGCACTTTGCAGCTAATGCATCCTGGTAGACATATTTAGGAGACCATGTTTGTCAAAGTGGAATTTTTAGTTAGGATTTTATCCATGGCCATTGATGATGACTGGCTATACCCTCCATGAAAAGTTATTGTCTAGAACCATTCTATTCTGCTTTATAGTGAGGTCTGAAGAAAAATATTGCTCCATAAGGACCAAATTCAAAATTGGCTACAGTCAAAGCTAATATTGAATTTTTTTTTTTTTTTTTGAGATGGAGTCTCACTCTGTCACCCAGGCTGGAGTGCAGTGGCATGATCTCAGCTCACTGCAACCTCAGCCTCCTTGGTTCAAGTGATTCTCCTGCCTCAGCCTCCTGAGTAGCTGGGATTACAGGCATGTGCCACCACGCCTGACTAATTTTTTATTTTTAGTACAGACAGGGTTTCTCCATGTTGGTGAGGCTGGTCTCGAATTCCCGACCTCAGGTGATCTGCCTGCCTCAGCCTCCCAAGGTGCTGGGATTATAGGTGTGAGCCACCATGCCCGACAATATTTTCTTTAATAAGTAATCTCCCAGGCTGGGTGCGATGGCTCACGCCTGTAATTCCAGCACTTTGGGAGGCTGAGGCGGGCGGATCACAAGGTCAGGAGTTCAAGGCCAGCCTGACCAACATGGTGAAACCTTGTCTCTACTAAAAATACAAAAATTAGCCAGCTGTGGTGGTGCGTGCCTGTGATCCCAGCTACTTGGGAGGCTGAGGCAGGAGAATCGCTTGAACCTAGGAGGCAGAGGTTGCAGTGAGCCAAGAACGTGCCACTGCACTCCAGCCTGGGCAACAGAGTGAGACTCCATCTCAAAAAAAAAAAAAAAAGAAGTAATCTCCCTACTATCCTAGGCTACCTCACCCTCTTACAGATTTGATTAATCAGGATTCTATTAGTAAACTTACATCCTGCCTATGTAAAATAATAAAGTACCAACCTCAAGGGCTGGGACATCCAGATGTTCCCTTCTTCCCTCACTGCTGCTCAGTCCTCCACTTGCCTGCTTAATTTCTAAAGCCTACATAGCCATCTTTAATCAGCAACAGCTGGGACTTTAGACCACCCTACTAGAGGATAGTGAAGAATGTGTCTATACTTTAAAAAAATCCTGGTTAGAAATGTCACAGAGATCCTAGTTGCACACCGTATATCCACTTCTACAGATTCGTTAAACTCTACCCTTGGATTAAGCTGGATCACAGGAAGAATATGTGCTGTCACTGGCCACAGTGTCTTTCTATAAAGACAAAAGGTTCCCCTTCTTCCAGGTAGACCCTGCCTCCTACCATGGTACATGCTTTGGTGAGAGGAACCAGGACTGGATTGCAATTTCTATTTACCCCATGAGCCTAGTACACTGTTCAATCTGGATAACTGTCCACAACAGCCATGATTTTTGTGCTTAGAAGACATTAACTTAGTCCCATGAAGAAATCCTGTCACTAAGTCATGCTTCACCTCTAAACTTTTTCTATCCTCCTATCTCTCCAGCCATATTTATTGAGGGTCTTAGTGGACCAATGTTCACAGCTTTTTGGATTTCATGGACCAGTTAAATTCCTAAAGAAAATGGTTTTCGTGAACTGACATAGGGTTGCCAAATTTTATTTGGAAAAAAAAATAGGGCCTAAAGCGTGCGATTTAGTAAGCATAGTAATTTCAAAATAAAAGCCAATATTTCTGGAGAAATAAAAGCTGTTTACCTAAATCCACATTTTTTCTTTGATAAAGTAAAGCTTAATCAGTGCATTGGGATGTGGTTGACCTAGCTGTAACTGTCTCCCTTTCCAGCATCCTCTGGGCCCTTCTCTTCCAAGGTACACCAGTTGTCTGCAGGTTCTCCAGCCTACCCCATCACTTCTCTTGGTCTCTGAACCTGGGTGATGCCTTTTAATCTTTCAGGTCTTAGACTGGGGAGTCAAGGAAGGATTCTAAGCCAGAGACATTTAAGCAAATTTAGGAACTCTTACTTTTCCATAAATGATACAAAAGCTAAGCATAATTAGTTATATATCGATAGATTTAATATTTATCATGCCTACTATACTGTGAGCTTCATGAGAATAGCATTCATGTCTATGTAGTTTTGCCTCTGGCACCTGACCCAGTATCTGGCCACCTTAGTACTTGTTTTTAACCAGAGGAACTTCTTCCCTTCTTTCTGAATATTAAAGATTTTATAATTTGTTTCTCACTTTGCCCTGTTTCCAAGAATCTTAGACACAGGATTATACTTTATCACAGCAACTGTGTTGACTTTTCCGGCTGGAATATTTACTCTTTCCTCTTTCATCTTTTTTTTTCATTTTTTTTTTTTTTACTGTTTGTCATAAGCTGTTCTAAGCTGTTTCAAATTTCAGAAACATGTAGGGTGTAAATAAATAAATAAAAGCCTTATAATGCAATAGCTCACCTGTTCCTGAAATAAAATGCTGACATTTCAAATGTTCCTTATTGTAAAGGTTAGATGACTAAATATATTCCTCTTCTGCTACCTTAGATTACCCAAATAAACATCCAGCACATATAAACCACACAAATAGACCAGGCTTGTGAAGGAGGTAGCTTTAAGGGCCAGGTAGATGTTTGAAAAATCAAGATAAAAGAAAACGCAAGGTATAGCATTCTAGTTTAAAAACAAACAAACAACCATAAGAAAACTACCACATATACTTCTATTTATGCTTATTATATGCCCTTTTAAAATACCAAGAGAAGCCAGCTGCCAGCTGGGGTGCTTTCCAAAAATTTTGAACAAGCATCACGACTCTATTCTCCCATGAGGCTTATATAGGTCTGCTCTTAACATTCTAAATGGATTAGAGTAGCTATCTCTAGTTTGGTAAATAATACTTAAAACTGGGCCAAACATCAATCAAGCTTCAAATTCTGATTATTTTCTAATAAAGAGGATTTAGCACAAAATATACAGAAGGCAACATATCCTAATTGGCTTAATGACGCCTTTAAGACATATATCACATGCAATGATAGGGTAGTTGCTCTGAGAAAGTATACTGACATGGATCCTGGACACACGTTTAAGCTATAAGAGACTGTAATTCCCATTCTATGGAACAGGATCCATCTTGGTCATATCTGAGGGTTCTCTGATAGCTGAAGTTCTTGTCTCCAAAGCTGCAAGTCTCAATCAGCATGCACAGCACTTTTATGGAATATCCAGGGCTCAGCTCTGAACTTAAGGCTCTTCTAAGGGCAGAGAGGCAAGAGGATGCACCCCTGGCACACACTTGCTGAGCCCCCTTGAATTTAATTCCACAGGGTGAGAGCCTCTGATAAAATGCTTAACGTGGGTACAAAAGCACCATTTCCCACCCATCTGGGAAAATAAGGGTGTTTGTTCTACTGAAGAGCTGAAAATAAATTTTGGCCCGGAGCTTGATATCTTGCTTAGTAGGACAGCAAACTTTCTATTCAGATAAGTAGGGGAAAAAATCCCAATTCAGAGTGGCAGGCTTCTTTGACAGTGGTGACACCTGAGCCTTGGGGTCAACCCAGTGGGTGTTTCAGCAGGAAGCAGTGAGAGCATGGGCTCTGGAGTCAGGCTTGGCTGTGACTTATAGCTCCAAAATTTACAAGTGAGATGACTTATAATATGATAATCTTTAAACTGTTTCCTTCCTTGTGAAATGGAGGTTCAAGGTGGCAGTGGATAAAAATAATGTATTTCATCCACACATCAATCGATGAAGTAAAATGTCTGGCTCTATAATAGGTACACAAATATTCGTTCACAGCCTACCGCCCTCTCCTCACCTTCCCGTCTTCTCAGCTTTCCTTTTGACCGGGGAGGTTGCAGGTGACATGGAGAGAGGAGCCATGGTGTGGCCAGGCCCAGCCTCAAGGTATCTGGGGTCAGGAAAACCCCTCCCCATCCCTGCCAATCTTCCTCACTGCCCAACAATATTCTTATCCTATTTAAAAATTGGGAAGCAATGAATTTCAATAACTTCAAGAAAAGATTCAAAAGGGGAAGGAATCCACAAAATGGAAAAAAGGCCAGCCTAAGGATGTAGGAGTAGGAATTTTTTTTTTTTTTTTAAGAGACAGTATAGGGCCATGGATTTGCTTTGCTCCTGCTGACAAGATTAAGTGCTCACAAGAATATGGAATGCAGTGCTACAGTTGTTCCCCCAATCTCCTCCATCTCTTTCTCCTTTGACCTCTTTCTCTGTATCAAGTATTCATAGGCACAAATCTTAGTACAACAGATTGCCAGCTTGCTAGTGTTTGTGTGCACAAAGATAAAAAAAAATCAATCTGAACTCCACACAGCAGAAGTAAAGGTATATACAATTATGCGACATCACGGTGTGTACTAGAGTTAATGCTAGGAATGATGGAACTCAGAAGAGAAAGTGATACCTCCTCTGTAAATTGATCATAGTCCCCAAAGATAATTAAATAGTGCATTTTAAATTAAGAAGGACTTAGTTGGGGTCTGGAGACAAAAAGGAGGGGTCTGATGAAGTCATCATAACCCTGAAAGATGTATGCTCGGAGTTCAGTTCCTGAACACTCTTAGCTTCGATTTCCACGCTAGTAAGTTAGGACTGACTTGCCCAAGGTCACAGAGGTTAATGTCTATGTGGCAAAGAGTCAGACCTTACTCCATATCCAGTCTTTTCACTACCCCATGGATATAACTACAGGTAGGGTCCATACAGGACACCTGTTGTGCAGGACTTCAACCTACTTAGTCCACCTCTTACTCCAGCCACATTGTAGCAGTCAGTTCTGTGAAGGTTTTAACCGGCAGCTACAGGGGCAGTCAGTGGCATTTTGCCTTGGTGCTGCACCACTGCCCAAAGAGCTCTGAAGCAGAGATTGAGAGCACCACAGGAATCCTCTCAGCACCCCCACAACACATGCACACACAACCCAGAAAGAGAGGAGGTAATATCCGTGGGGGCCCTGGAGAGGATGAATAAATGCTCCCACTCCTTGCCCTTGTTGAGTGGTTCTGAAACATATTTACTAATGTTCTCCAGAAAATCCCCCGGGATTAAGCATAGTTCCCAATGGTTGGGATCCAATCAGTAACACATCTGTGTTGACCTTCCCTCACTGCTGGTTTCACTCCCCCGAATCACAATCCTGCTCGTTGGTACAAGACTACCCACACCAGCCTTTTTCCAAAATAAAGAATTGTGCATGACTCAAGCCTGAGAAAAACTGTCTTTATATAATTATCTCACAGAATATATATTTCTAGTCTTAAAACAGACTTGCATTTCTAACTACCCCACAGGTATTGATACTCTTGAAAACTCTTGGAATGCCATATTACACTGGTCAGAAGTACAGTATCATCCTTTTGCCATGAAAACTAGCCTCTCCAGACCTTAATTTTGGCAAGGCACCACTTTTCTCCTTAATTTCAAAATGTTGAGTCCTCCCACAACTGTTCGTTCCTCAAGAATGTTCAGCTGTTGTGTTTTTTTAGTTTCATCATCACTACATTGAAGCTCTGTTCACAACCTCCATTTCACCATCTCACCAGATTAAACAGATTTTCTCCATTCCCTCTGTAAAATATACTCTTAGTTCAGGTTCCCTTGAGGCAGAGCCAGAAATGGTGATTATCATGCAGTGGAATTACTGAGGGTGAGCTTTCAGGAGAAAATTGTAAGGAATCAAGGAAGTAGGACAGAGAAAGGGAAGAAGCCAAGCAAAAAATGAGCTTGGCTGAGGTCTGGTCTCTATCTCATAGCATCAGGAGCACTGGAACCTGAGTGGCACCACAGACTTGCTCACCCTTGCTGCAAGGGGCCAGCTTGTCCTCAAATCAGCCTGTCATTGGGCATGGGCCACCCCCGGGGAAACATCATAGCTTCCCAGGCATCTCTGGGCAAAGGTAAATCTCTGGAAGAGTGTATACAAAGGCCATTAGCAGCCAGCACTCACAGCAGCTGGAGTTTGGGTGCACCTGCCTAGAAAAGGGGATCTGGGCAGGACATCAACAGGCCCTACTGTTCATACTTTTCCCTGTCCCTTGACATAGCTAGTAGTCTGCAAGGTCCAGCCAGGGAGCAGAAACACCACAGGTTTTTGATAAAGAAGAAATTTATTATCTTACAGAAAATTGGCCACATGGGTGATGGCTGGGAAGCAATAGGGGTGAGTGAGGCAATCCAGAAATTAGCAGTAACAAGAAGCTGCTATAACCCATAAGGCTGGAGGGATAACAGAAGAAGGAACTGGTGAGAGTCTGGACCGTCTGGGGGGATTAGAGCCACTAAGAGGATGCAGAAGAGAGGCAGCCTCTGGCAGGACACCTCAGGAAGTAAGAATGGTGAATGGGGGGAACGTGGCTTCTTCCCTCCCCTCTCCTCCAGCCCTCCCGTTTTCCGCCTGTGCCTGCCATTGGCTGGACATACACAGAAGCCAGAGGGAAAGGCAGTCTGGGAAATGTGGTTTCTTGCAATGTGGCACATAGCAGAGTGAGGAAGGGCAGAAAAGAGAACAAGAACTGATAAGCAGACACTGACACACCGCTGCAGTACATCTGCACAATTCTGTTCATACCAAGTGAGTTATATACTTACCAAAACAGCTGTGTTTTGTCCATTTTCTCTGCTATGATGTAGAGTAAACTAGTTTGGGGACATAGACATCTCTTGAGATTAAAATAGAAGTAATCAAATCTATGTCAGGCCCTAGTTACTGCAATCAAATGTGTATATACCATGTATGATTTCTCTAGCTCAGTTTCTAGTTCTCAACTATGGAAAAGACCAACCTTGAAAGCTACACTCCTTTCTTGTGCCCAATACCCAATCTTAAATCTAGAAAAAGGGATAAGCTTTTTCTAGAGCTTGGCTCTAGAAAAGTTGGAGGATTTTTGAAGGTAGTATCAAGAATGCAGCTCCATTTCATTCATAATTTTGGCACAGACTGATTTACCATGATGCTCCTCTCACTTGAATTTCCATTTTCTCCTTCTTATATCTGGGTAAATAATACTTAATGTTTGATATTACTTGATGTTTTCAAAATGTTAGCCATCACTTTAAATATTTCACTGTGCACTAAATAACATAAGTAAGCATTAAACATAGGTCCAAATTTAGTTGGCATATTTACATGTGTCTTTGATTATTATTTGCAAAGTTGTGTCAGTACTTGGGATTACTCAAGAGGCAGTTTAGACCAAGGCCATCCCAAGGGGCTTAACAAAATGATTACAGGCTTATTAGAAAACACAGAAAGACAAGCTTCCCAGGTGTTGTTCTCTACTACTTGCAAATCACACCGCTGATAAAAGACCATAGGTTTGTTATGAGTAGAACAATTTCCTAAGTACATATGCTAGATACAGACACATACCCCTATTTACACTTGGTAAAGTGAGAAACAACAGATTTCTGTAAATGTTCTTAATTCTATATTTCTTTAAAACAACATGGAAGGTCTATAAGTTACAACCCTCTACCAGATTTATAGTGCATTTTGGTGAATGGTAATACTATTTCTTGTGCAAGAAATAGTATTTTTGTGTAGGAATATCTGCATACATTTGCCAAAACTTCATTTGTGCTAAAGATGATGACTGAATATGTCTTTTAAATGTTGTATTAAAATTTTTCTGTTCAAGGAATTTATACACATAGAGTAAAATATAGTATAGCAAATACTCACCTCTTCCCCAAATCCAATTCTTGATGGTCTCTCAAGCTTTCAAATCAGCCTTGAGATGTACCACAAGGGCATCCAGTTCTATATGTGCTGAGATGAGAAATCAAATCCATAATCATAACAAACAAGCAAATTTATTCTCACTGCCAATGTGGATGTGGGATGCAGTTCATTTTCAGTGATTAATGACTTGTGAGAATCAGAATTCAGATCATTATACTATGAACATTTCTCTTGATAATCCAAATGAATTACTCTGACTTGCCAAGAAATTTCAAAAAAATTAACAATTAAGCCAGCTGATTTTTTCCAATAAGAGGGGAACAATATGTCATTAATCTCTACAGAATATGATGGATGAAAATAACACAAATATATTAACAGGTATTTTTGATGAATTTTGAATTCTTTGGGTATGTTTCCCCTGAAGGTAATATGTAAAATGTATAATTGCTTTTTATTCATGTAAGACTTGTTTTTCCTATAAATATCAAAACTGGGACTAATATAACATCTTTTATTAATTTAGCCTAATTTCTCTCTGGAAAAATATATTTTCTCTGATCTAGATAAATATAAGCGGTATAAGAATACAAATTTGGGGAGTCATGAGGAGGAGAAAGAAAGTGCTAATTTTTAAAAAGTAGGGGTATGTCAAAAGGACACAGGCATCAACTTTAAAGAGCCTGTAATGACCAAAGCAGCTAGAAATTTTAAGCAGCAAAATAAATTATAATATTAGATTATAACCCAAAGAATAAAAAATCCATGTAATATAAATAATCCACTAATGTGCATAAATGGTTGAATACATAACTTTTTTCCATACCAAATAATTTCAAATAATATATATAAACATACTACCCTCCTCCAAGAGGTGGGCAGCTTAATTTCCCTCCCCTTGAGTGTGGGCTGGATTTAGTCATTCAGTTCCAACAACCAGAGCATGGGGGAAAAAATAGTAATTTTATAATGGAAAACCCTGACAGACATTACTTTAACCATGTGATTGAGATTAACATTATCAGTAAGTCATGTTGCTATTATGTATCCCTACATGTGATAAGGGCACTACACCTGTGTAGTACTCTGCCACAAAACCCACAACCCCAGTCTAATAATGAGAAAAACATAAGACAAAGTCAAATTGAAGATAGTCTACAAATTACCTGAGCATTATACCTCAAAACTGTCAAGGTCACAAAAAAACAAAAAAGGAGAAACTTGAAGTTTGGAGAAGACTAAGAAGACCTAACTGCTACCAGAGCCATCCTAAGCAAACAGAACAAAACAGGAGGAATCACATTACCTGATTTTAAATTATGCTACAGAGCTATAATAGTCAAAACAGTGTGGTACTTGCATAAAAACAGACACATAGACCAGTGGAACAGAATAGAAAACCCAGAAAAAAATCTACATATGTACAGTAAATTCATTTTCAACAAAGGTACCAAGAACATTCACTGGGGAAAAGATAGTCTCTTCAATATATGGTGCTTGCAAAACTGGATATCCATATGCAGAAGACTGAAACTAGAACCCTACCTCTTGCCATATACAAAAATCAAATAAAAGTGGATTAAAGACTTAAATCTAAGACCTCAAACCATGAAACGGTTACAAGAAACACTGGGGAAAATCTCTAGGACATTGGTCTGGGGAAAAATTTCTTGAGCAATACCCCACAAGCACAGGCAACCAAAGCAAAAATGGACAAATGGGATCACATCAAGTTAAAAAGCTTCCGCATAGCAAAGGAAACAATCAACAAAGTGAAGAGACAACCCACAGAATGGGAGAAAATATTTGCAAACTACCCCTCTGACAAGGGATTCATCACCAGACTATATAAGGAGCTCAAATAACTCTATAGGAAAAAATCTAATAATCCAATTTAAAAAAATGGGCAAAAGATTTGAATAGACATATCTCAGAAGATGTACAAATGGCAAACAGGCATACGAAAAGGTGCTCAACATCACTGATCAGAGAAATGCAAATCAAAACTATAATGAGATATCATCTCACCCCCGTTAAAATGGCTTCTATCCAAAAGACAGGCAATAACAAATGCTGGCAAGGATGTGGAGAAAAGGGAATGCTCATACCTTGTTGGTGGGAATCTAAATTAGTACAACAGTATGAAGAAAAGTTTGGAGGTTCCTAAAAAACTAAAAATTGAACTACTGTATGATCCAGCAATCCCACTGCTGGGTATATACCCAAGAGAAAGGAAATCAGTATATCAAAGAGATATTTGCACTGCTATGTTTGTTACAGCACTGCTCATAATAGCTAAGATTTGGAAGCAACGTAAGTGTCCATCAACAGATAAATGGATAAAAGAAAATGTGGTACATATATACAATGGAGTAACTATTCAGCCATAAAAAAGAATGAGATCCAATTAGTTGCAACGACATGGATGGAGCTGGAGATTATTATGTTAAGTGAAATAAGCCAGGCACAGAAAGACAAACGTCACATGTTCTCACTCGTTTGTTGGATCTAAAAATCAAAACCATTAAACTCATGGGCCTGGAGAGTAGGTTTGTTACCAGAGGCTGGGAAGGGTAGTGGTGGTTGCGGGGAAGGTGGGGATGGTTAATGGGTACAAAAAATAGTTAGAAAGAATCAATAAGACCTATTATGTGGTAGCACAACAGAGTGACTATAATCAATAACATAATTGCACATTTTAAAATAATTTTAAGAGTGTAATTGAATTATTTGTAATTCAAAGGACAAATGCTTAATAGGATGGATACCCCATTCTCCATGATGTCCTTATTTTACATTGCATGCATGTATTAAAACATTTCATGTATCTCATACATATATATACCTGTTATGTACCCACAAAAATTAAAATTGAAAATAAAAAAAAAGACCTAATTACTAAATGCATTGTGGTATTCTGGATTGGATCCTGAAACAGAAAAAGGAAGTTACTGGGAAAACTGGTGACCTTCAAATAGAATCTGTAGTTTAGTTAGTAGTATTGTACCATGATAATTTCTTAAGTTTTGACAAATGAACCATGTATATACAATGTTAACAAAGTGGAAGCTGGGCAAAAGTTAACAAGAACTCTTTTTTTTTTTTTTGAGACAGAGTTTCACTCTTATTGCCCAGACTGAAGTGCAGTGGCGTGATCTTGGCTGACTGCAACCTCCGTCTTCTTGTTTCAAGTGATTCTCCTGCCTCAGCCTCCCGAGTAGCTGGGATTACAGGCACCTGCCACCAGGCCTGGCTAATTTTTGTATTTTTAGTAGAGATGGGGTTTCACCATGTTGGCCAGGCTGGTCTCGAACTCCTTACCTCATGATCCACCCGCCTCGGCCTCCCAAATTACTGAGATTACAGCCGTGAGCCACCACGCCTGGCCAACAAGAACTCTTATAATATCTTCATAACTTTTCTGTAACTCTAAAATTATTCTAACATAAAAATGGTTATTACTCAGAACCAAATGAAAAAGCACAACATATACAAAGAGGTAGAATACAATAAAAGCAGTTTTAAGGAGAATTTAATCAAACATTTGTATTAAAAAGGAATAAAGGTAAGCAGATATTAAATGAGTATAAAATCTAAGTTAGAAAATTTTTTTTAAAAAGGGCTGGGCACAGTGGCTCACCTGAGGTCACCTGAGGTCAGGAGTTCAAGACCAGCCTGGCCAACGTGGTGAAACCCTGTCTTTACTAAAAACACAAAAGTTAGCCAGGCATGGTGGCGGATGCCTGTAATCCCAGATACTTGGGAGCCTGAGGCAGGAGAATTGCTTGAACCTGGGAGGTGGAGGTTACAGTGAGCCGAGATCGTGCCATTGCACTCCAGCCTGTGTGACAGAGCGAGACTCTGTCTCAAAAAAAGAAAAATTCAAAAAAGTAGCAGGAAAATATAACAGTGGAAATAAAATAGAAAAATATATATATATACAATGGAAAAGGTTGAAGTCAAAAATTGATTAACAAGACTACAAATTGACAATAGACAAACTTCTGGCAAAATGAAGTGAGAAAATGTAGTATGTTAAAAAAGTTGGCCTAACTACAGATAAAGCAGAGATGTGAAAAGATAATAGTATCAGCAACATTCTGCCAGTGGATTTAAAAACAGTTTTCTGAGAATCTTTCCTTAACTGACATACACACAAAATAGAAATCTTAAAGAGTCCTATAATTATTAAAGAAATTGGATAGCAGTTTAAAACCTTCACACACACGCACAGAGGGAGAGAGAGGGAGAGCTCGAGCAGGCCCAGATGGTTTTCCAGACAAATTCTACCAAACTTCAAGGACAGCATTATTTAAACCCAGGAAAAGACTGTATGAGGACAGAAGATAATCTATTTCACTCAGGAAAAGAGATATGAAAATCTGGACAAAATGTTGTAAACCAAATCTAACAATATTAAAACAGATAATGTATTATGACTGTGCTAATCACGTTCTACAAGAAGCAGACACTAAGATGGGACACGATGTTCAAGGGATGCTAGTGAGGAAAATTCCTGTGAAGGATAAAGGGGGAAAGCAGAAGTGAGGAGAACTTTCCAACTGTGATGTTAAAGGAGAGAGGAAGGGTGGAAATGGAGTGAAAGGAACGTCAGGCTTGCAGCAGTTCTAAGAAAGTTTTGTTAGATGACTGGGGAACCCTTGCACCAAAGTCATCCATTAGAGGATTCCCTTGTTAGCCTTGCCACTGTGCTCAATCACTGAGGGAATGAATAATCAGTGGAGCATCAGCTGAGATCAGTCATGGCCATGACACAAAGGTGGTGATGATCCAGACAGCAGCACCTGGGGCTGCAATCACCCACACTCCCCACAGCAGATGTGAGCCCACATTTTCATGGCTGCCACAGTGACCAAGTTGGGTTTTCTCCAGGAATCCAAAGAAGATTTACCATTAGAAGATTTATAAATGTGATTTATCACATGTATCAGACCAAAGTCTGTGTGCCTCAGATTTCCTTGGCTCAAATGTGTCACTGACCTTAACTGTCACTGTGAGGCTCTGTTGAGTCATTTGCCCTGAGAGTGCCAAGCCTTCCTCCTTGGCCACCACCCAGAGCTGAGCCAACCAGGCATGTACCTGGAGTGTCTGGTTCCTCCTGATACTTCTGGAATGGAATGGAACTCTATACAGCAGGGCATGGGACTCAGCACTCTGAGCTGCTATTAAAGGGACTAGATGATGACATTGGGATATATGGAACTGCTTATTTCCTGTGAGGTAAATTTTAACCAACAGGAACGACTAGATCTGGGCAGATGAATCCCCCCATCTTCTTTCCTCCCGTGGAGGACTTTGAGGCACGGTTTTCTACATTCCCATTCAGAAAAGTCCTTCACACTGATGAATGCTACGACCAAGAGAATTGCTGGGTCTTTCTGACTACTCGTGAAGCAGTAGCCAGCATGGTAATCTGTCCGTTTACAAAGCTGCCCATCTTCCCTTGCCTTGCTTCCGCTTTCCTTCTCTCTCACAGCCCTGAGTTTTTAACCTCCCAAATAAAGCATCAGCATTTTAATCCTTGCTCAGGTTCTGTTTTCTAGAAAACCCAGGCTAAAAGCATATTAAGCAGATTAGAGTTGAAAAACCAATCATCTGAATCCATGCAGAAAAAAATAGATAATGTACAAAGTAATTGCAAATTCCTCATTGATGAGTAAAAGGTTTTAATGTGACAAAGAATATGTCTGAAAACCCTATAAAAACAGACAGAATCTTCAATGGGGAAACATTAGAAATAGTCCCTGTAAAAATCAATTATAAGGCAAGGATGCAAAGTCAACCAGTAATCCTACTCAGGCAGCAAATATGACAACATATTGTGGTAATCATCAATAGTTTACTAATGTGACTATTTATACAGCTGCAGGCAGGGTTAAGTGAAACTAACAAGAATGATGCTGTACCCCCAAGACTAGCAACATGGACAAGTACCCTAACATCCTGGGCTGAAGGAGCAATTTACCAGATCTAGAGAGATTAGCGATCTGCAGAACAGACCATTAGTAGGGAGGTGAAGCCCACTCTCAGACACAGTAGATTTGTGGTGTGTTGCTGAAGCCCTGAAAGTCCTTTCTAATATATTTGTAGTGGATCGACTGGTTGTTCTTCAAAATTTCACATCCACCTAGAACCTCAGAATGGGAGCTTATTTGAAAATAGGTCTTTGTAGATGTAATTAAGGTGAAGACTGATATGAAATCATACTGGATTAGGCTGTGTCTTAAGTCCTATGAGAGGTATGAAAGGAGACACAGACGGTGGCAGAGACTGAACTTATATTGACACAAGACAAGGAACACCAGGAGTCGCCAGAAGTTGGCAGAACAAGGAAGGATTCTCCCCTAGAATCTTCAGAAGTGTGGGCCTGCCAACACCTTGATTTTGGACTTCTAGCCTTCAGAACTGAGAGGATATGTTTTTCTTAATTTAAGCCACCATATTTGTGGTAGTTTGTTAAAGGAGCCTGAGGAAAGTAACACAATGCCTAAATTTGGAGAGAAATCTTTCTTCTTTCTTTCTTGACTGGGAAGGAGTAGGAAACAAATGGGAACATAAACAATGGCGTTGACATGACAATGGGAGCATAGCTTATACAATGATACATTGAACAGAGAGAAGCCACTCAAAACGCCAGTGCATTCCCCTTTAGAACACTACACACGCGTATACACACCACCAACTAAATGATATAAACATTGGAATGTGATATTCAGTAGGTCCAAAAATGAGAGTCAGTTCAATTATCTAACAAAAAGTTTATTTCCACCCCTGCCAATAACTCAGCCTAAGCAAATGAGAGAACACAAAATACCCAACCACCAGAGTCACCTGCTGTGAGGTGGTGGCGATGGTGGTTGCAATAATGGATTATAGGTCTCAGACAAAATGAGAAAAAAAAATCAAGAGCCCATCACGTACCTACTATGTCAGAACTGATTTAATTACCTGGCCACTAACTGGGCAAAATAAAAAACTGACATGCTACATAATATACACTATAATCCAAAATAGGTGGGGTACAGGAATGGCATGCAAGTGACCAAAAAATAAAGCCCAACCTGGAATAAAACAGTTCAAAGAACAGAAAGGAAAACTTCACTTAAATTAGGTCTATACCCTCTAGAAAAAAATATACAAAATAATTATATGTTTTATATTAGAAATTAATGACCAGCATATGTACACAACAAAACAAGTACTCAAAAACAAGCTAAACAAAATGATAGGATGAGAAGAGGATTGTAGATATGAGGAAACAAAATATGGACTAAAATTTCTAGAGATAACTAATAAGAATGTAGAGCTAGCAAAGTACAGAAGTGATATCACTGAAAGCCAAAGTAGAGGAAGATTTGTGATATCTTCATGAATTCAGATGAAAGAGATGAATGCACTAGATGAGGTTGAGCTATAGAACATAAATTGAATGCAATTAGATGAGGTTACATTATAGCACATAAATGACACAGTATTAGGATAATTGATATTGGCCCCTGAAGTCAAGAACTCATCAAATCAAGGAGTTGATACATAAATACAATGTAAGAAAACTTTTCTAAAATGAAGACAGAATTGAATCTGTTGATCTAAAGTTTCCACATTGTAGGAAAAGTTGATACAGAAAACTCAGAACCAAGACATAACTGAATTAAGCAGTTGAATGCCAAATAAGGGGAAGAAATATTTTACTTTTTTGCCTAAACAAGCAACAAAGAGATGGGGCATGGGTGGAGAAGAAAAAGAAGGTGCTTTGACTTCTCCACAAAAGACAACAGAGCATACCGAGTCCAGGATTTTTTTTAAATTTCCTATTAGTGTGTGCTGTTTTCAAGGAGACAGCTAGCCCAGAACAGAAAAGGCAGCACCAGGAGGCATTTCTAGTAAATGCCCTCAAGGAACTTCTTTTCCCCTCTCCCTTCCTACCTCTCCTCCCTTGACTTCAGGACTGTATTGCATAATCTCTCCTGTGAGTTAGGCTTCCAACAGTAAAACTAGGAAAAGGCTCACTGTAACCTCCGCCTCCCGGGTTCAAGCGATTCTCCTGCCTCAGCCTCCTGAGTAGCTGGAAGGAGAGTAAAGTAGCATTTGCTAAAGTCCATGTAGCAAGGAAATACCAAGGAAGTGTTCCCAACTTGAATTGGGGAAAATGAAGTGTTCCCAACTTGAATTAGGGAAAACAAAATGAAACTGAAAACTAATTCAAAAAAGTCGATTACATGACTTGAAGAGAACTGAATGTCTTGTACTGTCAGAATCAAGGAATCCCCACACGGAATTTGAACCAATCAAAATGCAATTAGCAGGGGAAAATGTTGAGAGAGATGTTAGTTAATAAAATGTTTGTCTCAGCGTACTGTCAGGAGAATAAGGGGTAGGAGGTTGAACCCTGGATGGTAAAATATTTACAGTTTCCAGTAATCATGGTTTCCAGGTATCATGCTATTTCAGACCTGTTATCGAAAGACTAACCCTCCTACTACAACAGAACAGAAAATGAAATCAGGTATTTTCTCTTTCAAACTCATTTATATACCATTTTAAAGTCAGACTGTTTAATCTTCATGTTAATATTCATTTCCCTACTATAAAAATCAGATCTATGTAACTCACAAGTATACATTCTTGTGTGAATTAGATTACTAATATAAATAGCAACACAGAAATCAAATCTAGATTACTTGTCTTATTTCCTAAACTATAGCATATCTCAACTTTCTTCTAAAATGAGAATATCAACCCACTACCTCAGCTCAGTTATGTGGATTACCTTTTATATTGTACAGGCAGCACACAAACCACAGAGCTCATAGGCAATACTTGGTAAATGCGAGTCACTCGAGTCACTCGGATGAAACCAATTTAGAAGCAGAAGAGAAACAATAGAGGAGTTAAGGTAGCAAGCAGGAAGAAGTGAAAAGTAAAGCATGCTGCTTGGTTCCAAGAAGAAAGGAGGAGGCAAGATGACCTTGAGGCTGCTTGAGTTGAGGGAGAAAGGGGTAGAATCCTTATGAGAAAAGATTACAAGAATTTGCCAAGCAGATTAAAACTACCACGGGCCACCCTCAACTTCCAAAAGGGAAAGAGAAACAATGCAGTCTCTCAAATTAGCCTACGGAAGAAAATAGGAATATAAGAGACAAGGACAATTGAAATAATTGGGGGCAGGGGAGGAAAATTGTGGTGGGGTGGGGAGGAACTAAGGGGTAAGAATTGAACTGGAGTTACCTTAATAAAAAAGACTGTAAGAAGATAACTCTAGAAGAAATGCCTCAAGAACAACAAACGTGTTTGGAATCCTCAGAAACGTAAATAAAAGTGGGAAAATAGAACCTATACATACTTAGTATTCAGTCATCTATTTCTGCAGTCACGTCTCTGGAATTCACAGGGAAGACAAAAGTACAGTAAAAAGAAGAGGTAAAAAGCTTTTCAAAGACAGCTTGCAGAACTATGTCAGAGCATGCAACACTAAAAGCACAAGAGTGAACAGGAATTAGAAATGTAATCTACAAAGCACACTTAGGATATAATGTTTTGCATATAAAATAAAACGCTAAATTCAATAGGGAACATTGGTTTGGAGGGCCTAGGTCTCCTCACACTCAAATTTTAAGGAGACTAACTCCAAGATCAGAAGACATAAATTAGAAGAGATATTGTGCATGTATAATTCCTTCCTTTCCAGTGAAAGGAAGAGAAAATTTCAGTGAAAATGAGAGAAAGGAAATTCTCTCATTTCATTGTACTGCTATGAAATATTTCAGCTGTGTTAGAAGCTAAACGTAAATATTTGATGTCATTAGTCATTTTTGATTACTCTCAATTCCCAGATTAAAGAACATTTAGATAAATATGACAGCATTATTAAAATAAAGTGTTTGGGAATTTAGATTTCTGTTACAAGCAATAAGAGCAACATCCTGGAACTGGCTTAGACAACAAAGGGAATCTTCTGAGAAACATAACTGAGGCTTCTAGGAGCCTCTGGCCAGCTCTACCCAGGACGTATGTCACTAGGTTTCACGTCTCTGCTTTGCCTCCTGTGGGTTTACCTTATACACAACCTAGCTTCCCTCGTGATAATGAAGTGGCTGTAGATGTTTCAGGCCTGACCTCACACACCGCTAAACCCAGACGAAAAGAACTGGAGCTTCACCAGCGCTTCTTATTAAGGAGAGAAGCTTATTTCCTGGAAGCCCCAGCAAACCATGCTTTTCCTATTATTGGCTCACCTGGTTTATATTCCTAATCTACCCATCACTCTGGCTTTCTCTACCCCCTAACTGGTTTCGTCTAAGAGCACTATTTTAATAAATCACTTGCACCTGAATCTTTGACTCATCAACTCCTTGTGGTGAAATCCTTTCTATGAAACAAAGGCATACAGTGAAACCCCATGGCAGGTTGTCCTTGAATTCCCTGGGCTGTTTCTTCCCACCCTGCCTCCTGTCTCTGCAAAAGCTGGTACTTCATGCTGTGAACAGGACGCTTGCTTACTCATCTTCTCACACACTGTCTCTCCCAGGTTCTGTGCTGTTTCCCCTCGACCCACCCAGCCTTCCCCTTCTGTTGGTCCTTTCAAACCTCTTCCTTGTGTACTCTGAAAACATCATTACCCAATAAACTGCCTGTTACCCAAAACCTGCTCAGATTCCTGCTGCTTTCCCTCCTCAGATGGAACTCAATTCTTTCCCCAAAGCGCCATTTCCCTATCTCCTTTTTCTTAAGAAGAGTTGCTCATTTTCCCGTCTTCTCGCCACACTGGAATCTGAAAATAAAGCTGGGACTCTCGTCATCCAACTGTGCTCTTTCCAAGCCATCGCTCCTGTACCTTTAGGGATTCTGTATCTCACTGTGAGAATCTAAGTTTATTCTAGAGTGACCCTTGCTCCTACACGAAATGGTACCTAGCGAATGTCAATAGTATTTGAGCTGGATAGGGCATATAAGGTTGAGTTAGAGTATAATTTGTACCTTTATGGGTCTGAAATATTTAAGAAATGCTTGCCACTTGGGTCATCTGAGTTTTCTATGTCCCTTCCTCCTCTCTTATCAGCAAATCTAAAACTCTAGGAAGAAAAAGTCAAGAACTCCAAAACTAGTTACTTTTACTCCACTCAGCGTAGCATTTCCATAGATTCCTGCACTTATCACCCAGAACTTTCTGTTCCACCCCTGAATTTGCAACTCAGAACATACTACTCTGACGGAATTCTTCATAATCTGACTACTCCTCACCTTTCTCTCCTCCCACCACACTAACAAGATTTCTAAGCTCTGACTCCATCAATTTCACCCTTTTCACTTATTATCTATAATAAATATGTATTATATTTATATAACATTTATATATTTATGTATTATAATAGTTATATGATTATATATATATATTTTTTCTGGGTCTTTTACAAAAGTGATTTAACTTTTTGAGTCTTTTTTTAAACTAAGTTTATTTTCCTTGTTGCCAAGTTGATATAACTACAGAGCTACTAGCTTTGCATGAATGTAATTAGATTAGGAATATAATTTGTCAATTTGGAAATAGAAATATTATCAAAGTTGGTCATAGTAACATTAATTTTGTGTAATTGACAGGATATTGTAGTGATTGCAGTTAAGGAATATAGAGTATGGGACAAAAAGAAAAGGTAAAAGGTTTTCACCTTCAGAAGGTGTTCTTGGTGATGTCTCTAATCTAGGTTAAATTAGATAGAAAGGATCTCATTTCTCGAAGGTGGTGTCTAGGACAGACCTGGATAGCCATGGAGAAGACATCCCACCTGAAACAGAAGTATTAAAGCAAGGAAGCTGCAAGTGTACATTTGCCTATCTCAGGTTTGTATCTTAATCTCTTATCACTTGGGAATTAGTGGTTTGAACTCTAAATGGTAAGCAGCAATGTGCAATGACAGACTCTAAGATTCCAAGATCGAGGACTAAGGAAAAACAAGCCCCCATTCGTTACTCAATTTTAAAATGAGCCTCTGAGGGGACATTTAACAGTATTTACAGAGAGAAAAAATCTGAATCTGCAGTTATTATAACAAGCTGCACCTGCTAACTGCATTCTAGTCTCCAACAGAAAAAGATGCAATACAGTACATTATCTCTGAGACCTGCTGGAAATGAATATCCAGAGAAAAGCAAGCTTCTAAGGGTGAAGCCTATGCTGAAGAAAGAGAAATATGCATTTTACTGAAGATGGTGCAGTAAAAGGGGCCTGCAAATATATACTGGAAACTTTAGTTGGGGCTAAATTAGAAGGATTTTGAACATATAAACACTACAACTGAATACCAAGGAAAGGTGTGTACATGTTATAAAGATAGTATTGTGTTAGAAAGGAGAACCTAAAGTTATAATAAGCCAGAATAGCAGGATTTTTCTGGTGGCATATGTTTATAGCCCCAGTTAAACGGAATGGACTTGGATCCTCATTTTCTTTTCTAGGAGAGTCAGGTCAGAGTCCTAGATAGGGAATACCTAATAGCTAGTCTCATCTGACAGAAGAATAAGGAGGAAGGAATTTCTCTTGAATAGGCAATTGGTCTTCCCAGAAATTAAGTCAGGAAGCAACTGGCTCTTGGATAGCCCCTGGGTCGCTGCTATGCAGATACTTGGAAAAGGGGTATTCATTCCTACTAGGCAGGGGAAAAGTTTGCATGCCTGCAGTCAGAAGTCAGTTAGACAGACATTCAAAGCCTCAAAGAGAATGCTGGTTATGTAACTCAGAACAAACTCTCCACTCCTAGGCAAGTCTCTGGGAATTTAGAGTTGACATGACAACCTCAGGAGGAAAAACACCTTGTTTAATGCTGTACTACGTGACCTACACCGGTCACTGACCAGAGCAAGGAGAAGCCACCCAGAATCACTGGTTAATGATCAAAATATTAAGCTATGGTCTATTTTAAGCACCTGGAGGAAAACTCAACACAGGAATTGGTTTCTTTCCCAGCTCAGGCCAACTGATAGAACATGCTGGTGGGCCACACGCCAAAAGTAGGCAGAGCCTTCATTCATGGATTTATTTAAGAGCCACCAAACTTTCAGGCTACTCAATATGATTATATAGGAAATCATTTGTCTTTTACATCTATATTCTGAAATAATAATATTTATTAAACACTTTCTACATACCAGGCACTTTGCTAAGCACTTTAATAAATTTCATTTAATCTTCACAGCAATACTAGTCTACCCCCATTTTACAGATTAGGAAACTGGCTCTGAGAAAAATATACAACTGGTTAATGATGAAGCAGGTAAATGCACCAAGGATTACTTGACTCTAGAGACTATGATCTTGACCACTACACTTTATTGCATCTTTTGATTAAAATATGCTTATAATGGGATATGACACCAATTTGCCATTCTGGACAGAAATTATTTCCTCCAAGTTTCTAGGAAATGGGAAGCTCAAGTTTGTTTTGTCAGGTACCAGTAACACAAAAAAACCTAAATTACCTGTTCATATTTTTTTCTATTATCCAAAGTCCCAAACAATAGAAACCCAATGAGAATTGAATCTTAACTTTTTGAATCTTGTTTTAGTTATTAAAAAATGACATAAACTTAATGATTCTTCCCTGAGACAGTGGAAATATCTAGGAGACTTCTAAGTTTCTTGTATTAGAATTCAAAGATCACGATTCTTCTGCTAGATAACCACTACTACGGTCCTTTTGTTTCCACCACAGAATGGAACGCAGTGCATCTTGGAGCAGCTAATAAAACTCTGTAGTGTAACTAGATGAACAATTACAAGTAAGAATACACTCTTAGAGATTTTTTTAAAGTTCGCAGATAATTTTCAAAACAAACATTGCTCATCCCTCTTTCACTGTCTTACCAGAATGTTAGGTATTTTCCTCATTTTTGCTAAGTTCTTTTATTTGAAATATATCAGCATGTTCCTTCAAGACAACCTTTTACTAAGTATTTGTTTGGTGCATATGCACAATACATAGTATATGCACTAAATCAATTTAAAAGATCAGTCACTAATTTTTTCCTAACGGGAAAATAAAGTGTCAACTAAAAACCACCCATATTTGATTTATTCATGCCCACTTTTAAGTTCTAGGTATAAACAACTTAGAAAGAAATCCTTACCTTACTTAGAAATTCATACCGTCTAGTCAAATGCTAAGTAGTCCATAAGAATAAACATTGAATTCAGCTATGAGTTTCTCAGAGAGTAAAGTCCAAGGTACGTTTGATTTGCTACCTATGACAGACCAAGGAAATCACATCATCACCAAGGACTCCCTCCTTCAAACTAAGCCCCACCCAGATCTGAGTCAGTACAGATCTGAAAAGTCCAGGAATTAGAAGATGCAGTTTCAGACAACATATTGAAACAGCTAAGCATTGAGCTGTGGGAGCAGTGGACTCTGGTTTCCATGCTATGGTGTCAGCTTCACCATCAACATGATACAGGCAACCTCCTGAGGTTGGACTGCCTGTGACCTGTCTAGCTTGCTGCAGAGTTGTAAAGAAAATTGTGTAGCTGGTTGCAGTGGGTGCCAATAGTTCTGTGAGAAAGAACCATAACCCTACACAAAGTTCATCTGCACCTACAATTCCCATTACAGTTCTGGTCGCTAGAACACCCAAGCTTAAACTCAACTTCAGAGAAATAAAGACCTCTCTGAATTCCACATGGAAAGTTGGGCAGTGCCCAGCCTCTATGCTGTCATATCATTTAATCTCTCTCTCCCTCAGTGTCACATGCATGGCATGCATGCACATACAACAGATGCTAAGAGTCATGCTTTACTCACTATTGTATCCCAAACAACTACCACTTACTTACTAGCACATAGTAGCTGGTCAATATCTGTTTGCTGAGTGCATGGGAGCAAAAGTTACAAAGTGAACAAAAATTACCTTAGGAGGACAATAAACAGGACCCTTCTGTCTGGAACAAAGGATGCCATCCAAGCCTTGGCACAGCACACAAATCCCCTGATCATATAATCATAGGGCCCTGTCTAGCTTTATAGCCTTTCGGCATTACTCACCACATCAACGTTAACCTCCTGCCACACATGCACACTCAGGGGAGAGGGCAAAGTACATTTGGGGAACTCCCCCTCCTCTTCCCCATCTCTTCCTTGACTTCCTTCTTCTCTAGTCAGAGTCATCCATAGTGAGCCTTCTGCTGCCCACTGGAAACTGGGTTGAAAGCGCCAGGGCTCTTCCTAGAATCCCCAAAGTCACCCACGCCAACGTTTTCTTTTTTGTTTGTTTTTGTTTTTCGTTTTTTTTTTTTTTTTTTTTTTTGAGACAGAGTCTCTTTCTGTCGCCCAGGCTGGAGTGCAGTGGCACGATCTCGGCTAACTGCAAGCTCTGTCTCCCAGGTTCACGCCATTCTCCTGCCTCAGCCTCCCGAGTAGCTGGGACTTTCAACCCAGTTTCCAGTGGGCAGCAGAAGGCTCACTATGGATGACTCTGACTAGAGAAGAAGGAAGTCAAGGAAGAGATGGGGAAGAGGAGGGGGAGTTCCCCAAATGTACCTTGCCCTCTCCCCTGAGTGTGCATGTGTGGCAGGAGGTTAAAGTTGATGTGGTCAGTAATGTCCAAAGGCTATAAAGCTAGACAGGGCCCTATGATTATATGATCAGGGGATTTGTGTGCTGTGCCAAAGGCGCCCGCCACCACGCCTGGCTAATTTTTTTGTATTTTTAGTAGAGATAGGGTTTTGCTGGGGTTCCTGGTTTAGCCAGGATGGTCTCAATCTCCTAACCTCGTGATCCGCCCGCCTCGGCCTCCCAAAGTGCTGGGATTACAGGTGTGAGCCACCGCGCCCGGCCGCCAACTTTTATCATTAATAAGATCTATTATGAAATGAAATCAAAATCAAACTGGGACTTAAAAGATGCAGGCAATCCCTGCTTTCACCTCTGAATCTCCATGGCCATGTAGTTAATGGTACATCACACCACTGTAATATTAGTTTAGGGAAATAGCAGAGCTCCTAAAGCATACACATGAGGAGAGCAGACTCTCACGGAATTTGAAAATAGAAGAATTACATATTTTTTGAAGATTTTTGAAGTTTTAGGAAGAAATGCCGTATGCATACAAACATACCTGTTATGCAGAGATTGTTCAAGCTGAAGGTAAAAATAGAATCACGGTTTTAAATAATATCAATGGCTGAGGAAGGAAAGAACAATTTCTCTGAGATTTATGTCACAGAGAAAGTGGCTATGATATGTATGCCATTATTGAAGACTAGATCAACAGTTTTAGGTTACAAACCTTTCCCTTGCAACATATTCTTCATTTCAGGAAGGGGTACCTGAAAGGAAGTAGGATGAACCATTAGGACCCTATATTAGGGGAACCTGTAGGGCCACTGCTTGCAAGAGCTCAACTGTTAGGCTTTGGGATCTGTTACCATTTCAACACCACTTTTGGTTCTCTTCTGCAAAGTGCCTCCACGATGTCTTCAAGTGACTGGGAGAAGAAACGGCATATGAAATATGGTTAATCCTGATTATATCTATGCACATGTACCTACACTAAGGCTCAGGGGAGAATTTAATGTTGGCATTGAACATTTATTAAGTTGGCAAATGTTCTGAGGAAGTAAAAAGTATAACTGTCATGTAACTTGAGGATGTGAGAGCAGCTACCGGTTGCATCCTCAGATCAAATAGGGCTGAAATTAGTCATCCAACTGGAGTCTTTCAGTTGTCGAAATACTGCAGAAGAAAGTGAATTTAAACTCTAAAGCTGAGAGGTGGACAGACATGGCTAAAATGTAGATCTTAAATTGGTCTGACAGGGAGATAAGGAATTACGGTCCTCATATATTAGGCATTTACTGAATCAGTTCAATCAATATTTATTTCCAGCAAAAAAGTCTCCTAATATTTCAGCTATTAAAAACCTTGAGGTGTTAAACTCACATATTCATTTTCCAAGATGCTAAGTGTGGTGCCTGTCATCATTTGTGCATGTCATGCCTTCCTGGCCCATTGTTGCTGTGAAAGGACATAAAGTAATTTAGGCCTAGGCATTAAAGTGGAATTGGAAGATCAAGAGAGGACTGCACTCATACCTGCTAAATGTTAAGCCACAGAAGGTTCCAACAGACTTGGATAACACCTTAAGTCAGAATCCACTGGACTTCAACATCTCTCAGCTGGGAGTACCCTAATTAACTAACAATTCAGAACAGCTCTGCAATTTAGGATTTCTGTCCAGCCAGTGAATTGCCCCTCAAAACAACTTTTTCAAGAAATCTCCTATTAAAAACCTGAACTTGCCTTAAAGGACACTATTTAGTGTTGCCCTAATTCAGTGTACCTGAATTGCAATTCTTTTTTTCCCAAATATACTCTACTTTCTTTGGCATCTGTGTTGATTTTTTTCTTAGTTAATGTAACAACAGAACTGCCACATCAGTGCAGGGACTTCCTGAGGCCTTCTAGATGCTCTCTGTGATCTATTCTTAGTTCTCTGTTTTCCTGGTATTGCTTCATATTCAGGTCTAGAATAGCATCAACCACCTTCAGTTTTGCAGTGAGTTAGCTTTTAAATTGCTTCAAAGTGCTTTCACAACTCTCTTAATGATCATTCTGGGAAACAGCCAGGGTAAGTGATCCTCCTGCTTCATTTAGGATGAAGAAACAGGTGCTAAGAGTGAACAAATGATACACCTAATGAATAAGTGTCAAAGTTGGGCATTACATTAAACATCTGCCATACTCCTCTCACATCCCCTTGGCTCACCTTTTTGTCCTGGACATTGTTGAGGCAACAGGCTCTACACAGGTGCCCTTACCAGCACTTCATCCCAGCTGTACTATGCGTCTGTCTTGCTTGTTATCCCAGGGATTCTCTGCTTTCTAGTGAGACTCCTAAAACAGAGAAAATAAAAACCCTCCAGTGTTAATTTTAGCCTATGGAGGTCAGGCTGTTCCCCTGTTTTCTCTCTGGTTGACAATCCTGAAGTGTCTTCTATGTGGTTCCTTAAAGCATCCCCACCAAGACTAAGCCCCAGTTACCCACAGGCATAGCCAGCTGAACAGCACACTCTTGGATTAGCTCTCCCTCCTTCCTGTTTTACTCTTCTCAAGGGCCCCTCCCCTGTTCCCTGGATTCACTTCCCAAAATAAAATACTTGCTTTTCTCTTGCAAATTTAAGTTCCTTATAGATGGTGGATATTAGACCTTTGTCAGATTCATAGTTTGCAAATATTTTCTCCTATTCTGCAGGTTGTTTACTCTGTTGATAGTCTCTTTTGCTGTACAGAAGCTCTTAAGTTTAATTAGATCCTGCTTGTCAATTTTTGCTTTTGTTGCAATTGTTTTTGGTGTCTTTGTCATGAAACCTTGCCCATTCCTATGGCAGGATGGCATTGCCTAGGTTGTCTTCCAAGGTTTTTATAGTTTTGGGTTTTACATTTAAGTCTTTAATCCATCTTGAGCTGATTTTTGTATATAATGTAAGGAAGGGATCCATTTTCAAGCTTCTGCATATGGCTAGCCAGTTATCCTAGCACAATATATTGAATAGGGAGTGTTTTCCCCATTGCTTGTTTTTGTCAGCTTTGCTGAAGATCATAGGTGTGTGGCCTTATTTCTGGGCTCTCTATTCTGCTCCACTTGTCTATGTGTCTGTTTTTGTACCAATACCGTGCTGTTTTGGTTACTGTAGCCTTGTAGTATAGTTTGAAGTCAGGTAATGTGATGCCTCCAGCTTTGTTCTTTTTGCTTAGGATTGCCTTGGGTATACAGGCTCTTTTGTGGTTCTACATGAATTTTAAAATAGTTCTTTCTAGTTCTCTGAAGAATGTCACTGGTAGTTTGATAGAAATAGCACTGAATCTGTAAATTGCTTTGGGCAGTATGACCATTTTAATGATATTGATTCTTTCTATCCATGAGCATGAGATGTTTTTCCATTTGTTTGTATTTTTTATTTCTTTGAGCAGTGTTTTGTAATTCTCATTGTAGAGATCTTTCACCTCCCTGATTAGCTGTACTTTTGGATATTTTATTCTTTTTTGGCAGTTGCGAATGGGATTGCCTTCCTGATTTGGCTCTCAGCTTGGCTGTTGTTGGTGTATAGGAATGCCAGTGATTTTTGTACATTGATTTTGTATCTTGAAACTGCTGAAGTTGTTTATCAGCTGAAGGAGCTTTTGGGCTGAGACAATGGGGTTTTCTAGATATAGAATAATGTCATCTGCAAACAGATAGTTTGAGTTCCTCTTTTCCTATTTGGAGGCCCTTTATTTCTTTCTCTTGACTAATTGCTCTGGCTAGGACTTCCAATACTATGTTGAATAGGAGTGGTGAGAGAGGGCATACTTGTCTGGTGCCAGTTTTTAAGAGGAATGCTTCCAGCTTTTGCCCATTCAGTATAATGTTGGCTGTGGGTTTGTCATAAATGGCTCTTATTATTTTGAGATATGTTCCTTCAATACCTAGTTTATTGAGAGTTTTTAACATGAAGGGATGTGGGATGTTTAATTTTATGGAAAGCTTTTTCTACATCTGTTGAGATAATCATGTTTTTTATTCTTTAGTTCTGTTTATATGATGAATCACATTTATTGATTTTTGTATGTTGAGCCAACCTTGCATCCTGGAGATGAAACCTATTTGATCATGGTGGATTAGCTTTTTGATGTGCTGCTGGATTCGGTTTATAAGTATTTTGTTGAGGATTTTTGCATCAATGTTCATCAAGGATATTTGCCTGAAGTTTCCTTTTTTTTGTTGTGTCTCTGCCTGGGTTTAGTATCAGGATAATGCTGGCCTCATAGAGTGAGGTGGGGAGGAGTCCTCAAAGAGCCACAAACAGAACTACCATTTGACCCAGCAATCCCATTACTGGGTACATACAGAGGAATATAAATCATTCTACCATAAAGACACAGGCACACAAATGTATATTGCAGCACTATTCATAATAGCAAAGACTTGGAATCAACCTAAGTGCCTATCAATGACAGCTTGGATAAAGAAAATGTGGTAATATACATAATGGAATACTATGCAGCTATTAAAATGGAAGGAGATCACATCTTTTGTGGGAACATGGATAGAGTTGGAGGCCATTATCCCTAGCAAACTAACTTAGGAACAGAAAACCAAATACCACATGTTCTCACTTACAAGTAGGAGCTAAATGATGAGAACTCATGAACGCAAAGAAGGGAAAAACAGACACTGGGGTCTACTTGAGAGTGGAGGGTGGGAGGAGGGAGAGGAACAGAAAAAATAACTATGGGGTACTAGGCTTAATACCTGGGTGATGAGATAATCTGTACAACAAACCCCCATGACATGAGTTCACCGATAAAACAATCCTGCACATGTACTCCTGAACCTAAAATAAAAGTTAAAAATAAAGAAAACAATTTGAAAGGGTTATATTAAAGGACATTTTCTCTGAATTAAAAAAAAGTACTTGCATGAAAGACTTATTTCAGGCTCTGCTTGGGAAAATCTCAGTTGAAACAGGCTACAAACACATTCTTTCGATTTTTCTGGTTCATTCTTCTCATTACCCTATTAATCACCAGACCTGAAATTCAATACTCATTTTTTTTTAATTTCCAATCACAGACAAAGGCTATAAGATTTAATATTTGAAAACCAAGTATAATCTTTTTATGCTCTGTATCACTTGCACACATTAGGTGTTTAATAACAAGAATTGTGATGACCTTTAAGGTAGCAATTGTTTAAGAAGAAGGATGCATATATAAATATAAGGAAAAACACGTAAGTTGCTATTCAACAGATGGTTTGAGAGAGCTGGAAGTAACTATCTTTACTCAAAGACATTTCTAGGGTAGGTCTATAAAGCTTTCTGCCTGGCTTCCTTTCATACTATGTTTTCTAATAAGATGTAAAATAAGCCATAAGATTATTCTTATGGCTTATTTTAGATATATTGATGGCTTATTTCAAACAGCCTCACTGAGGAGAGAAAACAGAATGACGTCTTTATAGCTTTGAGTTCTAAAATAGCAATAATATCAGTATTTGCCAGGTGTAATTATATATGCATATATGTATTAAGGGAGTTTTGTCCTTCAATAATTTTATAAGAATGAAACATGGCCATTTATATTTATTTCTGGTACAATAAGGATATTGAGTAAAAAATAAATGAAAACTCTTGATGAAGTACAATCTTGCTACCAGCATACGAGCACAAGATCAAGAAAAACCAACTGCTGAATATCAAACAATTCTTGATTTGGAAAGGACAGATCTAGACCTAAATAGTAGTCCAAAGGGAGCAATTCTATTCAGTGTATGCAGACTATCAGATCAGTTGGCAACACTGCTTCTAATACAAGAGCCAACAAGTATCACTTTATAATATTTGACAGATACCAGGAATCAGCAGCCTGGGTAAACATTGCTGTGCTTGCTTGTCACTAAAGATTGAGAGGCAATGTGTTATGTTATAAATATGAAGAAAGGAAACTAAGACCCAGTTTCTGGATCTTAGATATAGTAACTAAAATATTTAACACTGTGGAGCAACCGATTGAGTTTATTCCATGACTTGCCTAAAGAACACATTAACAATTTGTATAGATTAGCCAAGTAATCCATTTCCCTGAAAGAATAGAGATACCTATGTCAGTTACTATTCTATAATCTGAACACCAGAATTATCCACATGATTAATAATGATAAAATTATTAAATAACATTTTAATTATAGTTTGTTGGAACAGATTACTTCAGTTGAAAAAATTATAAAGTGAAAGCTGTTTACATAATTGCTTTTAATCCTTTAGGAAAATATATTTTTATTTAAATAAATATATATAAATATATATAATTATATATAAATATGTTTTAAAAATGTTTAAAAATATATTTAAATTAAATATATTTATATGTGTTTCTATAAGCCCATCTCTTGACTAAATATATTTAATCATGCACACACACACACACATTTCATTTTTAAAAATTCCTCTTGAAGCTCTGTGCAATTTACTCTTTGGTCAGAGAGTGAAATACCTTTGTTTCTATAAGCCCATCCCTTGACTAAATATATTTAATCATGCACACACACACACACATTTCATTTTTAAAAATTCCTCTTGAAGCTCTGTGCAATTTACTCTTTGGTCAGAGAGTGAAATACCTCTGTTCCTATAAGCCCATCCCTTGACTTCACATTTTACTGGAATGTAAGTTCTCATAGGTATATTATCATGGCTTTTCCTAGCATCCAATTGTATGAAAATTTGATTGTTGTTTACATGGCCATCTCGGTAAAGGCAATGTTATGAAAGTACTCTAATCAATTTGCTTGACATTCTATATGCTGACTTGGCAATAATCACTGGCAGTATACATATTCAGAAAAGAGCGAGGAGTGCCGGGCATGGTGGCTGACGCCTCTAATCCCAGCACTTTGGGAGGCCAAGGAGGGCAGATCACGAGGTCAGGAGTTCGAGACCAGCCTGGCCAGCATGGTGAAACCCCATTTCTACTAAAAATACAAAAATTCACTGGGCATGGTGGCATGCGCCTGTAGTCCCAGCTACTTGGGAGGCTGAGGCAGGAGAATCACTTGAGCCTGGGAGGCGAAGGTTGCAGTGAGCCAAGATCGTGCCACTGCACTCCAGCCTGGGTGACAGAGTGAGACTCCATCTCAAAAAAAAAAAAAAAAAAGAAGAAAAGAGAAGAAAAAAGAAAAAGAGCCAGGAGTTCATAACAAAGAGAACAACAATGACTGAAGAATAGTAGGTGCTATAAATGGCCGTGGCTGGTGGTCACATTTTAGTGGTGGAGACAACCAACAGGATTCAACAGGATCCAACAGGACCAACAGCAGAAAAATCATTCTTTCAATCCCTTGATAAGGCTAAGGTATCAACTAGTGGCAGACAGGGTGGACTTTATTGGATATGCATTATGAGGTCTTCATTTTGTAGGAAATTACATACTTGCTCTGGAAACAGGGCAATTATGTGAAATGTTAATGAATACTTTCAAACAAAGGAAATGTCAAAATAGCAAAGTGGGATTGAATTTTATGAGGAGGTTAATTTCTAAAGTCAGCATATGAAGCAAAACATTCATGAAGTCAAAATTACCCCTGAAAATGCCTTATGAAAATCCCTTACCACATAAGGAACAGAGAGAAGCTTCTTGAGTCTGACAGGAGATTTTTATTTTATTTTTAAAGCATGGAAACAATTACTATTTCTTTAGTTCTGATTATTACTTTTTCAGTTGCAGACCCAATGTAGGTGGCTTACATTTAGGGGAAATTTGGTGCCAATGACATCTTAAAAGCAATATGTTCCTAAAGACTACAAAATGGTTGCACTCAAAATTATGTAGTATGACTTTTGGAAAGTCTCAGAACACCATGTGGCATCAATTACCTTTAAGATTGCTAAGGCCTTTTCACTTACAGATGAAAGCAACAGCACTGAGGTCACTCCTTATGCAAAGCTCTGGGTCTGTGAGATAGGGTCATTTCTCTGCGGAAGGAGGCAGTCCAGAAGTAATGAACCACAAGAAAGAAAATTAGAAAACCCCATAGAATGCTACATTTTGACCCATCACTGCTAAGACTCTATGTCAAACTCCTGAGTCTGAATTCATAGTTTGGATAACTGATAGCCTCACAATTAGTTGCTCTGACACAGGACCGAGTCAAAAGTTTGGGCCAGTTTGATCATAAACTTTAGCAACAGACAGGCCTGCATTTGAACCTCAGAATAACTTCACAAAGATACTTTTTATTTGGAAATAATTGCAGATTTACGTTCAGTTGTAAGAAATAATATAAAGAGATACCATGTATGCTTTACTCAGTTTCCCTGGAAGACAACAACAATATTGTACTATAGTACAATATTATAACTAGTGTATTAGTTTTCTAGGGCTGCCATGACAAAGTACCACAAGCCGAGTGGCTTACACAATGGAAACTGATTTCCTCACAATTCTGGAGGATATAAGTACAAGACCAACATGTCAGCAGGGTTGTTTCTTCTGAGGCATCTCTGCTTGGCTTGTAAATGGCTGTCTTCTCTGTGTGTCTTTGCAGGGTCTTCCTTTTCTATGTGTCTGTGTCCTCATCACCTCTTCTTACAAGGAAACCAGAAATATTGGATTAGGGCACATCCTAATGACTTCATCTTAATTGCCTCTTTAAAGACCCTGTCTCCCAAAATAGTCACTTTCTGAGGTAATGAGAGTTAGGACTTCAATGGACAAATTGTGAGGGGACACAATTTGGCCCCTAGGAACCAGGATGTTGATATTGATGCAGGCAGGAAACAGACGATTTCTATCACCACAAGGATCTCTCATATTGACCTTTCATTGCCACAGCCCACTTAAACCCTAGCAATCACTAAACTGCTCTACATTTTTATAATTTTATCATTTCAAAAATGTCTTACAAATGGTATTATACAGTATATAATTTTTGAGACCGTCTTTTTAAACTCAGCATAATTCTCTGGAGGTTCATCCAGATGGTTGTCCAGTTCATTCCTTTTTATTGCTGAGTAGTATTCCATGGTATGGTTGTACCACAGTTTAACCATTCATCCATTGAAGAATATCAGAATTGTCTTCAGTTTTTGGCTATTATGAATAAAGCTGGCATAAATATCCATGTGCAGAATTTTGAGTAAACATGAGTTTTCATTTCTATGGGAGAAATACTCAGGGTGCAATTGCTGGAATGTTTAGTTTTTTTAAGAAACTGCCAAACTGTTTCGCAGAATGTCTATATTATTTATATTTCCACCAGCAATATAAGTGGTCCAATTTTTCTAAATCCTTATCAGCATTTGGTGTTCTCAGTATTTTTTATTCTAGCCATTCTCATAGGTGTAAAGTAATATCTCATTGTAATTTTAAATTTCACTTCCCTGATGTCTACTAATGTTGAACATCTTTTCAGCATTGTATACACTCTTCCTAATGACTATCATTTACCAATTGTATACACTCTTGGGTGAAATGTCTGTTCATGTCCTTCACCCATTTTCAGATTGGATTCTCTTTTGACTGTTGAATTTTGAGAGTATTTGATACATTCCAGATACTAGTCCTTTGTCAAATAGATGGTTTGCAAATAATTTATCTCAGTTTGTAGCTTATTTTTTCATCCTCTTAACAGATACTTTTGCAGTGTGAAAGTTTTTCATTTATGAGACTTTAGATCTTATTTTTACATGGTGTTTCAGCTGTTTTTTTTCTGACACAGCTTCAGCAGGGGAAAATGGGGGTGCCATTTCATTACTACAGAGTGGAGGTGGAAGTCCAGGTACTCCACACAGCCTCCACTGACACTCTGGTGAGGGCAGGGTCCTTGATACTGCCTAAGAGGATGAAAGTCCACATTCCCTACTCAGCCTCCTGATACCACCTTACAGCCTCCAGAAAGTGAAACCCTAAGTTCTCCACCACTTTTTCTGTGATATTTGGCTGAAGTAGAGAAGTTGTTACTAAAAGTTTTCTGCCTTGCTACGTTTCCCCCTTTCCTGATTGTTTTAGTAAAGAAAGAAAGATTTTGTTAGGATGTTTTTGGCCTATGCCCACTGGCATTTCCAGTTTGCTAGCCATTTCAGTTCCACCTCTGAGATATATGAGGCTAAAAGAAAGCCTTGGGAATACCCCAACCTGTTGATCTTGGATCTTAGGGTTCCTAGCCTGTGGGCCTTTTCTCTATGTTTTAGGGCCGTGTGTGTGTGTGTGTGTGTGTGTGTGTGTGTGTGTGTGTAAAATATAATGTCTAGGTTTTTTATTGTACTAAGTGGAAGGAGAATAGACAAGTACTTCAACTTGATCTTCCTGGAAGTCTTTCATTGCTACTTTACTGATTGTGGTGAGTTACCTAATCTCTTTATATCACAGTTTTTTAGTCTTCGAGAGGGGGAAAACATCTACCTCACAGGGTGGTTAGAAGATTAAACAAGAAATCTATAAAAAGTATTTGACTTATACTGAAATATTGAATTGTTCTTCTTTGAAATGAAACTATGCTACCATTCTTCTGATCTTTCAAACATATATCACAAAAGACTTCTGAATTTTCTAGTTCCAGGGAGACTTAATATCTGCCAGACCCTCATAACTTCTCAACGCTATTAGAACTACCCCTGACTTTCCCGCTTGGGATTGGTGATTTTGCTATGTATAGGCAAATGTGATTTCCCTAGCAAAGCCCTAGCACATAGTAGACATTCAAATGCCTAATCATTTGCAAGTTCCTCCTATACTATTATGATTTTACAGTGAGTCTTTAGGCCCATCCTCAGCAACAGGGCTATTTCCTCAGTAACAAAATGGGAATGACATCTGACATATATTTCATAGGAACAAAGTGGCTACACATATAAACACTCTCTTCTGAATAATATCTTCACCTTTTACCAAAAAAAAAAGCACATAACTGCAATAACATCCTGCTATTATCATGGGTCTTGCCCTGTTCTTATTCCCAGTTTCCCAGTGTTTCACAGCAGGGTGGAGTAAGATTATCGTGATGCCAGTAGAACAGAGGTAGAGACAGTTGCCAGTAAACTCAAGGACTACCTTGTAAAAGAGTTACAGCCACCACAAGGGAAAACTCAGGACTCCATTCTGGTAATCACAGATCAGGCTTTCCTTTACTATAAAACAGCACTATAGATACGTTGCTAGTGTAATGTATAGATGAAGTCTTGTTTCTTCTATGTCAAATTGTTGAATGAGAGCTCTGCATAGCAAGTCTAAACTATAACATTTCAAAAATATATCATTTATTGGGTGAAGAATACTAACTTTTAATTAATTTTAGACCTATATAACAATGAAGTACAATGATAGGTTCTTTAAGTTATTGAATAGTTATTAGTTACTACTAATTCTTAATTAGTTCAGGTTTAGAGCTGGAGAAAATTACAAGGTATGCAAATCATAATCTCAAGGTTAATAGGTTCAGCTTCTGCATTCTGTCAAGTCAAGGTGATTTTAAGGTGAAGATTCTCTCAAGTGTTTTGAGGAACCTAAGATATGGTAACCAGATTGTAATACCAGTAGTCTGTTTAAAATTTTTTATTTACCATAAACAAGGGAATTGGAAGATAAGATTCCTTAAGAACAGGCTATTTTATGTGAATATCAGATGTTTTCCTCTGTGGAAATATATTTTGTTTGTGCATGTTGTGCATGTTGTAGAAGGAACTCTCATGCTCAAAAATATAGGCTTGCAATCTTCAGATAGTCTGATACACCTTCATCTGTTCTTTTCTCCTAGTTCTCCGTAGAAACCAGGTTTACCCAGATTTTGGATTATATTTCTCTGGTTACCAAGGGATGTGAAGAATGTCTCAAGTCACAGGGAAACTATTTACTCTTTATGTAACTTATTTAAAAGGTCTCCTTGAAGACAGGGGTCATATTTATTTTCCTTGTCACCCTAGCACCTAGTTAACTGCCTAGAAACTAATAAGCATTAATTGAATGAAAGGAATGTGAAAAGATTTTTTTTAAAAACCACACAATCAAAAGGAGTCCACTCAAACACTTATTTAAAGTGTTGCAACATATTGAGTGCTCAAGTTGAGTGTTCTGCAAGGAATAAGACACTCAAGATTGAGGCCATGGTTTAGCAGACAATGGTGTGGCAACAGGGTTTAGTGAGAGGTGGAGGGGAAACAGATGTGAATAGGGTCTTTCAAGGGTCGGTGGAAATGTAGGTGTCTACTTTCCAATGGATTGAATGCTGCTTTAACTTAAGAACATTCAAAACAGAGCCTGAAAATTTGGACTCTAGTGGGGATGGAAAGGAACAGATGAGCGATCAAGAGAAAGAAACATGCAGGTTCTAGAAATTGAGTGTGAGTAAACCAGAAAGAGATGGAAATTTGTTGATATCAAGATATATTAGATAATATAGCAAGCATCAAGTTTACTTTGGGAAAAAAAAATCCTTTGGTGACAAACAGGTTCTTCATCTGTCCTGGACTATGTTAACTTCTTTTTCTTTTCTCCTTAACAGGGGGCTTTTCTCACAGAAATATTTTTGGATAAGTTAGATTCCTATTGAAAGTTGGTTTTATTTAAAGTACTCAGTTGCCAGAATATGCAATCTTATTTCCCAGTAAGAAACATTTAGGGAAAAATTGGGACTCCATGAAAAATAGATAAAGAGTTATCAATATTTATATTTCCAGGAGTATGGTAGATTAGATATCCTAAAAAACCCCCACCCAATGAATCTAAGAGAATGACTAGAAATATTTTAAAAAATCTTTTAGAAAGTGTCAACAGGCTGGTAAAGAATTAAAGAATATGAAAAATTCTTCAAATTATGTAAAACTAGGAATGCTGGGTGATACTCAGGTATCACCAAATCAGCCTCTTGACCTGTCAGTTTCTGCTGAACTCTGGAGATTTTTGAGCTGCTTCTTTGTGAGCTAATATGAAGAACTAAATCCTATGGCCTATCTAGTTGGGGAACCTAGGGGGAGATCCTGCATAAAATTTTGACTTTTTCAGGATATAAGGAAAAAAAAGTTGCCAAAAAAGATGAAATCAAGGAAACATACCTTCTCAAACTTAGTTGTAGGTAAAGGGAAAAGAAAATAAATTCTTCCCTGAGAGCACATAATCATATACCAGTTCTCAGGTTTGCTGTCTAAATTCAAATAACCTGTATGGTCCAAGGAAAACTGAAGTATAGAATTTAATTTGAATTCCTGGATTTGTCATACCAGCAAGCTACTGAGAAAAGAAAATATCAATCCTCTCTGAGTAATTTAACAGGTCCTATGGAATTCCCATGGTTAAATCTCCAGAAAATTGAGCATCCACACACACATATCAAAATACAGACCACAAAATAATAATGAAAACATACTATGAGTAAGAACCAGCAGAAGTAGACCACAAAGGTTTCAGATATCAGAATTATCAATCAGAATAAAAAGCATATATGTTTAAAGAAATGAGATCCTTAAAAATAAGCTTGGAAGAAGAGATTTTTAGAGAATAAGAACTAAGAGATTTTAAACACAATCAAATAGAATATGTAGAAAAGAAGACTACAGCACATAAAATGTGAAATTTAGAGCACGAATTAAGCTATACATTTTATTTTTGCTCTGCCTAAACTGGAAGTCTAACCTGAAGAGACTTCCAAAACACACCCAGAAGGATTGATATATAAATATAAAAGAGAAGGCAAGAAATATGGAGAATAGAATAAAAAGTAACAGAATTCTAACCAGAGTTCCAAAAGGATGTGAGAGCCTAAGGGAGAGATAGATAGTGCTGGTAACTTTTTATAATTACTAGTAAGCCAAGACTTAGAAGTCCAAGGCAGTAAAAATAAAAATAAAATCACACATTAACACATCATAAATGTTGCAGAAAGATACATTGTGAAAGTAGTCAGAAAGAAATGAAAGATAATCTACAAAATAAAGATAATTAGAATCGTGACTGAACCATCAGAGTAGCACGGAAGACAGAAGACAGTTGATTTATTGAAAGTAGGGAAAAGAGAAAACTTGGACTCTATACCTAGAGACATTCTCAAGAAAACAGGATATTAAAAACTATTTTTTTCAACCCAGAACTTCTCTAGTAAATTCTAATGAATGTTATTCAAACAGATGGGAAATAATTCTAGATGAAGGGGATGAAATGTAAAAAAGGTAATGCCTAGCCTGTAGCTAATACCTAATTTGGCAGCATAATAGTTCAAAAATGCATTGCTCAGATCTCCTTTTAAGAGAGAACCTGTAATGAGGAGTGTAGTCTATTGACAGCCTCTAGCTGCAGCACCTTTGGGATCTATTGCTGTGTTTGAGCCAAGGACAACCCTTCCTAGACAGCTCCCAGTCAATGACTTAGAACATCAGGGATCCCAAAGCACAGCTATTTATGGCCAATGCAAACCTCCTGTGATAGGCAATCTTTGCTCTGGAGCTCTCTATCAAGCTGGCCAAGACTCTCAAAGCTGCACTTCAGTCTCATGCTGCTTCTATCCAATCCCCTTTCATTCCCTGCCTTCTTTCATAGGTGTCAGGCCTGCATCACAGTCTGAAGGCTTTCCCTATTCCTGTTTACTTTCCCCTTATGTTTCATAGGCATTACCAACAATAAAACTCATGCATTCCTATCTCTGTCTTTGTGACTGCTTCCTGGAAGGCAAATCTAACACAACTGATATACCTGGATGGTCTAAGAAGGCAGGTAGTAAGATGCAGTTTGGGGACTTGTCACTCACCAGCCGGGTGGTAAGAAGTACCCCATCTTAAGTGATATATGGGGCAAGGCTACTCCCTGCCACAAGGTAGAGGCCCAGTTGATGAAAATTTCACTGGTGTTTAGGACAAGATAAATATTCTGATGGAGGTATACCTTTGCCAGTGGGACAACTCAGGCATTTAAAAGATAATAAGAGTAACAATATATACAAGGAAAGTAGAATTGGCTGGTTATTAATAAGTTGCATTAACTAACTACAGAGGGGTCAAGAGACACTAAAGGCAGTTAAAAAGGTTGAAAACTAAGTGTGAGAACTAGAGGGCCTGTTTAGTCACTTACAAAGAAGCCCTTATGTTTTTCAGAACAGGAGAGCAGACCCAACTAATGAACAAACTCCAAATCTCATAATTAAAACTGAGAAGGTTCAAAGACTATTGAAAGCAATAATTATCATTATCTTGCTTTCAAGATAATGCTCAGCTAAGATAATGTTTGCAATGCTAAAGACAAGGCCCTGTTTGGGAAAACATGGTAAAAAGGTGTCTGGATGGGTGTCCTTGTGAACTGTGGCTCTGAGGACACCCTGAGACAGAACTTATAAAAATGGCCCAGTCCTCCCTATTAAAGGCTAACTTTGACCTCATGCAGGAAGATTCTTCAAAGGATTCTTCCTCACAAGGCATCAGGCACTCATTTCAGGAAATGACCACATTTTGTCTCCTAGATTTTAGGCTGATAACTAGGGTTAAGTCACAGCACAAGCCAGCTGATGGTGTGCCAGGTTTCTTAAGGGAGAAGAGAAATTGAGTCCCAAATGAACTGCAAGAATTCATTAGTGATATGGTTTGGCTGTGTCCCCACCCAAATCTCATCTTGAATTGTAGCTCCCATAATTCCCACATGACATAGGAGAGAACTGGTGGGAGAGAATTGAATCATGGGGGAGTTTCCTCCCTGCTGTTCTTGTGGTAGTGAATAAGTCTTATGAGATCTGATGGTTTTATAAAGGGAAACATCTTTCGCTTGGTTCTCATTCTCTCTTGTCTGCCACTATGTAAGACATGACTTTTGCCTTCCGCCATGATTAAGGCCTCCCCAGCCACGTGGAACGGTGAGTCCATTAAACCTCTTTTTCTTTATAAATTACCCAGTCTCAGGTATGTCTTTATTAGCAGTGTGAGAACAAACACAGTAAATTGGTACCAGGAGTGGGGTGCTACTGTAAAGATACCTGAAAATGTGCAAGCAACTTTGGAACTGGGTAACAGGCAGATGTTGGAACAGTTTGAAGGGCTCAGAAGAAGACAGGAAAATGTGGGAAAGTTTGGAACTTCCTAGAGACTTGTTGAATAGCTTTGATCAAAATGCTGATGATATAGACAATAAAATCCAGGCTGAGGTGGTCTCAGATGGAGATGAGAAACTTGTTGGAAACTGCAGTAAAAGTGACTGTTGCTATGTTTTAGCAAAGAGAATGGCAGCATTTTGCCCCTGCCCTAGAGATTTGTGGAACATTGAACTTGAGAGAGATGATCTAGAGTATCTGGCAGAAGAAATTTCTAAGCAGCAAAGCATTCAAGAGGTGAGTTAGGTGCTGTTAAATGCATTCAGTTTTAAAAGAAAAACAGAGCATAAAAGTTAAAAAAAAAAATAGAAGCCTGACAATGTGATAGAAAAGAAAAACCCATTTTCTGAGGAGAAATTCAAGCCTGCTGCAGAAATTTGCATAAATAACTGCAAATTTATGATTAACGCAGGTGTTAATTGCCAAAACAATGGGGAAAATGTTTCCAGGGCATGTCAGAGACCTTTGAGGCAGTCCTTCCCCTGGAGGCCTAGGAAGAAAAAATGGTTTCATGGGCCAGACCCAGGGCCCACCTGCTGTGTGTATCCTAGGGACTTGATGCCCTGCATTACAGCCATTCTAGCCACGCTAAAAGAGTCCAAAGTACAGTTCTGGCCATGGCTTCAGAGTGTGAAAGCCCCAAGCCTTGGTAGCCTCCATGTGGTGTTGAGCCTGCGGGTGCACAGAAGTCAAAAATTGAGGTTTGGGAGTCTCCACCTAGATTTCAGAGGATGTATGAAAACCCCTGGTGGTCCAGACCAAAGTTTGCTGCAGGGGCAGGGCCCTCATAGAGAACCTCTGCTAGGGAAGTGCAGGAGGGAAGTGTGGAGTTGAAGCCCTCACACAGAGTCCCTACTTGGGCACTGTGTAGTGGAGCTGTGAGAAGAGGGCTACTGTCCTCCAGACCCCAGAAGGGGGTGCACCATGGCTTTGCACAATGTGCCTGGAAAAGGCGTAGACACTCAACACCAGCCTGTGAAAGCAACCAGGAGGGAAGCTGTGCCTTGCAAAGCCATAGGGGTGGAGCTGCCCAAGACCATGGGAACCCACCTCTTGCATCAGCACACTTTGGATGTGAGACATGGAGTCAAAGGAGATCATTTTGGAGCTTTAAGATTTGATTGCCCCATCGGATTTCAGACTTTTGTGGGGCATTTAGCTCTTTCATTTTGGCCTATTTCTTCCATTTGGAATTGGTGTATTTACTTAATACCTGTACTCCCATTGTATCCAGAAAATAACTAACTTGCTTTTGATCTTACAGGTTCATAGGCAGAAAAGACTTGCCTTGTCTTGGATGAAACTTTGGACTGTGGACTTTTGAGTTAATGCTGAAATAAGACTTTGGAGGACTACTGGGAAGGCTTGATGGCTTTTGAAATGTGGGGACATGAGATTTGGGAGGGACCAGGGTCACAATGATACAGTTTGGCTGTGTCCCCACCCAAATCTCATCTTGAATTGTAGCTCCCATAATTCCCACATATTGTGGGAGGGACCCAGTGGGAGATAATTGAGTCATGGGGGCAGTTTCCCCCATACTGTTCTCATGGTAGTGAATGAGTCTTACAAGATCTGATGGTTTTATAAGGAGAAACCCCTTTCACTTGGTTCTCATTCTCTCTTGTCTGCTGCCATGTAAGACATGCCTTTTGCCTTCTGCCATGATTGTGAGACCTCCCCACCCATGTGGAACTATGAGTCCATTAAACCTCTTTTTCTTTATGATTACCCAGTCTCAGGTGTGTCATTATCAGCAGCATGAAAATGAACTACTAAAACCATCCATTGTAATGATTCCACCAGTCATTTCCCAACAAGATCTACTTGAACATAAGGAAAAGGGGAATACCCAGACATTTCAAGGACTTTTAGATATAGGTTCTTAGTTGACACTGATACCCAAGGATCAAAATCAAGTCTCTGCTGTTAGAGCTGGCATGCAAACACCAGATAATAAATAGATTCTGGCTTACAGTATATCTACTTGGTCTAGGTTGGCTCACTAATAGCATTGGAGCTAATGAGGTACAATGGGGACCGGGTGGTGGTGCTTATATGCCAGAAACTAGGTGGTCAAAATTATGTCTCAACCAGCAGGGACAGAGGTGCAGCCTAGGGGGCTTAGCCTACAAGGAGGTGCAGTGTCTCTAGAGACAAAATAAATTAGCAGTTAATGAGGGTGCAGTTACCGCTCTCATTAATGCTAGTTAATGAGACTAGCAGTTATCATTTCACTAGTCTTCAAGTGTATAACTAGGGTTGACATACTTGGAAGTTGGCATAACTCTCAAATTGGGTCTTGGTTCTATTGGTAGGAACCATCATAGTAGGGAAGATCAAGTGGAAGTCTCTGAAATACCCCACACTCAATAGACAGTAAAAAATGAGGCCAGGGACAATGGCTCACGCCTGTAATTCCAGCACTTTGGGAGGCAGAGGTGGGTGGATTGCCTGAGCTCAGGAGTTTGCGACCAGCCTGGGCAAAACGGTGAAACCTTGTCTCTACTAAAATACAAAAAATTAGCCCGGCATGGTGGCATGTGCCTGTAGTCCCAGCTACGCGGGAGACTGAGGCAGAAGAATTGCTTGAACCTGAGAGGTGGAGGTTGCAGTGAGCCAAGATCGCACCACTGCACTCCAGCCTGGGTGACAGAGTGAGACTCTGTCTCAAAAAAACAAAAAAACAAAAAACCCACATTTCAGAAAAAGTGGCAGAGAAGAGTTCTATCCCTAAAGATCTGAAGGATATAAGCATGGTGGTCCCTATCACATCTCCATTTAGCTTATTACTCTGACTGTAAAGAAATTGAGTGAATCCTGGAGAAAAACTGCAGACCACTGCAAGTGAGAGGAGGGGCCGGCTGGGCTTCCTGGGTCGAGTAGGGGCTCAGAAAGCTGTGAAACTTACTCATTTCCTGCATCAGGACTTACTTCGGTCCAGGATGGATAATATTGAAGATATATGCTTAAACTATTCCTAGCACCAGGATTTGTGCATGTGTTTTCTTCCCCAAGAAAGCTATAAACAGCAAAAATGTTGCTGTAAGTTTCCTTGTGTCCTTCTCTCCCTCTCTCCCTTCCCCCTCCCACAAAACTAAAGTTAAAAGGAATGTTAACTGCCTGTTTTTCTGTGACCACCAGGCCTTATCTATCCTCCCAATTCCAATTCCTTGTGAACATACTTTGTAAAGTCCTGTAAGATCCTGTCTTTTTTGCCATGCTGCTGCAAGGTCATAAAGTAGACAAAACCTAAGTTGCAATTCCGGTTTTCCTCAAGATCTAAGACATGTCACAAACGGTTAATTGCCTTTTGTTTCTTGCTCTGGTAGCATTTTCTCGCTGCACATATTTCCCGCCTTAAAGGGTTTAAAAGGAGTGGTGAGAGAGGGCATCCCTGTCTTGTGCCAGTTTTCAAAGGGAATGCTTCCAGTATTTGCCCATTCAGTATGATATTGGCTGTAGGTTTGTCATAGATAGCTCTTATTATTTTGAGATACATCCCATCAATACCTAATTTTTGAGAGCTTTTAGCATGAAGGGTTGTTGAATTTTGTCAAAGGCCTTTTCTGCATCTATTGAGATAATCATGTGGTTTTTGTCTTTGGTTCTGTTTATATGCTGGATTACATTTATTGATTTGCGTGTGTTGAACTGGCCAGGGCAATTAGGCAGAAGGAAATAAAGGGTATTTGATTAGGAAAAGAGGAAGTCAAATTGTCCCTGTTTGCAGATGACATGATTGCATATCTAGAAAACCCCATTGTCTCAACCCAAATTCTCCTTAAGCTGATAAGCAACTTCAGCAAAGTCTCAGGATACAAAATCAATGTACAAAAATCACAAGCATTCTTACACACCAATAACAGACAAACACAGAGCCAAATCACAAGTGAACTCCCATTCACAATTGCTTCAAAGAGAATAAAATACCTAGGAATCCAACTTACATGGGATGTGAAGGACCTCTTCAAGGAGAACTACAAACCACTGCTCAACAAAATAAAAGAGGATACAAAGAAATGGAAGAACATTCCATGCTCATGGGTAGGAAGAATCAATATCATGAAAATGGCCATACTGCCCAAGGTAATTTATAGATTCAATGCCATCCCCATCAAGCTACCAATGACTTTCTTCACAGAATTGGAAAAAACTACTTTAAAGTTCATATGGAACCAAAAAAGAGCTCGCATCACCAAGTCAATCCTAAGCCAAAAGAACAAAGCTGGAGGCATCACGCTACCTGACTTCAAACCATACTACAAGGGTACAGTAACCAAAACAGCATGGTACTGGTACCAAAACAGAGATATAGATCAATGGAACAGAACAGAGCCCTCAGAAATAATGCCACATATCTACAACCATCTGATCTTTGACAAACCTGACAAAAACAAGCAATGGGGGAAGGATTCCCTATTTAATAAATGGTGCTGGGAAAACTGGCTAGCCATATGTAGAAAGCTGAAACTGGATCCCTTCCTCACACCTTATACAAAAATTAATTCAAGATGGATTAAAGACTTACATGTTAGACCTAAAACCATAAAAACCCTAGAAGAAAACCTAGGCAATACCATTCAGGACATAGGCATGGGCAAGGACTTCATGTCTAAAACACCAAAAGCAATGGCAACAAAAGACAAAATTGACAAATGGGATCTAATTAAACTAAAGAGCTTCTGCACAGCAAAAGAAACTACCATCAGAGTGAACAGGCAACCTACAAAATAGGAGAAAATTTTCGCAACCTACTCATCTGACAAAGGGCTAATATCCAGAATCTATAATGAACTCAAACAAATTTACAAGAAAAAAACAACCCCATCAAAAAGTGGGCAAAGGATATGAACAGACACTTCTCAAAAGAAGACATTTATGCAGCCAAAAAACACATCAAAAAATGCTCATCATCACTGGCCATCAGAGAAATGCAAATCAAAACCACAATGAGATACCATCTGGCACCAGTTAGAATGGCGATCATTAAAAAGTCAGGAAACAACAGGTGCTGGAGAGGATGTGGAGAAATAGGAACACCTTTACACTGTTGGTGGGACTGTAAACCAGTTCAACCATTGTGGAAGTCAGTGTGGCGATTCCTCAGGGATCTAGAACTAGAAATACCATTTGACCCAGCCATCCCTTTACTGGGTATATACCCAAAGGATTATAAATCATGCTGCTATAAAGACACATGCACACGTATGTTTATTGCGACACTATTCACAATAGCAAAGACTTGGAACCAACCCAAATGTCCAACAACGATAGACTGGATTAAGAAAATGTGGCACATATATACCATGGAATGCTATGCTGCCATAAAAAACGAAGAGTTCATGTCTTTGTAGGGACATGGATGAAACTGGAAACCATCATTCTCAGCATACTATCGCACTGCATGTTCTCATTCATAGGTGGGAATTGAACAATGAGAACACATGGACACAGGAAGGGGAACATCACACTCCGGGGACTGTCGTGGGGTTGGGGGAGGGGAGAGGGATAGCATTAGGAGATATACCTAATGCTAAATGACGAGTTAATGGGTGCAGCACACCAACATGGCACATGTATACATATGTAACAAACCTGCACATTGTGCACATGTACCCTAAAACTTAAAGTATAATAATAATAAAATAAAATAAAATAAAAAAAGAAAAGTATAGAGGAATGATCTTAGGACATAATAGGATATCTCCAGGGAATTGGATTGACGTTACTGAAGGAATGACAGCTGTCATTATAAGACTGTCAATTCTCTTTGACACTTTTAGACTAGACGCATGCAGTCACTGTGATAAAAATTTGTTACATGTGGTACATAAAGATGAAAGAGGTAGACATAAAAAGTTGGTATGTTAAATACAAACATGCTTACAACACTAGAAAATATTCATGCATTTCACAAAAGTGAAAAAAGTTCAAAATGGACAAAAGCCTTAATAGTCAATACAATAAAGAAAAATATTACATTTAAAAAAAAAAGAGTTTAAAAGGCAATCACAGAATCTAACTCTGGCTACCCGTTCGGGACCCCTTCCACGCTGTGGAAGCTTTGTACTTTCACTTTGCTCAATAAAGCCTACAGCTTTTTGTCTCTCTCTCAGTCTGTGTCTCTATCACTCGCCGAGGTCAGCCGCTACACCAATTCTTTGGCGTGGCTAGGCAAGAACCTTAGGCATTATATAAGCTCAACCAAACAGTAGCCTGTATCATAGCCACTATGCTGGATGTGATAGCATTGCTAGAGAAGATTAATAAGGCCTCAGGTATATGGTATGCAACCATGAATTTAATAAATGTTTTCTAGCCTCATCAAGAATGAGAATCAGAAATACTTGCACTCACATAGAACAAAGAAAATTTCTTTATAGTTTTGCCTTGGGGACATCGGTTCTCTGTCCCTTTCTCATTGCCCAAAGAAATCTGGACTGCCAACTAGTACTCATCAGTGCTAGAAAATAAATGGGAATCATCAGGTTTTAAAATTCATGAAGAGAAGGTCTGTCAAATCCAGGAAGGATGCTTGGTGTCAGCAGGTAACTTCAAATGGACTTTGCTAAAATCTTCCATTGTATAATTTATTACCACTGAGACAAATTGGCTCTGATACTCAACATTGATGTGGAAACTTTTCTAGAATAAGAGAAGATATGTCCTTTCATGTCTCATCTGTAACTAATATAATGTTGAAAAAACTGTAAAAGTGACAGAGACTGAAACCATGAACGACAGAATTGGTTGAGCATCTTCAAATAAATTTTATAAAATTGTCCACTATGAGTGAAAATGTAGTAGTAATAGCATGTTTACTTTCTGGATAGGTTGAAGTCACAGCAATTAGAGTGGCATAATTTTTAAAAAGAGAAAGAGAGAGAGACCTTAGTCTTCATGGTTTCAATCCAGGCCATCCTAACACATTTATCCTCTTCATTGCTAGGGAAAGACATTTTATGGGGGCAATTATTCATGGTTTATGAAAAGTCTTCGTCTTTTATTCAGAAACTTCACTCTTTATTAACCCCAAATCCTTTGGGAAAGTAGAAAGATTCTTAACAGACTTGGAAAGTTACATCCATTAGAGACTTTAATGGTTGTAACTTTCAACCATTAGAAGCATTCTCCAGAGAACTTGCAGGTCAACTGCTGACTCAAGATCTTGCTGGGGTGAATTGACCTACAAGTCAAATGCTAACTTCAAGAAGATCACTAACTGCGTGAAGTTCACTCATGCCCAAAATTTAAACATGTCCAGAACCATTCATTGTTATACTCTCTATTGCTCAAGGATTGGTCAGACAAGGAGTAACTGGATACACTAGGGACTGACCAGGACAGAATCATTCCCAGATGCACATACTACATGCCCTTCAAAGAATTTCTGCCTATCTCGTAGAGATCCTGTTAAAACAGTAACTTGTCTCTGAAAAACAGCTGGCTCAAGTTTTTCTGAAGATGCCTAAGTCATCTCAAGTATATAATCTTACTGTATATAAGACCAAGAGATAAAATGCAAGTATCATTTTTAAATTTTTTTAAATTTTAGAGATAGGGTCTCACACTGTCTCCCAGGCTGGAGGGCAGTGGTAGAATCATAGTTCACTGCAACCTCAAACTCTTGGATTCAAGTGACCCTCCTGCCTCAGCTTCCTGAGTAGCTAGGACTACAAACATGCACTACCATGCTCAGCTTTTTCTTTCTTTCTTTTTTTTTTTTTGAGACAGAGTCTCGCTCTGTTGTCCAGGCTAGAGTGCAGTGGCGCTATCTCGGCTCACTGCAAGCTCCGTATCCTGGGTTCATGCCATTCTCCTGCCTCAGCCTCCTGAGTAGCTGGGACTACAGGTGCCTGTCACCATGTCCGGGTAATTTTTTTTGTATTTTTTGTAGTGACAGGGTTTCACCATGTTAGCAAGGATGGTCTCAATCTTCTGACCTTGTGATCTGCCCGCCTCGGCCTCCCAAAGTGCTGGGATTACAGGCATGAGCCGCCGCACCTGGCTGCTTTTTTTTTTTTAAAGGTGGGGTCTTGCTATTTTGCCCAGGATGGTCTCAAACTCCTGGACTCAAGTGATCCTCCTACCTCAGCCTTCCAAACTGGCAAGTGCTTTTTAAATCCAAATTTTACAGTACTGAAAAGTCAGGATAGAAATAGGCAGGGGGACCTGGGCTGCCTCTGAATTAAAGACAGCAAAGACATGAAACTGGTGTATATACACTTTTGACAGCCATACTCCAGTACCGGGATTCCTGTTTGCCTTGGCCCTAGGGATTCCACAGGGCCCAACCTGGTTTATACCATATGTACCACCCTAACTCAAACCCTGTGCAACTCTTTCCTGACATGTGTCTGCAGGTAGAATGCACAGGTAAAAACCAGGGAAAAAACCCCAGTAAGACTTTCAAAAGAAGAGGCATGAAAATTGAACACATGGACTAGGACTTCTCAAACCATGAAAGACATTTTCCCAGTGTTACTGCTCAAAAGTTGTAATTAAAAGAGTCTAACTGCCCCAAAAGTGAGCATGATTGTTCTTACTTCTTAAGCTAAAAAACCCACAAGGCATTAAAGGAGCCAAAAAACCCTTCATAGATATTAGCTCGAGATTTGAGGACATCTTTGATCTACAGATCTTTGTATTGAGAATAGCAAACTACAAGTATAGCAGTTATTTTGAAGTTTATTTTTATAATTGAACTTTTGATATGTTTTAAAAGCTTGAATGTTTCCAGTAATTGGAATTATTTTTTCTGATATTTTCTTATAGCCTAGATAGTGTTAATGTTTTTCCTAATCAGGTAAGTTTTGATAGTATCTTTCCTTGGGTTTGGTATTGTCAGGATTGGTTTGAAAGTACCAAATTTTCACAGTCTAGAAAAGTTGTTTAAATAAATAAAGTATTTAGGAAACAGATCTTACCTCACTTGTACAAAGTGATTAAAAATAATTGGGGATTCTGAGATACGTTTATCTCTTATCAGAGGTTTAAATGTACGTAAGGCAAAAGGAGTACAAAAGCTGTATCCACAGAGTAAAAGAGGTATTGAATGGGCAGTGTGCAAGCTTGACACTCAAAGTGACCATGGCAGAGAGATGTATGTTGATTGCCCCTAATATTCACTGGTGATTATTCAAAAATCTTCATAAAAAACGTATAGATTTGAAAGTCAAATTGGAAAGAATATAACAGAAACTCTTTCTCTATAATCAATTTCTTCTTAGCTCTGGAGCCTCATTACCATTCAGCACCAGAAAAAGTGGTCTAAAACAACAATTCTTTCCAGCCAAGTTCAAAATATTTAATTGCATTCATGTTTAAAGGTACATTTTGAAGATTTCTCTTCATCCACTGTCTGGGTTTCTGAGAAGTGATGTCCACTAAGCTGTGGGGAGAAAGGGGACATCCATATCTTTTCTAGGTTCCTCTGCATAGCTGCTGGTGCTTAGAGATTTGGTCTTTCAAAAGAAGCACAGACATCTTCAATAGCACAGACGTTGGTCAATGAGGACTCCATCATATGGCATGAGTTTTTCCTGCAGATGCTCCTTGCTTCCCCGGTGGCTTCCAAATATACATGATCCTTCGAAGATTTGACCAGACTATACCAGGGACTGGCAAGCGATGCCCATGGTCAAATATGGCCTACAGCCTGATTTTGTATGACCTAGGAACTATGAAGATTTTTACATTTTTAAAGGATTGTAAAGAAGAAAGAGGAGAGACAGAGACCATATATGGCTTGCAAAGCCTTAAGTATTTACAATCTGGCCCTTTAGAGGAAAAAATTGCCAACCACTGCTCTACATAGGGATCCCATGAGCTGGCCCACATTTCTCTTCGATGTCGTCACTTCTCTCCATCTGCCAGTTCTGTGGTGTTTGTGCTCTTATAATCAATGATCAAGTGTTAACCACCTAGGTTCATGAGGAGCTTGAGTCTTCTTCATGTTAAGCTCATATGTGGTTAATTAGGGGTTGCTTTGGCCTTCTCTAGCCTACTCAGACTTCTTTACCTTCTCCATCCACCTCCTGTGTCCTAGCATTGTCACATGGTTCTGGGTCCTGTTCCTACTCTAAACATGAAGCTGGTTCCAGCCCCCTCAAGCCTTATGAAAGAGTCTGTTTTCCACCCCAACCCCCAGGGTAGAGGAGCATCATTCATTTCTCTTATGTCTCAAAATATGTACTACAATACACTAATGTCTAAAATTACTCAAGGATCCATTAAAAGGACAAATCCATGAGGCTGGACCCTGAGTAACCTCAATGTAATTCCCTGAAAATTTCTGATTATGCAAACAAATTTTGACAAAAGACGGGTATTACCAAGTTATCCATTTATTCTTTATACCAGTATTAAAATGTCCGGTAAGAAGGCAAATCATATGAGGAATTTCCTCAATATCACTACATTTGTAGCAAGGGGGAAAAGAGATATTAGCTCTATTAATTGTAGATACTGATGATTTAGATTTTGATATTCATTCAGTGTTATTTCAATGTTATATTTGGGCAACTGACTCAGAAATATTAGGCCTTAAGAGAAATGTATTAGTCCATTTTGATGTTGCTGATAAAGACATACCCGAGACTGGGCAATTTACAAAAGAAAGAGGTTTAATCGGACTCACAATTCCATGTCGCTGGGGAGGCCTCACAGTCATGGTGGAAGACAAGGAGGAGCAAGTCATGTCTTACATGGATGGCAGCAGGCAAGTAGAGAACTTGTGCAGGGGAACTCCCCTTTTTAAAACCATCAGATCTCATAAGACTTATTCACTATCACAAGAACAGCATGGGGAAGACCTGCCCCCATGACTCAGTTACCTCCCACTGGGTCCCACAACATGTGGGAATTCAATGTGAGATTTGGGTGGGGATACAGCCAAACCATACCAAGAAAATGAACCAATTAATTGTCTTCTTCTTCTAACTCAGTGACACAGGGAAACATAGTCCAGTAAACAGCAGGACCTCACAGTTAACTGCTAAATTAGTCATCCATCTTGGAGGGAAGAACACCTGGATCATGTTACAAATAAACATATAGAAATGGGGCATTACTATAACTAAAGTCCCAAATTGTTTGGCATTGACCTAGGGGTTAAGTGGCAAGAAGGTTAGAGGCTGGAAGGTTAACAATCCATGTTAAAGAGTGGTGAAACATTTGGTAAAAATGTCACTTGTGACACAGTGGTAGGCAGATCATGTATATGCTTGCTAAACTTGTATTTGTGAGACAAGAGGTTGGAAAAGAGAATTTTAGTTACCATTGGCTATATTTGTCAACAAACAAGAAATTAATTAACTCAGGAAAGAATTGGCTGGTTTACAAGCAAGAATAAAAGGGAACAGAGAGGGTCTGGAAGGTTTGAAACTTGCCCTATTGGGAAAGGCACTGCCTCTCATCTCCAGCTGGTAAAAGAGAAAAATGGGAAGGCTTCTGAGTAACAAAGATTTATTAGAAATTAGTTTTACAGCAAGAACCACATCAAAGTCATGGCCAAAGCTTAAAACTTCTGAATGATCAATTATCATAGAGCACAGGGCCCGTTAAGGTTATAGCATCCTTTTAAGAGGACAATAAGGCTGAGCAAAAGGAGACAAAGGCTATGATTTTCCCACTACAACCTTGTAAGCTCAAGCTGAGCACTTAATTAAAAGTAGCACAGTCTTGAAAATAATTGTGAACATGTCTATTGGCACATGCTGCTGCTTGTAATCCAACAGATAAGACCTAATTACATTTATAGTTGACTCTAAAGAAGCATTAAACTAGACCAAAATTTGATGACTATTTGAAACTTAAAATCACACTTGGGCCCTAAAGCATAGACTGAGAAAGCTTCTCGACCACTAAGAAGGATATATTCTCTCATGCTCTCCTCAGATAGAGCCGAGGAAGATAAGAAGCAAGAAACTCCCCAAGGGTGAAGCCATAGGCACTGGGGAACAGGGAATTAGGAATTTTCTCCCAGGAAGTAGAATTGAGCCCTAACTAGAAACCCCCCAGCCTCAGCATAAAGGGCCCTGGGCCTGCACATATGTACAGGGTGATTTCAGAATTGCTACATCCCATTGACCCCAAGTGTCCCATTTTTTTTCCCACCTGAACAAGACTGTTTATTGTTGTTATCCATTCATTATTCTGGCAAAGTATATTGAGTGTGTGAGAAACTAATAACTTGTCATCTTAGTTTATAGGTTTTCAGGTAATGAAGAGTCACACCTGGACCTGATGTAAAGACTTTATCTCTCATTGAGTTGGGATGTTGGGCTTTGAGTTGTATGTGCTGACGGAAGGTGGCTTTGGGGCGGTCTCTCTCAAAAAAGGATGTTTTGTCTGCAGTAGGGGAAAAAAAGAAGTGACCTGCCTATTTTGTGGCCAGAAGAGCAAATTAGTGTATTTTGTTGACTGTTTGTATTGCTCTGCTTTCTTAGAAAATGGCAGGATTTTACTTCCTTGTTCTCTTGGAAATGCATAAGGCCTCATGACTACTCCTGGCCAGTGACTTGTGGGCAATATGTGTCACATCCAGGCAAATTATTTAGTGGTTGGTGCTAGACCCTCCAGAATTCTCTTTCCATTGTCTTAGCAGCCAGCAATGCTTAAAGTGATAGCTGATACATCAGTCCCTGAGCGACTATGACAAGCAAAAACTCTCTGTTGATCTATACTTGACAGTTCATTTCTCACTCAGGCTTGCAGCCTCTTTTAAGCCACAGAGATCTGGGGGATGTTTGGTAGTGCAACATAATCTAATCAATGCTGACTGATAAAAGAACCAATGGGGAAGATGAAGGAAAAGGTAATAGGGACCGTTCTTTTTTTATTTTTTTATTTTTTAGGCGGAGTCTCGCACTCTTGCCCAGGATGGAGTGCAGTGGTGCGATCTCGGCTCACTGCAAGGTCCGCCTCCCAGGTTCACGCCATTCTCCTGCCTCAGCCTCCTGAGTAACTGGGACTACAGGTGCCTGCCACCACGCCCAGCTAATTTTTTATATTTTTAGTAGAGACAGCGTTTCACCGTGTTAGCCAGGATGGTCTCGATCTCCTGACCTTGTGATCTGCCTGCCTCGGCCTCCCAAAGTGGTGGGATTACAGGCGTGAGCCACCGTGCCTGGCCCGTTTTCTTTTTTTACACCATCCCTAAAAAGTATAAAATTATGGGCTTCTAAGGAATAGATTATTAATGGTGCTTAAATTTGTTCTTCCAAATATATTTGCAGGATATGAAATTGATGAGAGATTAATATTTAAAATGTATAATAAAAGACAGAAACTCCATGGCAAAAAAAAAAAAAAAAAAAAAACTGTGCAAAGTATATATCTATCGGCTGTTTATGGAAAAGAAAACCCAAAAGGCTAGCAAGAATATAACAAGATGCTCAAACTCTTAAGTAATCAGAAATGTAAATTTATAAAAGATATCACTTTATACCTATTAGCCTGGAAATAGTAAGCTAGATAATTGTTAACTGTTGGCAAGAATGTTGAGAAAAGGAAGTCCTCAAGAATGGCTGATGGGAAGTGGACTAGTGCAGTCTTTCCACAGGGCAACTGGTCACCAATGCAGTCAAGTGAAGAATCCTTAAAACTAGTTCTGGGTGTAAACGGTATTAAATAGAATAAAATAGAATGAGACAAACTGTTTCTGTAAGTTCATAGATTTATGCAGAACAGTACACATTTTACAAGAACATATATAAAAGAGGACTGACATTAAATTGATTAGAATGTTTGCCAATGACACCAGAGGACAATGGGAGTAAAGAATGAAGATAAATGGAAATGATAAAAGCCTTAATGATAATGAGCCACAAATTGATTATCACTACCATCTGCACTAGACATCTACCCCCAAATAAGTAACTTTGTTATTTTCCTCATTCCAACTGGTTATAGCCAGAAAGCAAATATTTTTTTCAGTGATTGTCATATGACAAAAGACTTTAAGCCCTATAAACAAACCCTGAGAAATCCAAGATCCTTTGAGTGTAAGCAAAGGCCAGTAAACATAGGAGAATGATTTTATAACAGTAGTATGCAGATAAATGTTTAACAACCGGCTCTGGATGGGAGGAGTAGAGACTTGATTTGAAGGGCTTGCTGATTTCTGTGATGTAAATATTCCCATCATGGGCTGATTTTAAATTATCAACAGTTTAACTAACACATGGCGAAATTCTTTTTTTTTTTTTTTAACATAAAATGTACCATTTTAATCATCTTTCAATGTACAGTTCAATGGCATTCAATACATTCATATTGCTATGTAACCATCACCACCATCCACCTTCAGAATTTTTTGTCATCTTAAACGGAAACTGTAAGTAAACAGTAACTTCCCAGTCCCCTCTCCCCCTAGCCCCTGGTAACCACTGTTCTACTTTCTGTCTCTGTGAATTTGACTACTCTAGGTCCCTCGCATGCCTTGGTCAGCTTGAGCTGCCACAGCAAAATATCACAAACTGGGTAACTTAACAGACAGGCTGAAGTTCTGGAGGCCAAAAGCCTGAGATCAAAGTGCCAGCATAGTCGGTTTTGGTGAGGGCTCTCTTTCTAGCTGTAGGCTGTGGCCTTTTCACTATGTTCTCAGGTGGCAGGGAGAAACAGAAGTCTCTGTGTCTTTTTTTCTTTTTTTGGAAATGAAAGTATGTTTTCTTTTCTTTTCTTTTTTTCTTTTTTTGAAGATGGAGTCTCACTCTGTTGCCCAGGCTGGAGTGCAGTGGTGCAATCTCTGCTCACTGCCACCTCCACCTCTCAGGTTCAAGAGATTCTTCTGCCTCAGCTTCCCAAGTAGCTGTGATTACAGGCGCCCACCACTATGTCCAGCTAATTTTTCTATTTTTAGTAGAGGCGGGGTTTCACCATGTTGGCCAGACTGGTCTCGAACTCATGACCTCAAGCAATCTGCCTGACTCAGCCTCCCAAAGTGTTGGGATTACAGGCGTGAGCCACCATGCCCAGCCTCTGTGTCTCTTCTTATAAGGACATGAAGAATAACACACCAAAAAATCAAATACTGTATGATTCCTCTTACATGATGCTGTTGAACGAATTGAGTCTACTCAGAATTCATGTTAAAGCCCCAACACCCAGTGTGACTGTATTTGGAGAAAGGGCCTTTATGGAGATAATGAAGTTTGAACCAGCCACCACACCCAGTTAATGTTTTGTATTTTTAGTAGAGACGGGGTTACTCCGTGTTGGGCAGGCTGGTCTCAAACTCCTGACCTCAGGCTTCCTGAGGTGATCCACCTGCCTTGGCTTCCCGACGTGCTGGAAAGGTCATCAGGGTGTGGCTCTGATCCAACTGTTTGTTACTTTGTATTGTTATTCGTTGTGGCTTATTTCACTTAGTATAATGTCTTCAGGGTTCATCTGTGTTACAGCATGTGTCAGAATTTTATCACTTTTTTTTTAAATTTTTTTTTATTATACTTTAAGTTTTAGGGTACATGTGCACATTGTGCAGGTTAGTTACATAAGTATACATGTGCCATGCTGGTGTGCTACACCCACTAACTCGTCATCTAGCATTAGGTATATCTCCCAATGCTATCCCTCCCCCTCCCCCCACCCCACAACAGTCCCCAGAGTGTGATGTTCCCCTTCCTGTGTCCATATGATCTCATTGTTCAATTCCCACCTATGAGTGAGAATATGCGGTGTTTGGTTTTTTGTTCTTGCGATAGTTTACTGAGAATGATGATTTCCAATTTCATCCATGTCCCTACAAAGGACATGAACTCATCATTTTTTATGGCTGCATAGTATTCCATGGTGTATATGTGCCACATTTTCTTAATCCAGTCTATCATTGTTGGACATTTGGGTTGGTTCCAAGTCTTTGCTATTGTGCATAATGCTTCAATAAACATACGTGTGCATGTGTCTTTATAGCAGCATGATTTATAGTCCTTTGGGTATATACCCAGTAATGGGATGGCTGGGTCAAATGGTATTTCTAGTTCTAGATCCCTGAGGAATCGCCACACTGACTTCCACAATGGTTGAACTAGTTTACAGTCCCACCAACAGTGTAAAAGTGTTCCTATTTCTCCACATCCTCTCCAGCACCTGTTGTTTCCTGACTTTTTAATGATTGCCATTCTAACTGGTGTGAGATGGTATCTCATTGTGGTTTTAATTTGCATTTCTCTGATGGCCAGTGATGATAAGCATTTTTTGATGTGTTTTTTGGCTGCATAAATGTCTTCTTTTGAGAAGTGTCTGTTCATATCCTTTGCCCACTTTTTGATGGGGTTGTTTTTTTCTTGTAAATTTGTTTGAGTTCATTATAGATTCTGGATATTAGCCCTTTGTCAGATGAGTAGGTTGCGAAAATTTTCTCCTATTTTGTAGGTTGCCTGTTCACTCTGATGGTAGTTTCTTTTGCTGTGCAGAAGCTCTTTAGTTTAATTAGATCCCATTTGTCAATTTTGTCTTTCGTTGCCATTGCTTTTGGTGTTTTAGACATGAAGTCCTTGCCCATGCCTATGTCCTGAATGGTAATGCCTAGGTTTTCTTCTAGGGTTTTTATGGTTTTAGGTCTAACGTTTAAGTCTTTAATCCATCTTGAATTAATTTTTGTATAAGGTGTGAGGAAGGGATCCAGTTTCAGCTTTCTACATATGGCTAGCCAGTTTTCCCAGCACCATTTATTAAATAGGGAATCCTTTCCCCATTGCTTGTTTTTCTCAGGTTTGTCAAAGATCAGATAGTTGTAGATATGCAGCGTTATTTCTGAGGGCTCTGTTTTGTTCCATTGAGCTATATCTCTGTTTTGGTACCAGTACCATGCTGTTTTGATTACTGTAGCCTTGTAGTATAGTTTGAAGTCAGGTAGTGTGATGCCTCCAGCTTTGTTCTTTTGGCTTAGGATTGACTTGGCGATGCGGGCTCTTTTTTGATTCCATATGAACTTTAAAATAGTTTTTTCCAATTCTGTGAAGAAAGGCATTGGTAGCTTGATGGGGATGGCATTGAATCTGTAAATTACCTTGGGCAGTATGGCCATTTTCACGATATTGATTCTTCCTACCCAAGAGCATGGAATGTTCTTCCATTTGTTTGTATCCTCTTTTATTTCCTTGAGCAGTGGTTTGTAGTTCTCCTTGAAGAAGTCCTTCACATCCCTTGTAAGTTGGATTCCTAGGTATTTTATTCTCTTTGAAGCAATTGTGAATGGGAGTTCACTCATGATTTGGCTCTCTGTTTGTCTGTTGTTGGTGTATAGGAATGCTTGTGATTTTTGCACATTGATTTTGTATCCTGAGACTTTGCTGAAGTTGCTTATCAGCTTAAGGAGATTTTGGGCTGAGACAATGGGGTTTTCTAGATATACAATCATGTCATCTGCAAACAGGGACAATTTGACTTCCTCTTTTCCTAATTGAATACCCTTTATTTCCTTCTCCTGCCTAATTGCCCTGGCCAGAACTTCCAACACTGTTGAATAGGAGTGGTGAGAGAGGGCATCTATGTCTTGTGCCCGTTTTCAAAGGGAATGCTTCCAGTTTTTGCCCATTCAGTATGATATTGGCTGTGGGTTTGTCATAGATAGCTCTTATTATTTTGAAATATGTCCCATCAATACCTAATTTATTGAGAGTTTTTTAGCATGAAGCATTGCTGAATTGTGTCAAAGGCCTTTTCTGCATCTATTGAGATAATCATGTCGTTTTTGTCTTTGGCTCTGTTTATATGCTGGATTACATTTATTGATTTGCGTATATTGAACCAGCCTTGCATCCCAGGGATGAAGCCCACTTGATCATGGTGGATAAGCTTTTTGATGTGCTGCTGGATTCGGTTTGCCAGTATTTTATTGAGGATTTTTGCATCAATATTCATTAAGGATATTGGTCTAAAATTCTCTTTTTTGGTTGTGTCTCTGCCTGGCTTTGGTATCAGAATGATGCTGGCCTCATAAAATGAGTTAGGGAGGATTCCCTCTTTTTCTATTGATTGGAATAGTTTCAGAAGGAATGGTACCAGTTCCTCTTTGTACCTCTGGTAGAATTGGGCTGTGAATCCATCTGGTCCTGGACTCTTTTTGGTTGGTAAGCTATTGATTATTGCCACAATTTCAGAGCCTGTTATTGGTCTATTCAGAGATTCAACTTCTTCCTGGTTTAGTCTTGGGAGAGTGTATGTGTCAAGGAATTTATCCATTTCTTCTAGATTTTCTAGTTTATTTGCATAGAGCTGTTTGTAGTATTCTCTGATGGTAGTTTGTAATTCTGTGGGATCGGTGGTGATATCCCCTTTATCATTTTTTATTGTGTCTATTTGATTCTTCTCTTTTTTTCTTTATTAGTCTTGCTAGTGGTCTATCAATTTTGTTGATCCTTTCAAAAAACCAGCTCCTGGATTCATTGATTTTTTGGAGGGTTTTTTTGTGTCTCTATTTCCTTCAGTTCTGCTCTGATTTTAGTTATTTCTTGCCTTCTGCTAGCTTTTGAATGTGTTTGCTCTTGCTTTTCTAGTTCTTGTAATTGTGACGTTAGGGTGTCAATTTTGGATCTTTCCTGCTTTCTCTTGTGGGCATTTAGTGCTATAAATTTCCCTTTACACACTGCTTTGAATGCGTCCCAGAGATTCTGGTATGTTGTGTCTTTGTTCTCATTGGTTTCAAAGAACATCTTTATTTCTGCCTTCACTTCGTTATGTACCCAGTAGTCATTCAGGAGCAGGTTGTTCAGTTTCCATGTAGTTGAGCGGTTTTGAGTGAGATTCTTAATCCTGAGTTCTAGTTTGATTGCACTGTGGTCTGAGAGATAGTTTGTTATAATGTCTGTTCTTTTACATTTGCTGAGGAGAGCTGTACTTCCAAGTATGTGGTCAATTTTGGAATAGGTGTGGTGTGGTGCTGAAAAAAATGTATATTCTGTTGATCTGGGGTGGAGAGTTCTGTAGATGTCTATTAGGTCCGCTTGGTGCAGAGCTGAGTTCAATTCCTGGGTATCCTTGTTGACTTTCTGTCTCATTGATCTGTCTAATGTTGACAGTGGGGTGTTAAAGTCTCCCATTATTAATGTGTGGGAGTCTAAGTCTCTTTGTAGGTCACTCAGGACTTGCTTTATGAATCTGGGTGCTCCTGTATTGGGTGCATATATATTTAGGATAGTTAGCTCTTCTTGTTGAATTGATCCCTTTACCATTATGTAATGGCCTTGTCTCTTTTGATCTTTGTTGGTTTAAAGTCTGTTTTATCAGAGACTAGGATTGCAACCCCTGCCTTTTTTTGTTTTCCATTTGCTTGGTAGATCTTCCTCCATCCCTTAATTTTGAGCCTATGTGTGTCTCTGCACGTGAGATGGGTTTCCTGAATACAGCACACTGATGGGTCTTGACTCTTTATCCAATTTGCCAGTCTGTGTCTTTTAATTGGAGCATTTAGTCCATTTACATTTAAAGTTAATTGTGTTATGTGTGAATTTGATCCTGTCATTATGATGTTAGCTGGTTATTTTGCTCGTTAGTTGATGCAGCTTCTTCCTAGTCTCGATGGTCTTTACATTTTGGCATGATTTTGCAGTGGCTGGTACCGGTTGTTCCTTTCCATGTTTAGCGCTTCCTTCAAGGAGCTCTTTTAGGGCAGGCCTGGTGGTGACAAAATCTCTCAGCATTTGCTTGTCTGTAAAGTATTTTATTTCTCCTTCACTTATGAATCTTAGTTTGGCTGGATATGAAATTCTGGGTTGAAAATTCTTTTCTTTAAGAATGTTGAATATTGGTCCCCACTCTCTTCTGGCTTGTAGGGTTTCTGCCAAGAGATCCACTGTTAGTCTGTTGGGCTTCCCTTTGAGGGTAACCCGACCTTTCTCTCTGGCTGCCCTTAACATTTTTTCCTTCATTTCAACTTTGGTGAATCTGACAATTATGTGTCTTGGAGTTGCTCTTCTCGAGGAGTATCTTTGTTGCATTCTCTGTATTTCCTGAATCTGAACGTTGGCCTGCCTTGCTAGATTGGGGAAGTTCTCCTGGATAATACCCTGCAGACTGTTTTCCAACTTGGTTCCATTCTCCCCATCACTTTCAGGTACACCAATCAGACGTAGATTTGGTCTTTTCACATAGTCCCATATTTCTTGGAGGCTTTGCTCGTTTCTTTTTATTCTTTTTTCTCTAAACTTTCCTTCTCGCTTCATTTCATTCATTTCATCTTCCATTGCTGATACCCTTTCTTCCAGTTGATTGCATCGGCTCCTGAGGCTTCTGCATTCTTCACGTAGTTCTCGAGCCTTGGTTTTCAGCTCCATTAGCTCCTTTAAGCACTTCTCTGTATTGGTTATTCTAGTTATACATTCTTCTAAATTTTTTTCAAAGTTTTCAACTTCTTTGCCTTTGGTTTGAATGTCCTCCCGTAGCTCAGAGTAATTTGATTGTCTGAAGCCTTCTTCTCTCAGCTCGTCAAAGTCATTCTCCGTCCAGCTTTGTTCTGTTGCTGGTGAGGAGCTGCGTTCCTTTGGAGGAGGAGAGGCGCTCTGATTTTTAGAGTTTCCAGTTTTTCTGTTCTGTTTTTTCCCCATCTTTGTGGTTTTATCTACTTTTGGTCTTTGATGATGGTGATGTACAGATGGGTTTTTGGTGTGGATGTCCTTTCTGTTTGTTAGTTTTCCTTCTAACAGACAGGACCCTCAGCTGTAGGTCTGTTGGAGTACCCTGCCATGTGAGGTGTCAGTGTGCCCCTGCTGGAGGGTGCCTCCCAGTTAGGCTGCTTGGGGGTCAGGGGTCAGGGACCCACTTGAGGAGGCAGTCTGCCCCTTCTCAGATCTCCAGCTGTGTACTGGGAGAACCCCTGCTCTCTTCAAAGCTGTCAGACAGGGACATTTAAGTCTGCAGAGGTTACTGCTGTCTTTTTGTTTGTCTGTGCCCTGCCCCCAGAGGTGGAGCCTACAGAGGCAGGCAGGCCTCCTTGAGCTGTGGTGGGCTCTACCCAGTTCGAGCTTCCCGGCTGCTTTGTTTACCTAAGCAAGCCTGGGCAATGGTGGGCGCCCCTCCCCCAGCCTCGCTGCTGCCTTGCAGTTTGATCTCAGACTGCTGTGCTAGCAATCAGCAAGACTCCGTGGGGTAGGACCCTCTGAGCCAGGTGCGGGATATAATCTCGTGGTGCGCCGTTTTTTAAGCCCGTCGGAAAAGCGCAGTATTCTGGTGGGAGTGACCTGATTTTCCAGGTGCCGTCCGTCACCCCTTTCTTTGATTAGGAAAGGGAACTCCCTGACCCCCTGTGCTTCCCGAGTGAGGCAATGCCTTGCCCTGCTTCGGCTCGTGCATGGTGCGCGCACCCACTGACCTGCGCCCACTGTCTGTCACTCCCTAGTGACATGAACCCGGTACCTCAGATGGAAATGCAGAAATCACCCGTCTTCTGCGTCGCTCAGGCTGGGAGCTGTAGACTGGAGCTGTTCCTATTCGGCCATCTTGGCTCCTCCCAGGCGAAATTCTTAAAAATTTAACAATTGACCTTCACAAGCTGGTAGGAGCATGCTCCAGCACACTGCCTTTGAAACTCCAGAATTAAAGCATGAGATACAGTAATCTAAATGTAGAGCTTGCCAAGGGTGGCACATAAAACACTTAGAGGTTTCCTGTCCATAATCTCTCAGAAAGTAATTCATTTCACTTGCATTGACTCTTTAAACTGAACTAGGGGAAACCTCTTACATTGTTCAGATTGAAATGTTTACTACACAAACTTAGACCCCATTGTTTAACAAGGGTCTAGCTAGACCTGAATCAAAAAGCCTAAACCTTGGGTGGTCTATTTTGTTATTACCCATAAGGAACAAAGTACAACAGTGGTATATTGTTACAACTTGGACAAAAGATCATAGATCAAGTTAAAAAGTACAGATAGTCTGGACCTACCAGTTTACAAATGCTTTCCATTTCCCTCAAAACATATTGATGTGGCTCACCCGATGAGCCTGCTTGTCTATTCAACAGAATGGGTAATTTCCAATATGCTCCATTTCCAACATTCAGTTTTCTCCTTGTTCTTCTTTTTGGCAGATTCTATTTTGCAACAGAGGTATAATTTCTCAGAAAACTATTTTTCTCCACTATTAAGTGATGACAGTACAATCTCCTGAAAGAGCTTCATGAAATTAGATTTGGAAGTATCAGCAGAGCCTTGGTACATGGTACACGGTACATGCTTACATAGCAGTTTTTCTTTTTAGTTCCCTTATGCTAACCTACCTTTGTGAACTAAAACAATAAGAACAAGAACAAAATAAGAGCAAATTAGTTTCTAATCTAAGCTTTCCTGCTGTCTTCTTTGCTAATAGCTGGTTTACTCCTTAAGAACATTTTCTGTACCCCTCTTTAAAAAATATGACACTTACTTAACCTCAGCTCCAACACTCCCATTTCATCAAACATATATATATTATATCCTCTTCTGAGACCAGGAAATCATTACAAAACCCATTTGTCCAAACTTCTTTTTATAAAATCAAACAGCTGAAACTTATAATACTCTTCATGCAAGTATAGAATCCATAGATTTAGGCTGAGTGATTCTTAACAAGTCAGGTACTGTAGGTTAGGGGCCATCTTGGAAACATAGGAGCATTTTTGGTTGTCTGATGACTGGGGACAGAGACATGGAAGCTCAGGCATTTAGTATGTAGGAGCAAGGATGCTGGATACTCTAAAACACACAGGACAATCCAATGCAGGAAATACCCTCTTGCACAATGTTTTAATGTCCCATGACGCCAAACCCACTACAAGTATAAATCAACGATACTTTACTAGATGAAATACTGAAAATATTTGCATATATTTATGCAAGAAGTCAATGTAATTTAAGTGAAGAATGTTACAGAGAGAAAAGCTTAAATGGGATAAAGACATTATTTTGAAACTATTGAATAATTTACTTACTCTTTGCTTTCCATCTACTCAATGTAGTGTAGCTTTCCAATTGCATATTAGTTAAAAAGGGTTTTAGTGCAGAAGTGAAATTACTGCAAAAATGACAAGGCAGATTGCAAATACATAATAGATGTGGGACTTCTTTTAAGTGACTTGATGCTAAATATTATTAAATTATCAGAACGCATGGAGATCTCACTACATTTCACTATAATTTTTTTTTAAATTTCACATTTTACCATCTTATATTATTTTTATAGTACAAGGATAAAACCTTGTGTTGTGAAACCAGCATTGGAATTACTTTGGGGTTGTCTGTTTTCAGTTCTTATTTCACAGCTATCCCTGATGGTTGACCACACAATTTCTGTATAGCCTCTTATTTTACTGTTTCTTTCTAGTCCACTCTATAATCCCTATTGCCTACTGAAGAATATAGCTTCCCATGCCTTTTTAGTCAAGACTGAACATACGCTCTAATATGTAATGGGATTTCAAAATAGGAGGAGATGTGACACTTTGTCACTATTATATCCTATATCATAATATAGGAAATTTTAACAGCATACTTGTAATGCTGAGCTCATTTGCAAGAACCATATATCCTCATTGTTTCCACTTCAAGTCTATAATTTATTCACACTTTGACTGGGGTTGTTCCCTCTCATTGTATACAAATAAGCCCTCTTTTTCTCATATGCAAGAGTAATACTAGATTTTATTCCAGTGTCTGCCCATACCACTTGCAAAAGACTAAATGTCTGTGCCCCCCTCATGAATGGGATTAGTACCCTTATGTAAGAGACCCCAGGGATCTCTCTAGCTCTCTTTCAGTCATGTGAAGATACAATGGAAACTCAGCAATCTGCAATGGGGAAGAACACCCTCACCAGAACCCAACCATGCTGGCACCCTGATCTACCTCCAGAACTATGAGAAAGAAATGTTTGTTTAAGCCACCCAATCTATGATATTTTTGTTATAGCAGCCCAAATGGACTAAGATATCACTGCTTCAATTTCTGTTTGTCTTCTATAGAATGACTTTTGCTCTTCTCACCTACTTATTCAAGAAGGTAGTGGTATCTCACTACTTCATTGTCTTTTAATGTGATTAAGACTGAACATTTATGTATTGGGACATAGAATTTCTTAATTTTTAAAAATTTCTCTTTTATGTAACGGTATTACACTGATTTTTTAAAAACTGTATAGTTAGGTTATATTATTGATAACTTTCATTTTGGCATAGCAAACAGGGCATTACAAAGATTTATTGTAAGGGAGCATTGAGTCTGATAGGACTGAGAACCATAGATTTAAGGGAATCTTATAAACATGAGCTCTCCCAGGCTTTAAAGCAAATTCCTTACCATTGAGGCCAATCCTCATTTTTTAAGATGGAGGCCAAGTCAGTGATTCTCGGTGTTTAAACAGTATCTTTGCCTTAAATTCTCCTGCATTGCCAAAAAAAAAAAAACAAAAAAATGCTGTCCTTTGGTAGTTTTTAAGAATAAAAAATATAACTGACTACTACATATCAATTATAATGTCTAAAATTTAAAACACACACACACACACACACACACACACACACACACACGCACATAAAACCAATTGCTGGTGAGGATCTGGAGCAATAGGAACCCTCATTCATTGCTGGTGGAAATGCAAAAAGGTACAGTCATCTTGGAATACAGTTTGGCAATTTCTTACAAAGTTAATAGTCTTACCATACATCTAGCAATCATGCTTATAGATATTTACCCAACTGATCTGAAAATTTATGTTCACACAAAAATCTGCACATGAATGTCTATAGTAGCTTTATTCATCTTCACAAAAAACTAAAGGCAACCAAGATGTCCCTCAATTGTTGTTGGACAAACAAGCTATGGTGTGTCCATATGCACTATATTGGATATTGTGAATCTTAATTTTATAAATATTAATCAGAGATTAAAAAAAAGAAATGAGATCTCAAACCACACAAAGACATGGATGGATCTTAAACACACATTACACCGTGAAATAAGCCAGTCTGAAAAGGCTACGTGTCATATGATTCCAATTATATGACACTCTGGAAGAGATAAAACTATATAGACCATAGAGAGAACAGTGGTTTCCAGAAAGGAGAAGGCTGAATAGGTGAAGTGCAGGAGATTTTTTTAGGGCATATGTTCTTTATGATCATGTAATTGTGAATATCTGATATTGCACATTTATCAAAACCCATAGAACTTTATAGCACAAAGAATAAACCTTAATGTATCCACATTTTAAAAAAGCATTTAGAAGGTCAGGAAATCTCAGGACAGAATGCAGATGGTGATAAAATGATCCAATTGTATTACAAATGTATGGAACAATCTCACTGAAGAGGGTGAGGAAATAGGTGTTGACCTAAGTAACTTTGGAAATGAGTGGAGTCTCCAACACTAAAGCAAAAGTTACTGTACATATACACTGTACTCTAGTTAGTAAAGTTATTTCTCACTGGGGTACAGCCCAACAATTCTGATACCTCTACACATGGATACTAGAATGAATAAGTAAATAGATGGTACATAACAGGAGTCAATTTTCTCAGTATTGGGAATTTACAAGTAAGCAAAGAAAGGAAGATAGAACGATCCATGTGGCAATAGAGTAGAGTGGAAGACATCAATATCAATATAAACTCATGTTTAGCTTAATATAAATATAGATATTTGCATATAAAATATTTATTGAAACATATATGAAAACTTTAGTACATGGGTTAGTGTATTTTCTTCCTTTGTGGACTGACAGAACCTAAAAGCAATGACACCTCAACAACAATGAGCATGCCTAGCACCCAGATCTTGGTTTCTAATACCTTTCTCCAATAAAAGAAACAGGGGCTCCTTGGAGAAACTGCTGATTCTAGCACTAGGATAGTAAATGTCGAAGATAAGCCTGGCCTTAAATGTAAAATATAAAACTGTAAAACTTTTTAGGAAAAAAATATGATAAACTCTTCAGGAGCTAAAGCTAGGCAAAAAGTTCTTGAGCTTGACACTAAAAGCATGATTCCATGAAAAAAAAAAGTTTCAAATTGGGCTTCATCAAAATTTAAAACTTTCACCCTGTGAAAAACTCCATTAAGAGAGACTAGGCACCACTGTGTAATACCAACACTTTGGGAGGCCAAAGCAGGAGGACTGCATGAGGCCAGGAGTTTGAGACTAGCCTGGGCAACATAGTGAGATCCCATCTCTACAAAAAATTTTAAATTATTCATAGCTGGGCATGGTGGCTCATGTCTGTAGTCCAGCTACTTAGGAGGCTGAAGCAGGAGGATCTCTTGAGCCCATAAGGTCAAGGCTGAATTGAGCCATGATCATGCCACTGCACTCCAGCTTGGGCAACAGAGTGAGAGCCTGTCTTTAAAAAAAGAGAAAGAATAAAAAACCAATCTACAGGCTGAGAGAAAATATTTGTAAAGCACATTTCTGGCAAAGTACTAGTATCTTGAATAAATGCAATAATAGTGAAAAAGCAAAGACTACAATGAGATAATGAGCAAAAGACATAAAAAGACATTGCATCCAAGAGGATATACAGATATCAAATAGGCCCCTGAAAAGATGTTTAACATTATTGGACATCAAAGAAACACAAATTAAAATCACAATGAGATATAACTACATACCTTTCAGAATGGCTAAAATAGAAAATGATGACAACACCAAACACTGACCAGGATGTAGAGAAACTGGATCATTCATACGTTGCTGATGAAAATATAAAGTGATAGAGCAACTCTCGGAAACAGTTTGGCAGTTTCATTGAAAACACAACATGCAACTACCAAATAGCTCAGCAATTGTGCCCCTGAGCATTTATCACAGATAAATAATAACTTATAGTCACACAGAAATGTATACAGTAGTGTTCCTAGCAATTTTATGTATAATAGCCAAAAATTGGAAATAACTCAGATATCCTGCAATAGGTGAATGGTTAAATAAACTGTGACACTTCCACGCCATAAAATACTACTCAGCAATAAAAAGGAATCAACTATTGCTATCTACAGGAACCTAGATGAATCACCAGAGAATTAGGTTAAGTTTAAAAAGCCAGTCCCCAAAGTTTGCCTGTTGTATGAGTCTATTCACTTAACATTTTTAAAATGATAGATTATACAAATAGAGAACAGCTTAGTAGTTGCCAGAGGTTAAGTGGTATAGGAAGGAAGGTGGATGTGGCTACAAAAGGTCAGCATGGGGGATCCTTGTGGTGATGGAAATGTTTGTATTTTGACTGTATCAATGTCAATAATGTAGTGACAATATTGTACTACAATAGTTTTGCAAGATGTTACCATTGGGGTATGCTGGGTAAAGGGTATATCTGATCTCTTTGTATTGTTCTTACAACTGCATGTGAATCTAAAATTACCTCAAAATTAAGTTTAATTCTATAAAAGAATTTCACTGAAGAGCTGGGGAATGGAGTTTTTTTGTATAATTATTTGTCTAATTTGTATAGTTATTACATAAATAATTCTGTTAGGGGCTGCTATATTAGCCAAGTACTGTGGTATGGGAGAAGTATGGTAATGTTCACTTTGTAGTAGAAAGATTATGGCTTTGTCATTAGAGACCTTGTGTCAAATACATCCCACCACATACCAGCTGTGTGACCTTGGGCAATCTGAGCTTCAGTGTCCTCATCTACAAAGCACGAGATCTCTTTTAAGGCTTAAGCAAGGTAATATCTAAATCAGATATATAAAACACTGTACTTCGAACCTTGGCACTACGCCTCACACATAATAAGTTCTTAAATGCTAGCTGTCATGAAGGAGAGAGAATCAAAACAATTACTTAGCAAGCAACTGTTTCCTGTGTTCTCTATGTTATACCTGATAAGTGATTATTAAACAGATTCTAGGACAAGGTGTAAAAACGAGAAACTCAACTAGGCATGTTACCCACACAATGAGTAGGTTCGGTCGTTTAGGGGGTATCAGTCCGATGACCACAACCAAGGAGGATTTAATAAGGGGATTTTATTACTTGTAACAAGTAAGGAGAACACTGGGCATTAGTTCCCAAAGCAGTGTTTCCCCAAGCTGGGGGCTGGATCAGGTTTTATAAGCATAGGGTAATGAGCTGTGACCTGATTGGATCTTGTAATGAGGTGATGCCAGGGGGTATGATCTGACTGGA